>NC_000012.12:124682768-124984392 GCF_000001405.40 Homo sapiens
TTGCACATAACTGGTGCTTAAAACTCACGTGCTCGGTGTACGAGGAAGTAAATGCCGGAAATCCAGATTCCCTACAGCGACTGACAAGGCCCAGCGTGATCTAGCCCACCCTCCTTACCAACCTTGTTCCCACCGTTTTCCTCCTAAACCTCTAGTTTCCAGCTCCATGCCAAGCCCACTACGGCCCCAGGGCATTTGCACCTGCTGTGCCCTCTGCTGGAAGGCTCCTCCCCACACACAAGCCCATGGCTGGTTCTCTAACTCGATTTCGATTTCTGTACAGATGATGTTACCTCTTCAGAGGTAAGCCCCACCCCCTCACCTCCTCACTTTCTATCAAATCAAACAATTTTAACAACTGCGTAGAACTCACAACTGCCTCCAATCCTCATGTTCATTTATTTATCTACCTGCCACGTCCTGAGTGTCTAGAATGGTGCCGGGCACACAGTAGGTGCGCAGTAAAAACATGCTACTGAACTGAGAGAGTCCTCTCCTCCATCCCCATCAGGCTGAGCTCTTAGTAAACACTCAGGAGCCTCCAGGCCCCTGTATTAAAGGCCTGACAAGCCTCGCCCTGCTGCGGAATTTTACAGATGGGGCTGTTTCTTTGTGTGTCAACAGAGTGCTTAATCTCTGCTCATAATGCCAGGCAGGAAGGAGCCTGCTTTGCTGAGGAACTTCTGTCTCAAAGCCGCCAGGTAACATGAGTGGGGCCTCTGGGGTCGGGAGCAGCATGTCTCCCCATCCTGGCCTTGATAAATGTCCAGGGGCCCTTCCAGCCTCCGCCAGGCAGCTGCCTCTGACCACAGCCTCCTCCGCAGAGCTGAGCTACCCACGTGTGCTCACTTCTAAACTGCAAGCCGGCCCCTGAGGGGGTGTGTGAGGAGTCAGGGTCTTAAAAACTTCCTGCATATTTTCCCTTCAGAAATAGCATCCTTAACTTTCTTTTTTTTTTCCTTATTAAAAATGTACTCATGTAATCCACATGCACTGGCTGTGAGAAATTCCAAAATGTCTTTTGGAGAGAGATCCTTGCCCCCTGAGGCTGTCCCCATTGCACAGATGATAAGCACAGTCAACGAGGCTGGGCGCCCGTACTTCCCAAACTTTGTGGGGCCCACAGCAACCCTCTGAGGCTTTTACTTTTATCATCCCCATTCCACAGACAGGGAAACTGAGACTCGGAGAGGGACAGGGCCAGCAGCCAGCACATGTTGGAGGGAGGTCAATCCACTGTGGCTTTGAGCAGAGTGGTCGCAGGACTACTATGCCATATCCCACCTCTTTGTAGAAGAGTTCTTGATTTCATTTTTAAATTTTTGTGTTGTTGTTTCTATTTTGTACCATTTTCTGTGTATCGTTCTGTGACTTGCTTTTTTCATTTAACATGTCTGAGACATCAATTCATGCTGGACACACATAAGTCACCTCATTTTTTTTTTTTTTGAGATGGAGTCTTGCTCTGTCACCTAGGCTGGAGTGCAATGACAGGATCTCAGCTCACTGCAACCTCTGTCTCCCAGGTTCAAGTGATTCTCCTGCCTCAGCCTCCTGAGTAGCTGGGACTACAGGCACACGCCACCATGCCTGGCTAATTTTTGTATTTTTGGTAGAGACAGGGTTTCCCCATGTTGGCCAGGCTGGTCTCGAACTTTTGACCTCAAGTGATCCGCCCTAGCCTTCCACAGTGCTGGGATTACAGGCGTGATCCACCGTGCCCAGCCAGTCACCTCATTCTTTTTAACGCCTGTTTCATAGCCCCTGACACACAGCACAGAGCCATTATAATTGTTGGAGTCAAAACGGTTCATATCTGATCATCTTGTATTCTCCGGACGTAATTCATTTTAATGTGCACTACAGTCTCTATGCGATGCAGTGAGCACTTTTGGGAAAACCAGTCGGACCTGGACTGGTTGGTCAGGAGAAGGTCTGAAGTGCCCTGTCAGGCCAAGTCTGAGACTGTGGTAGTAGAGGAAGTGAAAGCAGGCTCCAGCACTGAGGTCCAGAATGTTCCCAGCTCCAACGAGGCCATGAAGATAAAGCACTTCTTTTGTTGGCCATCTGCATATCCAAGAACTCCAGAGTATCCAACCTTCAAAGCACTGTGGCTCATTCCCTGAACAACGGTGCCAGGTAATTCACAAAGCAACCCTCTGCACACCACAGTTTGCTCCAGTCTCCAAAGCAAGTCCTACTCAGAGTCTCCCCCGAGCAGACGAAGAGAAGCCAGACCTCTCTCCACTTCAGGCAGTGGATGCTTTTTGGGGGCTGGCATAAAGGGAGTAAGGAGGGCATGAGTTTTCACAAAGTCAAAATGAAACTGCTAACAACACGGCTCTGTCTCCCAAGAGTGACTCACCCAGTGAAAACCAGAATATTGTTCCGAGTGTCAAAATCTGCAGAACAGCCTCCAGGATTTGGGTCTTATCCAGCTTAAATGAGCCAAAACACTCCTGCATCTTCCTGGGGTTCCTGGTGAAGGGCGTGTTGTCTTTTCCCTTTAGCCCTTGTTTTGGAAAGCTCTGAAGAGGCACCCAGGAGGTCAGCAGACAGCAGCCTAGCCGCTTCCTTCTCCAGGACAGCATTCGGGCAGCTTTGAAATGCCTCCCAGCGCTCGCCTTCTGCAATCCCCAAACTTATGCTGCTGGCATGCTGGCTGCCACAGAGCGCAGAGAACACCAGGACCCCGGTGGGAGGCAGAAAAAATATTCCTTAGGAGAATCATCACCCCACCTCGCGCTGGAGGGCCAGGCACGGCAGAGTTTATCATCATCAGGAGCGAGTTAACTTCGAACAGGGGAGAAATGCTTTTAGAGTAATTGTATTAGCCCTGGATTCCAGAATGCCTTTTCCATTCTTTTAAGGAACATTCTGTGCATCCTTGTGCCCTCCGTAGAGCAGGGGGAGACTGACGGGTTTGTAGGTGGAGAAAAACGTGAGACATTTTTAGCTCCCGGTTTTATTCATGAGAAAATTTGCCAGGTGATCCTGGAGCGTGACAGCTTGTCTTGTGGAGTTTGCCAGGGCGCCATGGTGCTCCTGGGTATACTCTGGGTGCATACGTGAATCCACAGTGAGCCACATGCAAATCAGGACAATTGGACCAGGGTCAGTCTTCAGCCCTGATGGGGACTGAGAGAACAGGGAGGGGAATGACAGCAGCTAACGCTTATCTAGTGCTTCCTGTGGGCTGGACGAGATCCTGAGCACTTTGCGTGTATTAACATTTAACTCGGATAATGACCCAACAAGGGAAGTACTAATATGATCTCCATTTAAGAGACAGGGAAGGCGAGGCGCAGAAAGGTTAAGTAACTTGCCCAAGGTCACACAGCTAGAAAATTGCCCGCCTAGGGCAATTTCACCCCAGCTCCGTGGCAGTGAAAAGATTGCAGTCGTGATAGTCAGGATGACATCACTCCCTATCCTTGCCTGATGAGTCCCCGTGGGGGATCTTGGAAGGCTTCTTACAGGAAGTGGAGACAGACTCCAAGGTGAGGTTTTCCTTGAAGGAAGCGTGGGATTCTAACTGGCAACTGGGGCAGAAACAGCATTCAGTGTGGCAGGATGGGCGGGTGCGGAGGCTGGGAGGAGGGAAAGGGGCTGCTGGTGAGAAAACTGTGGAGCCAGAACTTGGTGTGGGTGAAAACCCAGGCATACAGTCAGTGCTCAATAAATGGCAGCTTGGACATTAATTGGAGGCCAGGAGGCAGTATCTTGGCTGCTGCTTCCTGGCTGGGGTCCAGCATCCAGCATCCTCAGTGATTCCTGGGAGCCACGGCCCAGCTCCAGGGCAGGGTCCTGATTGGTCCAAGGTGATCACGCCCCTAACCAGAGATTGGGCTAGTCATGGTCATGTGACACAGTTTGACCAACTGCTGGCAAGAATCTAGGAATGCTTTTTCTCACCCTCAAAAAGCCGCTCTCTATCCAAGAAGGCCCTTGTGTGAGTTAGCTATTGCTGCATAACAAAATGCCCCCACACTTAGCCTCTGGGAACAGTGATGTATTTTCTCAGCTTCTGTGGGTCTGGAATCTCGGGGGCACTTACTGGGAGGTTCTGGCGCAGGGTCTCCCTTGAGGTCTCCAGCAGTGGAAAGGTCAGCTCTGGTTGCCGTCATCTGAAGGCTCCTGTTCAGGCTTTCTCCCTCCATCTGAAAGGCTTCCGAGGTCGGCTTGCCCAGTCCCAGCCTGCTGGGCACAGAACCTTGGCTTTTTCCTGATACAAGAGTTCCAGCTCAAACATCACCTCCTCTGAGAAGCTTTCCAAGATCACCTTATAAAAAGTGGCCCCTCCCTGTCCTGCCAGTGAGTCTGCATCCTGTCCCCACATGCCTTACTGCCTCCGGGCCTGAGGTTCTCTCTCTACTGTTTGCCATTTTTCCCCCTCCTTTTATAATTTACGTCTCTGTTGGTCTCCCTACCCCCTCACTAAAATGTACATTCCTGACAGTCCAGACCGTTGCCTGTTTTGTCGTCTGCTAGATTTCCCAGAGTTTAGCATAGTGCCTATAAGTAGTAGGTGCTCAATTAAAGATACGTCTATATTGAATGAATGCATGAATGAATAATTGAATGAGTGGATATTCAGCAGCTGTAGAAGTGGTCTAGGACATCAGGCAACACCAAAGAACCAAGGAAGAGGTTAATAACTCTCTGACACTGTGTGTGTCTGTGTGTGTGTGTGTGTGTTTGTGTGTGTATCTTTCTCTCTCCTGTCTCTTCCTCTCTCTACCCCCCATCTCTCTATCTCTCCTGTTTCTTTCTGTCTCTCCCCGACACCCCCTGCCATCAGGCTTCCTGCCGCAACACACACACCCTCTTCCTCCAGCTGCCTGCATCCAGGTCCCCTCCCTAAGTTTCACTTTCAAAGCCCCCAGATTCAACCTTCTCTGCTTTGCTTCCAAACTGGCTTCTCCAGCCTCAACCCCACCTCCATCCTGTGCCTGCCAGCTCTGGGAGGTCACCTACAGAACAAAAATGACACGGGATTGGGAGTCAGGCAGATCTGGCCTGTGTTGAGGCCTTCCCAGCCATATGACCTCAGGGAAGTCACCTCCTGTTCTGAGCCCCAGTTTCCTCATCTGTACAATGGCGCAGTGAGACCACTCAAAGTAAAGAGCGCATCGCCTCCCTGAACATGGGGTTACTTTAGGGATAGAGGGACAACGAGGTTGCCCGTGACAATCCCCCCACCTCCCATCCCCCGGAAGCCCACAGTGACTTCAGTTCTCTCAAGTTTGCCCGGGCAGCCGCCCCTCCTCTGCAGCTGCTCCCCAGAGAGTGTGAATGCTTAAACGGCCAATATTTTCCCCGGCTCAGCACAAAGCACCGTCATTGCAGGGCAGCCAGGAAGGGCTGTTAGCTTGATTGGGTTCTTTTTCATCTCCACATCAGCTGTTAAGCGGCTCAGCTCATGCAGGGGAAACTGCTTCTCGACTGCCCAGTGCTGGCGTGGGGCTTGGAGGAGTTGTTAAGAAACAGCAAGAATGTGGCCCCATTGCACACCCTCCAGAGGCCAGACTCTTGAAGCACCCCCTCTCCCAGCTCAAAGCCAGCAATAGCTCTGTATTTCCACCCCAGGCATCGATCCAGAGCCCCCTCCTCCTCCCCCTATGTGCTGATGGGTTCCCCCAACAGGACCCCCCCCCCCATTTCCTCCCAGATCTCTCCTTTCTATTTGAGGAAGAGAATTTTTTTTCCAAAGTCCTCCTGATGTGCTGGAGGTAGGGGAACAGTTACTTTCAAACACACTGGTAACTGCGTCTGCTTCCTAAGGGAAGTGACATAACTCATTCCAATGGGAACATGAATTCCTACATCATCCCCCTCTAATAACAACAAATATAACAAGACAGGTATGGTGCTGAGTGTTTTCCACAAATGCACTCAAGTAAGCCTCAGGGCAACCCTAAGAAAAAGGTATTAGCTGCATTCCCATTTTATAGACCAGGTTACAGAGGCACAGAGAGGGTAAGTAACGTGCTTGAGGTCACACAGCCAATGAAGGGAGGGGCTGCCGTTGGAACTCAGACCTTCTGGCTCCCTGAGCCTGCTCACAAAGGGGAAGGGAAAGGTGGACAAGGCCCGAAGCCAGTTCCTCTGTGAGGCCAGGGCATGCCGAAGGAATAGGGGCCATCTCCTCAGCAGGACACCATAATGAGGCTTTGGAGATGTGAGGGGAGCCCAAGCTTGGGAGGGGCCTGGATAGGAAAGTCTGGGAGCTAGAGTTTCCTGGAGAGGCTGAGAGGAAGAGACTGGAAAACAGGGAAGTTGGAGAATCTCAAAAAAAAAAAAAAAAAAAGTGGAGCAGCGTGGTGCTGTGAAACCACTCCATTCTCCCCAAATTTTAACAAAGTTTGATGCACCCAGAAATAATCCAGGCTAGGGGTAGGGGATGGGAAAGAGGAATCACAGAGAGGTGGGTAGCCAGAGATAAAAACCCAACTTTTAGAATTTTATCATTTTGGGCCGGGCATGGTGGCTCACACCTGTAATCCCAGCACTTTGGGAGGCCAGGCAGGTGGATCACCTGAGGTCAGGAGTTCGAGACCAGCCTGGCCAGCATGGTGAAACTGCGTCTCTACTAAAAATACAAAAATTAGCTGGGCATGGCGGCACACAGCTGTAATTCCAGCTACTTGGGAGGCTGAGGCATGAGGATCGCTTGAACCCGGGAGGAGGCAGAGGCTGCAGTGAGCTGAGATCACACCATTGCACTCCAGCCTGGGTGGCAGAGCAAGACTCCATCTCAAAAAAAAAAAAAAAAAAAAAAAAGAATTTTATCATTTTGTGTAACTAAAAAGTCTAGGGGGTACTTCAGGCATGGCTTGATTCGGGGGCTCAACAAACACCATCAGTCCTTCTGTATCTTGGTGCTGCTTTCCTCTAGACTGGGTTGTCTCTCAGGCAGGTCTGGGCACATCCCACCAGCATAGCAACTCTGCAAAGAGAGACCTTCTTTCCCAAGTGGTTCCAGCAAAAGTCTCAGGGAAGGTTCTTATTGGCCTGACCTGGTCACAGGGACTATCCCTGAACCAATTGCCATGGTAATGGGGCAGAGTCTGCCCCACCCAAACTACATGGGTGAAGAGAAGGAAAGGATTCTTCCCCAAAGGAACATGCAAGGGGACTTTCCTCCTAGAAGGAAACAGTCTGGACAGGGAGGGCCGCAGATGTCTGCTGCAGGGCTGAGTTCCCTGTCTGGGGCCATGAGGTGAGGAGAAGGGAGGAAAGCATAGTCGTAGCACAGACTCCACCAGTGAGGCTGGGAAGTTCCGAGCCAGAGCTCAACAACCAGATGCACTGCCCTGGCTGTCCACACTCACCTGTAACTACACAGAAATCCTGCCAGGGGCACTTGGCTGTCTGCAGAATGGGCGAGAAGAGAGATGCCTAGAAAATAGAGGACAGAGAGGTTGAACAGTAACCTGCCTCAACTTCTCTTTCTGTAAGATGGGTTCAAAAACAGCACCGAGCTCACAGGGCTGTGAAGAGGAAAGGGGTTGATAGCTATGAAGTGCTCAGGACGGTGGCATAGGAAACACGCAATGGACATCTAATTCTTTGCCAACGTGGCCACACAGAACTGCCGTGATCCCACTGCCGCACCTGGGCCTAGGCCTTTTCCTCTGCCACCTTCTCAATCACATCTGGTCCTCCTCCGTGAAGCCTTCCTGGAATTCCCAGTGCGCTCTGGCCAGACCCCTGGAGCCCCACAGCCCTGGGTGTGAGCCCTGGCTCTGCTCCTCCACCCTGAGAAGGTGCCTTCACCTCTGTGAGCCAGCTTTCTCTTCTGGAAAATGTGGATAATTAAAAGCACCTAGGAGGGTACTAGTGCACTCCGAGCAACACCGAGAGGCTGTGGTTTCTCTGGAGCTGGGGTCCCCTTCCTGGCATCTCTCAGTGCCTTGGGGAAACCCTGTCTATGATGCCGAAAGACTCAGATTGTAGTACTCAAGATTCAGAGTGGGCCCAAGGTCTCCCCCAATAGGCTGTGTGACATTGAGTAAGTCACTTTCCCTCTCTGAGCCTCAGTTTCCCCGTGGTAATCCCTTCCTCACAGAGCAGTTTGGAAGCTGGCAGGAGCCTCTGATGCAGTGCCTGAGACAGGCAGATATTCCATCAATGGGCATTCTCTCTTCCCCTAGCTACCGGCACAAATGACACCTTCTCTGAGCAGTCTTCCCTGATTGCCCAGCTGCAGTGAACCCTTGGCATGGTCTCTTGCCTGCACGGTGAACTCCTTGGAAGTTCAGATCAGGCTGCTAGTGCCTTTAGGGTCTCCAGGACCTGGTGCATGTCCCTGTTAATAGTATTCTGGAGATTTTGAGATTGATGACAATGATAATGACAATTTTTAAAATGTCATTTGAGACCTCCTGGGTCTCCTTAATCTTTCTCCTGCTTTAATTTTAGTTTAACTTGACTTGAAGTTGTCTTCAGATCCTCTTTTGCAAGGATGCAAGTATAAACAAAGTCATAAATCCTGCATCTGCTCAGAGCCAGCTCTGACAGGCAAGCCTCTGTGTGCCAGTCTGGAGTGGAATCTCGCCTTCAATGATGACCCTTCAGTTCAAGCAGGGTTTCATGGCCTGTGAGGCTGTTGGCAGTGGGACACACAGATGACCACTTCTTGTCATAGTTGTGTGTTTATTTTAACTAGAAATTGCATTTGGCTGCATATATCAGAAAACCCAAATAACAGTGGCTTACCCAAATAAGAGGTTTCTGTTTCCCTCTTAACAAGACATCTGGAGGTGGCCTGTTCAAGGCTGGGAAGGTAGCCCCATCACTCCATGAATACCCAGGCCCTTTTCTACCCCTTTAATCCTCATAGTCACCTATGGTCACAAAGTGGCTGCTGTACCTCCAGCATTGCATCTAGATTCCAGGCAGGAAGAGAAAAAAGAGAATAGGGCAAAAGACCTGCACTAGCTTCCTGCACTGCCACCCACCCACTTTCACCTTTTAAAGAGCTTTTATGGAAGCCCCACCCAAGGACATCCACTTACATCTTATTGGCCAGAGCTGTGTCGTGGAGCAACCCCTACTTGCAGAGGAAGCTAGAAAAGGTGGGATTCAAACTATCTTGAACAAAATTAGGGTTTTATTAGTGAGGAAGGTGGGGGCAGAGTGGGTGTTGGGAAGGCATCCGGTAGCACGGACCACACATAATCCAAACCTTTGATTTTGCTGGAATTCTTACTTAGACCAGTGGTTCTCACACTTGAGAATGTGTGCAAATCTCTTAGGGGGCTTATGAGAACACAGGGAGCTTCCCCCCGACATCAGAATGCCTGATTCAGTGAGTCCAGGGTGGGCCTGAGTTTACATCTCTAACAAGCTCCCAGGTGATGCTGAGGTTACTGGTGTGGCACCACACTTTGAGAATTGCTGGCTCTCACGGCTCAAGTTGGTACTTGAGTAAAAGCATGTGAGTTGATTTTAGAAGAAGAAAACAGTAGTTTAGATGCATTATCAGTTAGGATCCCACTAGAAAACAGAGGAGGGTATGCTGACACAGGAAATGGAGAAGCGCTAACTAATCAATTATCTGCAAAGGTGTGAGCAGGGGGTAGAGAAGCCCTTCCCCTCCAGTAGCAACAGTGAGGAGCTATCACCACACCTGAAGGTAAGTTACCAGAACCTGAAGAGGGTGGCTGTAAGAGAGGACCACCCCATAGGAGCCCTATCCTTTGTTGGAGGGATGCAGCCAACCTGGGACATTGCAGAGAGGAACTGGGGCTGTAAACACCCCCTGGCCTCTTTCTCTACCTGCTTCCAACCTCTAGCTGGACACCCAAGGGCTGGAAGCCAACAGGCCTAGATGAACAGAGTGAAGATTGGGCCTGGAGTGACACACTAAAGATGTCCAGCACAGACAGAAAATATCATGACACCAGGATATCCAGGAGCAACTGTTTGGCAAACAACAATTTAAAGCAGGCAACTCAGCCAGCTCATTCATTCATTCATTCATTCAATTATTCACTGGGGCACCTGCTGTGTACCAGGCACTTACTAGGTGCCAGGGATTAAGAGATGAATTAATCATGACCCCAATCCAGAGAGCTGCCATCTGCTGAGGTCCGAGGCACTCTGGTGGTGGGCAGGTGGGGTCATCTTCCCCAGTCCCTGCCATAGCCCACCCAGCCAGACTCACGGTGCCTGCCACAGATCTCATCTGCTTGTCACTCAAATTCCACTGTGATTTAATCTTTCATTAAAGTTTAACTATGGGGGAAAGACTGCAAAAAAAAATCACCTGCTCCATCACACATCGCAATGTTTTTATGCACTAAAACAGGAGCTGCAGGAATAGGCTGACGGGATTTGGCTGGGATTAGGGACAAAATGAATCTAAACCACTGGGTGCCCGTGCGTCCCCGTGGGAATACCCTGTAAACCTTTATGCATATAGATTTATATCGGCGAACTCTTGATTATGGTATTTGTTTTCCTGGGCTGCAAACAAAACCTCAGCCCTCAGCGGTCCCCTCGCTGCCGCGTCAGCCGCACACAGAATGTCTCCAGGCTCCACAGCCAATAACAAAAATGATGAAGAATCTGATGCAGACGTGGATAATTGCTGTGGCTTCCTCCCGTGAATTTAAATAGCTTTCTTGAGTTACTGCTTTTGACAAGATCAATAAAATTGAGCTACTGCTGTATCAGGCCTTTCGGCAGATACATAGGGAGCTAGGCTTCTGGGGCTGACTGTTCAACAGTGACCCCAGCTCTCCCAGCAGGCCGGTGAGGGGCTTGGGGGCGTGCACGGAGTGAGGCCAGGAATGGGCTAGAGGGGCCAGTGCAGGACAAACACACGAACTTCAAGATCCTGGCCATGGCTGGATCTCACACTTGTAATGTCAGCATTTTGGGAGGCTGAGGCAGGAGGATTGCTTGAGCCCAGAAGTTCAAGACTAGCCTGGGCAACATAGTGAGACCCTGTCTCTACAAAACTTTAAAAACATTAGCTGGACATGGTGTTCCATACTCGTAGTCCTGGCTACTAGGGAGGCTAAGGCAGGAGGATCCCTTGAGCCCCAGAGGTCAAGGTTGCAGTGAGCTATGATCATGCCACTACGCTGTAGCCAATGTGACAGGGCAATATCCTGTCTCTAAAAAAACAAAAACAGACCGGGCACAGTGGCTCAAGTCTGTAATCCTAATATTTTGGGAGGCCGAGGCGGGTGGATCACTTGAGGTCAGGAGTTTGAGACCAGACTGGCCAACATGGTGAAAACCCGTCTCTACTAAAAATACAAAAATTAACAACTGGGCATGGCAGCGGGTGCCTGTAATCCCAGCTGCTTGGGAGGTTGAGGCAGGGGAATTGCTTGAAACCAAGAGGCGGAGGTTGCAGAGAGCCAACACCGCGCCACTGCACTCCAACCTGGGCAACAGAGTGACTCTGTCTCAAATAAATCAATAAATAATAAAAATAAATAATAAAAAACCAAAAACAAACCAAAAAAACTAGCTCCCAATTGCTGACACTTTCCCTGTATCCCTTCCTCCAAAATTAATTAAGCAAAACTTACCCATATCCTCTGCCTTCTAAAATGACAGGTGGCCAGTGAGGGAACCCAGTCCTTGCTGGGTATTAAAGGGAGGCGCTCAGCACACAGTCCCCACCTTCCAGGAAGCTCATCTGCACTATAACCGAGGCCTCCCGGACACAAAGACTCCCACCACAGGAAGTGGCTCGATGATGGGTTTCACATCTCAAGACCACAGATTCCCTCTAGCAGCGTGGATTTTAGACAGTGGAAAGGTACCAAGATAGAACACTTTTTACCAGGTAATATTCACATGACATAGAATTAACCCTTGCAGCATGTACAGTTCAGTGGTATTTAATCCATTCACCTTTATCTAGTTCCAAGCCATTTTCCTCCCCCAGCCTGTGCAGCTTTGGGCACTTGATGCTCAGCCTCTGTGAGCCTCAGTTTCCTCATCCATGCAGTGGGAACTGACTGCACCTGCCTCACAGGCTGCTGTGAAGATTATGTGGGGAAACAGGGAATGTATTTCACCCAGTGCAGGCCCTTGGGGAGTTTACTGGGGTGAATATCATCCCCGCTCTCCAAATCCATGTCCACCCTGAACCTGTGAATGTGATCTTATCTGGAAACAGGGTTTTGCAGATGGAACCAAGTTAAGATGAGGTCACACTGGAGTAGGCAAGCCCTAAATGAAGTGACTGGTATCCTTATAAAAACAGATGACGCACAAAGGACAGCCAGCCAGTGACGCAGCTGCGTCAAGGAAGGAAGGTCCGGGGTTGCGGGCAGCTGCTAGGAGCTGGAAGGGGCAGGAAGGCTCCTCCGCTAGAGCCTCCAGAGGAAGCACCGCCCTGTGGACACCTTGATTTCTGACTTCTGGCATCCAGAACACTGAGAGAATGCATTTCTGTTGTTTTAAGCCACGCAGCTTGTGGCTTAATTAGTTACGCCAGCCCTAGCCAACAAATAAAGGGAGGCTTCCGCAAGTGGGAGGTGTTCTCATGGTTACTGGAGTTATTCAGCACCCTGACCGGCCAGGAAGGCAGGCTGGGGCAGAGGACCCAAGGAGGCTGAATGGCTGGGGAGAAAGCCCTGGCAGGCTCACAGGGCAGCCCCCCACTCTCCAAGTGGCAGTTCCACAGCCAGCTCCCAAGGTGCACCCCGTACTCTGTCATACCCCCAAACCGTCCCCTCCAGGTACAGGATCAGCTGGGGGCTGTCATGGCCCACGGCAGTTTCCATTGTCTGGGAACCACGCACCTTGCAGCCTCAGGCTTGTTGCTTTTGATTATACACCCCTTCTCTTCTCTCTTTTTTCATTTTTATTTTCATTTAGAGGTGGAGTCTCACTCTGTCATCCAGGCTGGAGTGCAGTGGTGCATTCATAGCTCACTGCAGCCTTGACCTCCTGGGCTCAAGCGATCCTCCTGCCTCAGCCTCCCGAGTAGCTGGGACTGTAGGCATATGCCAACCACGCTCAGCTAATTTTTGTATATTTCTTGTAGAGATGGAGTCTCACTATGTTTGTTGCCCAGGCTGGTCTTGAACTCCTGGGCTCAAGTGATCCTCTCACCTCAGCCTCCCAAATTGCTAGGATTACATGTGTGAGCCACTGCACCTGGCTGGAAGCATAATCTTTAAAAAAAAATTTTTTTGGAGGAATGGTGGTAAGAGGGAGAGTGCTTGAGGCCTGGTTGGAGGGCAAACCGACAGAGGACGAAGCATGTGACAGTCTGGCAGATGGCAGCCCATGGACCTGGGAGCAGATCCCTGGGAGCTGTCCAAGGTGTAAGTGTGAATGGCAGATGCTGTGCTGGCCAGGACGTGCTGGATGAGGCGTCCCAGGGGCATCACAGGACCAAACCTCCCTCCAGCTTCTCAGGCCTCACAGAGGGCTCAGGTCTTGATCAAGGACCGGCTTTGGTGGGTTGGGGTTAGGGTCAGAGGTGGGCATTGAATGAGGGCCAGTCCTAAGCTAAGTTGAGGTGTAGGGCTGGGATGATGAGAGAAGACCCTTTGCGGGTCTTCAGACCTCTAGACTCAAATGCCAGGTGCAGAAGGAGAGGTGAGTCATTTTTGAGAGGAGCTGAGCACAAGTGTCACCTGCCCCTGCTGGAAGCCATTAGCTGACCTCTTTAGACACAGGTGGAGGCTCCTGGGGCAGAACACCAGAATGTCAATCAACATTATTCTCAAGAGGGGCATGGGTCACCTGAAATTAGAGAATCCCCCTGGAGAAGACTGTGCAGCGAGTGATTCCACTCAAAACCCCCTTCCAGCCCAGCCGCCCATGAATGAGAGGCTCTCCCCTGAAATGCTTGGTACTCCAGGAGCAAATACCACTAAAACTTCCTACCTGATCTCCCTCTGAGGTAGGAGGCAGGACTCAACTCGAGGCAGAGCTCAGACACTGGACCAAATTGAGGACTATCTAAAATAGGAGCAGGGCAGAAGCAACTTTCTATAAGACACACCCACCAGTGTGCCATGTCAGTTTACCATTGCCATGGCAACACCTGGACGTTATCACCCCTTTCCATGGCAATGACCTGATGACTCAAAAGTTACCACCTTTTTTCTAGAAGTGTCTGGATAACCCACCCCTTAATTGCATATCATTAGGAGTGGGTATAAAGGAGACTGCAGGGCTGCCTCTGAGCTGCTGCTCTGGGCACACTGCCCGATCTCCCAGTGCCTCTGCTGCTGCCCTGCACTGCGGCTGCAATCAAACACCACCAGCTTGCCCTTGAATTCTTTCCTGGGTGGAGCCAAGAACCCTCCCAGGCTAAGCCCTGATTCTGGGGCTTGCCTGCCCTACATCACCTTAACCCCAAACTGGGGCTCTAGGAATTCCTGTTTCCATCAGCAACAGTTATTTTCCCCAGAGAGCCCAAAGCAGACCAAAAGAGGCAAAGCAGTGGGGAAAAAACAAGCCCACTCCATTTGCAATGTCCTTCTGCTCATTTCCACCTGGTAAAATCCATATCAAAAGCCCCCAGGGGATGCTGGGGAGATGTGGGCTGGGGAAGAGCAGTTCAGGCTTCCCCTCCAGTGGGTTGATGCAGATAGCAGGAGGCTGATGAACCTTGCTGAGGACAGATCAAAAGATGCTGTCTCATTATGGGGCTTCCAGATCATGGCAGATTACCCTTATGTCTGCTTTAGCCCATATATATATATATATATATTTAGACGGAGTCTCACTCTGTCACCCAGGCTGGAGTGCAATGGCATGGTCTTGGCTCACTGCAACCTCCACCTCCTGGGTTCAAGTGATTCTCATATTTTAGCCTCCCGAGTAGCTGAGATTACAAGCATGCGCCCATATGTCCAGCTAATTTTTATGTATATATTCATTTATTTATTTATTTTTTAAGACAGTCTCACTCTGTTGCCCAGGCTCGACTGCAGTGGCTTGATCTCGGCTCACTGCAACCTCTGTCTCCTGAGGTTCAAACAATTCTCCTGCCTCAGCCTCCCGAATAGCTGGGATTACAGGCGCCCGCCACTATGCTCAGCTAATTTTTTGTATTTTTAGTAGAGACAGGGTTTCTCCATGTTGGCCAGGCTTGTCTTGAACTCCTGACCTCGTGATTCGCCCGCCTCAGCCTCTCAAAGTGCTGGGATTACAGGCATGAGCCACGGCGCCTGGCCAATTTTTGTGTTTTTAGTAGAGATGGGGTTTCACCATGTTGGCCAGGCTGGTCTCAAACTCCTGGCCTCAAGTGATCCACCCGCCTCAGCCTCCCAAAGTGTTGGGATTACAGGCGTGAGCCGCAGCACCCAGCCTGCCTTAGCCCATATTTTACATGATTGCTAAGGGTCTGGGTGTCTGGAGACGGGGTGATGCGCAGCCAGGTTAGAGACCTGCCTTTTTCAACCAAGCTCTGCTGTGCCCAAGTGCACAAGGCACCCCTCGGCCTGCATTCCCTTGGAAGTCTTTGGCCGCATAAATGTTATCACAAATCTGGGTTCCTGACGGTGGTAGATACCAGCCTGAACTATGCACGAGGCCCGACAGCTCTCAGAAGAAGGCTGGTTTGAATTTCTGAAGCCAAACCAAACACTGGCTCAAAAACATTTTCTTATTATCTCATTCCCTGACTACGGAACAATCACCCCATTGAAAAACCACAAGCCCGCCCAAGTTTTAAATTAAACCTCTTGAGTTTTCCCTGTGAGAGCAGATAAAATCCTTCCAGCTTATGTTTTAAGGAAAGAATTTGGGGTGTGTGTGCGTGTGTGTGTGCGTGTCTGTGTATTTCCCCTAAACCTATGTTCTTTTGTTGGGTTCCTGAGCACGCTGTTGAAATATTTCACTTGAGGACATCATTACATTTCATGGATGTTGAAGTATCCTTCCAGGAGCAGCTACTCCACGGCTGTTTGGATTTAGAATGCAGCTCTTTTGGGAAGGAAGAGATAAGTCCTCTTCCAAGAAGTAAGCTTCCCAGAGTGGCCTTGAAGGGCTGAGATGAGATTCTTGCAAGAGGTATTCAGTCCCCACCCGCGTATTTGTTCATTAGATGCCGACCGTAGGCTCTGAAAATCCACTGTGTGAAAAATCTCAAGCTGTAGGCTGGCAAGGAGATTGAGAAGACAGAGAGGGTTTTGTTCCTCAGCTGGCGTCAGAAGAAGCCTAAGCTCTACTCTTGGCCCCACTCAGAGCAGCTGGGCTAATGCTGGCCCATGTCTTTGCCTCTCAGCATCTCAGTTGCCTTATCCCTAAAGGAGGAATGCGCATAGGGGCTCCTACTACAGAATTCCCAACAGCGAAAGCCTGAGAAGATGCTACTACTATACTGTTGTGCAGTCATTCAACAAACATTTGCTGAGCACCTACTGTGTGCTGGATTCTGTTTTAGGCACTTGGGAGACAGCAGGAAACTAGACAAGCAGCATCCCTGCCTGCCTGGTGCTAACATTCTGGAAGGTGGAAAAACTCGTCTTTCGAAAGCTAGGAATCATTTCTGATTTTGTTTTGGAAGTGACGTTGGGCTTTTGATGGTGCCTGGTACGTAATAGGTTGTTGATTATTTTCTCTTTTTTAATGAATGGTGAATAACCCACACCATGAGGAAAGGGCTTGGAGATAGTGTGTGCTTAGGGGAGAGGCGGGATTCTGGCTGCTGGAGGTTGCTGTCCTATACCTCCTGGGCACTGGTAATACTGGGGACCCCATGTAGCACCCTTGACCCATCTGAGACATTCCTGAGCACCCCTCCCTGAGAACAGTGAGCACAGACACCAGGCCACCCCAGGTAGAGTCTGACCTCTGCAATCAGTGACAAAAACCAGGCTTTACAGTGAGGGCGGAGCTTAGCGACATGGAGCAGCTTCTCCATTCAATCCCAGAGGGATTCTGTGCACATTGGAGTGTGTGGACAACGCTTACAAACGGAGATGTTCCATCTCAGTTCTTGAATATGAAGAACTGTGTCCTGCAAGGTTGCTGCAAGGATTGCTGCACGTAGAGGGTCTCCTGTGTGCCAGGCATGGCTAGGGGGCCAGGGACACAAAGGACTAGACAGGGGGTCGAAGGCTCAAAATCATATTCAAGATGAGGAAACTGAGGCTCAGAGACGCTAAGCACACTTCCAAGGTCATACAGCCAATGAGCGGGAGAGCCAGGATTTGGACCGCTGACCACCTGGTTTCCAAACCTGGTCTCCCTTCACCCCTCCTCCCCGCTCCACGCCTGCAGTCTCCAGGACGGAGAAAGTCCTTTTCACTTAGCGTTCCACTTGTGTCCTCATTAGAACTCCTACTTGCGGCCGGGCGTGGCAGCTCACGCCTGTAATCCCAGCACTTTCGGAGGCTAGAGGCAAGACAGGCAGCGTCAACAAGCAGAGCTGCTGGGGCACGGCGATAGGGACTGGAAGGGAGTGGAGTGAAGTGACCATGACAGAGGGAGTGCCTGCCACATCTAAAGGCCAGTTTCCAACAATTGTCACATAAGAATGCAGGGCCCGGGGTCACCAGATCTGATTACTTATTTGTTTTATTTATTTTTTTTTTTAGACAAGGTCTTACTCATTCTGTCACCCAGGCTGGAATGCAGTGGCACGATCACGGCTCACTGCAGCCTCAACCTCCCAGCCTCAAGCAATCCTCCTACCTCAGCCTCCTGAGTAGCTGGGACCTCAGGCGCATGCCATCACACCTGGTTAATTTTTGTTTTGTTTTGTTTTTTGTAGAGTGGAGGTCTCGCTATATTGCCCAGGCTGGTCTCAAACTCCTGGGTTCAAGTGATCCCTCCTGCCTCAGCCTCCCGAAGAGCTGGGATTACAGGCGTGAGCCACCATGCCCAGCCCAGATCTGATTTTTTTAACAGAGCCCAGATTTTTAATGTGAAACATCCTACCTTTTAAATGATGCCAGTTAATGTTTTAAAAAATAATGAATCTCTGTGCAAGAGCAGCTAAGCACATTTGTGGCCCACCAGTGGACAAACTCTGAGTTAGACATTGTGGCAGCTGGGGAGGGGGCTCCTGCTTTCACTGAATTTGCAGGCCCCGGGGGAGCTGGCTGTGAGGAAGCCAGTTCTCAGCTCTGGAGTGACCATGTGTGGTGGGTTCTACAGCGGGGAAGCACTGTGGGCTGGGCGAGTGCGTTCTTCCAGGAGGAGGATTTGGCTCTGCCCTGACGGCTGAGTGTGGGGTGAAGGGGAGCGGGCAGGAGGCTGGGGAAGGTCAGGCCCTGCAGAGGAAATGGCTTCAGCAAAGGCTTGGCAGAGGGACTTGGCCCCGGCCATCTGCACATCCGAAGGGCATCCAGCGTGTCCCTTGGCAACACAAGGAGCAGTTACTCCATCCCTCACTCAGTGGAAAAGGAGGGCAGCCCCTTCTTGATAACTGTGCCATGCTCAGGAATCGCCAGCCAGAGCGGCAGTGAGTAGAGGGCAGGTCAGGCTGGCCTGGGGTCCCTGGCCCCATGTACTGGCTGGAAACCGGAGCCTCCTTGGGGGCCTCTCTGTGCCTGCCATTATCCACTCCAGTCTTAGCTCCTAGACCCTGCCTGGCCCTCTCTTTCCTGAAGGAGGGAACCTGGAAACGCACTTCAGATTCCTCGGTGCTTATGTACTGTTTGGGGCGAGGCCTGGCACATTCCAGAACAAATGGAATTAGCAGGCAGTGAGGGGGGAGTAAGCTCCACAGGGAGGAGGCGGGATAGAGGCAGCAGAGGGAGGCCGCTGGCCTGGGTTTTGCTCCTCCTGGCAGGGTCTGCATGGAGCTTTGGCCCTCAGTCTTCCTCTCCCCAGCCTCTACTGTTCCAGATCACCATGGGGTCTCGGAGAGGGGCTCTTAGTCAGGAGGAAATCCTCCAGGGTCAAAGCCAAGGTTAAAGTGACTTCCGTGTGAGCATCTTCTTCCTACCCAGCACCGGTTTATGATGAACAGACAGCGAAGGCTCCATTGCAACTGGAGGTGGGTTTGGAGGCAAAGCTGGAGGGGACCCACTGTGTTCCAGCTATCCGTTTGGAACAACTGCCACTTAGGAGCCCAGAACCTTCTCTGGCAGACTCTCCATTGAGAATGTTCATATCCAGGACTGTGCATACAGTCAGTACTCAATAAATGCACTTTTTTTTCCCAAAGGGCCAGGTGTCACAGCTCATACCTGTAATCCCAGTGCTCTGGGAGGACAAGGCAGGAGGATCACTTGAAGCCAGGAGTTCGGGACCAGCCTGGGCAACATGGCAAGACCCTGTCTCTAAAAAATAAAAATGGGGCGCAGTGGCTCATGCCTGTAATCCCAGCACCTGGGAGGCTGAGGCAGGCGGATCACTTGAGGCCAGGAGTTCGAGACCAGCCTGGGCAACATGGTAAAACCCCCATCTCTACTAAAAAATACAAAAATTAGCCAGGCATGGTGGCGGGCACCTGTAATCCCAGCTACTCAGGAGGCTGAGGCAGGAGAATCCCTTGAACCCAGGAGGTGGAGGTTGCGGTGAGCTTGGATCGCGTCATGGTATTCCAACCTCGGGTGACAAGCGAAGCGAGACTCTATCTCAAAAAAAATTAATTAATTAAAATTAAAATTAAAAATATTTTTTAAGAAGAAGATTATCTGAAGAGGGACAGACTGAATCTGCTTTCTGAGGTGGCACTCCCCACCCTCCCAGCCCATGGGACCTGCACACCCTCAGCCAGTCTCTCTCTGAAGACTACTCAGAAGGAAAAATATTAATATGTTCAAACCCTAATCAAATCTGGATAATTTCACTAGAAACCGCTCCATAATTTCATCAGCGTTAAAGGATTACAATAGCAACAAATTAAACCAACGGGCATGAATTTAGTTGCTCAAGAGGAAAATGTAGCTTGATTTAGAAACGGATGTTACAGTTTATTAACCAATCTAAATTAATTCGATTTTGAGCCACTGTTAAATATACATTAGGATGTATCACCCAATAGCACAGCTGACAGGGGGAAAGAGAGGAGAGGAAGGAAAGCAAGGGAGGCTGACAGGAGCTTGTTGCCTACGCAAAAAAACAGTTTGTTAATTCTGAGGCATGGGGCTGGGTGTCCAAAATTGGAGGAGGGAGTACCAGAGAAGACTCTGAGTAGCAAGAATTACAAACTCAACTGAAGCTGCCTTAAACCAAAGGGAGGATTTATTATCTCAGTATCTGAAACTATCAGGGCAGAGGTAGCTTCAGGTACAGCTGGATCCAGGTGCTCCAGGTCAATAGGCACTGGCCTTTTTCTATTTATTAGTCTATTTTTTCCTGTGTAGATTTTACTCTCAAGCAGGATCTTCCTACCTGGAGGTAGGATGACCACCAGCAGCTCTAAGTCTTCATTCTTCTGTCCCAGCCCCTTGAAGAAAGAGAGCTTCTCTGATACTCTTGGTCCCATGCTGAATTTCAGGTGAAGCTCTTGGTGGCCTGGCCAAGGTCATGAACCACTCTGATGAGCCAGGCTTGGGCCCCTTACCCATCCTTGAGCTGGGGAGGAGGGGAGGATGGTCAGCTTGGCCTGTGGCAGGTGGTCTGAGAGCAGGAGGGAAGCTGGTACCAGCAACAGGAGAACGGATGCTGCCCACATAGGAGCAGGAACTGTGGACTCCCAGAAGGAGCAGGCCTGCACCAAGCCCCAAGAGACAGAGGGGCATGCGGGAGTCACATGGCTCGTCTGGGACTCCCTCCCAGCCAGGGACTGTTTCTACCTCCCCAGTTTTCTTATTTGATGTGATAGCTGAATAATGACATCTCCTAATGCCTAAAGGCTGAACAATGACACCCACGTTCTAACACCTGGAATCTGAGTATGTGACCTCACCTAGCAAAAGGGACTTGGCAGATGCGATTCTGTTAAGGATCTTGAGCCGGGGAGATGACCCTGGGTTATCCAGATGGGTCAGCAGAATCACACAGGGCCCTATAAAAGGGAGACAGTTCAGAGAGGACAGACGTGCTATGTTGATGATTAAGATGGAAAAAGGGGTAACAGCCCAAGGAATGCAGGTGGCCTCAGGAGCTGGGAGAAGCAAGGAACAGATCCTCCTCTGGAGCTTCTGGAAGGAACCAGCCCTGTCAACCCTTGATTTTAATCCCATGAGACTCATTTTGGACCTCTGACCTCCATAAGTGTAAGAGAATAAATGGGTGTTGTTTTAAGCCACTAAGTCTGTGGCAATGTGTCACACAACAATGAGAAACAGATACATTGTACAAGACCATGTACCCCCCTCGGGCAGAAGGCCGACATACCATAGCGTAGGGAAAGTTTCAAGGACAACAGCGAGAAAACGATTTTTATGTTGCAACAATTTCAGATGTATTTATTTATTTTTATGTTTTTGAGACAGGGTTTCACTTTGTCACCCAGGCTAGAGTGCAGTGGCGCAATCACGGCTCACCGCAGCCTCAACCTCCTGGGCTCACATGATCCTCTCACCTCAGATCCCCAGTCAGCTGGAACTATAGACACATGCCACCATACCCAGCTAATTTTTGTATTTTTTGTAGAGATAGGGTTTCACCATGTTGCCCAGGGTGGTCTCAAAGTCCTGAGCTGAATTCCTGAGCTGAAGCGATCCACCTGCCTTAGCCTCCCAAAGTGCTAGGATTTCAGGCGTGAGCCACCGCACCCGGCCAACAATTTCAGATTTATTATGATACAGAATGCAAAACTGCTTGCACGGCTACCCTGCCTCAAAGAACTCTTAGGCTTGTACAAAGACTGTTTCCAACTCTGTCTTCCCGCACAGGGGTGCCTCCAGCAAATAACTAACATAGTAGTTACTTTGTCTACTAGCAAATAACATATTCATGGGCACATGTGGTGACCTTGCAAGTGGCCCCCTCGGGGCGTGTATGGCAGGTGCCGGGCTCTAAATCACCTGCACCTGCGTTACGCCAAGCTCCCCATGGGTGCTTCCTGCCACTGAGCAAGCAGGAAGGGAAATAAAGGCAGGTCCATCCCAGCGCCATGCGGGACCCTCCGGGAGGGGATCTTGGCCTCAGGACTCCCCATTGGCCGGGGCAAAAACCTTAGAACTGTCTGCAGCCTGAAGCTCCTCCTACTCCAACTTCATTCCCTCCCTCTCTCCTGCACAGGGGCTGGCCCAGCACGACGGCTTGAAGGATTTCCCTTCCCCCTCGCCGTTCCTTTTCCCCCCAGAGCCCTTTCCCCCAGTCAGCCTCCTGCATGTCTAATCTCACCTGGGCATCTGCTTCTTAGGGGTCGCAAACTGACCCAGCACCATGCGGGAATTAGAAAAAAGAGGCCCCAGGCTGGGCGCGGTGGCTCAGGCCTGTAATCCCAGCATTTGGGAACACCAAGAGTCCAGGACTCTTGAGCCCAGGACTTCAAGACCAGCCTGGGCAACAGAGCAAGACCCCATCTCTACAAAAAATTTTAAAAACTAGTTGGGTGTGGTGGCACATACCTGTAATCCCAGCTACTCGGGAGGCTGAGGCAGGAGGATCACCTGAGCCTGGGAGGTTGAGGCTGCAGCAAGCCATGATTGCACCACTGCACTCCAGCCTGAGTGACAGAGCAAGGCCATATAGAAAGAAAGAGAGCAAGAAAGGAAGAGAAAAGAAAAGAAAAAAGAGCCCTTTGGGTGGATACATTATGAAAATCAGTTCTTCCAGGATGAGTAGTCAAGCAAGGCCTGGGATCACCCCCACTGCCTCTTCAGTGAGTGCCTTTGTACAGTGCACAACACACACACTGTGCATGGACGGTGCTGACCCCCCAGGCGGTACCTGTGACTCCTGGGCTGTAGGGGGATTTTGTGGGGACACGAGTATAAGGCAGGCCAGGAAGATCCCCCTCACTACTCAGGCCTGTGCCCGCCCCCCATATGGCTACAGTCCAGTGATGCTGCATCGTGGCCACTCCCTCTGGCTAGCCCTGGAGGTTTCTACCTTGCCCCAGTCTCCACCTGGCTCATGCTACCCCCTCACTGGGGCCCCGGGGCTTTGGAGTTCACCCCGCCCTGTGCTGACTCTGGCTGAGCAACCAACTTGCTGTGTGACCTTGGTCCAGCCGCTGCCCGTTTCTGAGCCCAGCTCTCAGGTTCTTGAAACAGGGCGTACAGGCTCCTCTCCTCTTCAATGGCCCTCCAGGCTCCTGTGCTCTGACAGGCTGTGGGAAGATGGAGAGGGAGATAAAGAGAAAATAGTTCTGCTTAATTGCCTCATTAAGCGCTCCTTGTTGGGAAGCCAGAATTGGAGGCCTCCTCTGTTTCTTCGCCTGCCTGCACCCTCCCCAGCTGAATGAGGCAGCTGAATGCGAAGCAGGGAGAGTCGGGGGCTAGAGAAGGATCCTTAGGAAGGGGCAAGATTTTGGCTAAGCCCCAGCCCAGTGAGCTCACATCTGTTTTGTAGCTTCACTAGTCAGGATTCCACTGGGCTGCATGTAACAGAACCCGGCCACACGGTGCAAACTCAGCATAGAGCACCTGCCCCTGCCCCACCTCAGGGCTCCTCAGACCTCTGGCATCTGGGCACCCCAACACCTTTGCCATGTGTATGCCTCTGTCCTACCCCGAGTTACTTAACTTTTTCTAAGCTGGCCCAATTGGTTTTACTTCAATAAATTTACTATTAATAAGAAGAAATTTACTCCTTCTATGTCTACCAAAAGGTATATACAAGAATGTTTCTAGAAACTCCATTTGTAGTTGCCCATTACAGGAAATCCATCCAAAGATGGCTAAGTGAGCTGCGGTCTGTTCACATTGAGGGAGGTTATATGGCAACAGTAAAGAACGCAGCACAGTTACGCACATGAATGAGTCTCGTGGACACTGTGGGGAGCCACAGACGCCGGCTGCGGAAAGGCACACGCCACATGTTTCCATGTGTAGGAAATTCCAGAGAGAAATCCCTCTATAGGGAGAGAAGTCAAAATAGCAGGGACCCCCCCCAGCAGGGGTGGGTGCTACTGACTGGGATGTGGCAGGGGGACGCGCCTTCTGGGGAAGCCTTCTTGGGGTTGGAGATGTGCTTTATCCTGATTTGGGTAGCAGTTTCCTGGGTACACACATGGAAATCACATCAAGCTGTACATTTCAGATCAGTTCCCTTTATACTCTGAGAAATAGATGATAGATAGATAGATAGATAGATAGATAGATAGATAGATAGATAGATACAGACAGATAGATGTTTCAGCAGAAATAAGAAAGTTAAGAAATAGGCCAGGCGCCTGTAATCCCAGAACTTTGGGAGGCCAAGGTGGGCAGATCACTTGAGGCCAGGAGTTTGAGAAGAGCCTGGCCAACATGGTGAAACCCTGTCTCTACTAAAAATATAAAAATTAGTCGGGTGTGGTGGTGCACACCTGTAATCCCAGCTACTCAGGAGGCTGAAGCAAGAGATTAGACCCGGGAGGCGGAGGTTGCAGTGAGCCGAGATCACGCCACTGCACTCCAGCCTGGGCAACAGAGCCAGACTCTGTCTCAAAAAAAAAAAAAAAAAAAGGTTAAGAAACAGAAAAGGAGGGAGGAAGGGTAGGAGGAAGGGAGGGAGGGAGGGAAGGTGGAGAGGAAAGAGGGAAGGAAGGAAGGGAGGGAGGGAGGTCTCATTCACTGATGTCCTAAGTGCTGGATCCTGTGAAACAGTGGTTTCGTAGTTGTCTTGAGAGAGGAGGGCAGCTTCAGTCTTCGGTGGGAGTTTTGCTGCCTCTCCACAGTGTTTATTGAGGACGGAGCTGAGCTAGGCATAGGCCTAACCTCTTGGCCACCCTTTGGGGCAGCTGCAACTTTTAGCAGAGGCGTCATGACTTCCTCCGAGCAACAGCTCTGAGAGTGATTAGCACGGGGCACAGCTGGGACCCAGCCACTGGGCTCCAAGCCTGTGACTGTCACCCCTGCTCCCCAACTCAGTGGTCTCCCCCAAGTACCACCTTCCTTTCATCTCGTGAATCTTTCCGAAGACTGTCCTAGTCCTAGCAGAGGGCCATGTGCTGGGCGAAGCAGACTTGCCCTAATGAAACTTTACGGTCATAGGCCCCAGATCCTCCACTGAGCTCCAGGGTGGTGGGAACGTGGTGGAACGGCAACACGCTGAGACCTTCCTCGGGAGGAGGGCTCCCCACCCCCACAGCACTGTAAGCAGAGATTGCTGTAGTCCAATCACCAACCACCCCTTCTCCCTTAGTACTAGAAACGCTGGCTTTTAGCTGGGCACTCCGGCGACAAGACTAACAATGCATTTCCCAGCCTCCCTTGCAGCTAGATATGGCCAATGCCATGCCCATATGGCCGTGCCCATACCAGCATGGAAGTAAAAGTGTCCTTAAAGGGAGGGAGAGCCATCCACTCCCAGCCCTCCTCCTTTCTGCTGGCCAGAATTCAGATGTGATGGCTGGAGCTGGAGCAGCCATTTTATTTATTTATTTATTTATTTATTTGAGACAGAGTCTTACTCTGTTGCCCAGGCTGGAGTACAGTGGCGTGATCATAGCTCACTGCAGCCTCTACCTCCAGGGCTCAAGCAATCCTCCTGCTTCAGCCTCTCGAGTAGCTGGGACTACAGGTGTGTGCCACCACACCCAGCTAATTTTTAAACATTTTTTGTAAAGACAGTGTCTCGTTATTTTGCCCAGGCTGGTCTGGAACTCCTGAGCTCAAGTGACTCTCCCACCTCCGCCTCCCAAAGCTCTGGGATTACAGGCATGAGCCACCGCGCCCTGCTGGAATGGCCATTTTAGGCCACGAGATGGAAATGATGACTCCCTCTGGATTTTGTCTCTCTGTGGGAAGGAAACTCATAACTTATTTAAACCACCATTATTTTGGGTTCTGTGTCATTCACTGCCAAATGTCCTCCAAACTCATGATGGCTGCAAAGTTTCTAATCAATCAAGGATTCCTGGGACGTGGGGCAGCCTCTAAGTTACCTTGTTCTGGTTGGGAGAAAGCGGCCTTTTACAGGGGTGATACCAAGGCTGGAGCGCTGATCACAGAGGAGGTGCCTGGGCTGACAAAGGGACCCTTCTGCTTGTGTATTCTGAACATGTGTGTGTCCAAACGGTGTGATTCCAATCCCTCTTACCTTTCAAGCGTTACCCACTTTGAGGAGAAATAATCCAAATAACAAACTAGACCCCTTCAGTTATTACATCACTCCTGTTCTAAACCCACTTCCTCAATAGCTTTTAAATTAAAAATTATTTCAAACACACAAAGTGTGCAGTTAATAATGAAACTGATTGCACATATCCAACCACCTGGATTAAACGGATATTAACATTCCGCCAAATTTCCTTGAGGTCTCTCATTCTAGAGAAACAAAAAGTCACAGGGTCGGACATGGTGAGCACTTTGGGAGGCTGAGGCAGGAAGATCACTTTGAGGACAGGAGTTTGAAACCAGCCTGTCCAACATGGAGAAACCTTGTCTCTATTAAAAATACAAAAATTAGCCGGGCGTGGTGATGTGCACCTATAATCCCAGCTACTCGGGAGGCTGAGGCAGGAGAATCACTTGAACCTAGGAGGTGGAGGTTGCAGTGAGCCGAGGTTGCGCCATTGCACTCCATCCTGGGTGATGGAGTGAGACTCTGTCTCAAAAAAGAAAAAGGAAAAAGAAACAAAAGTTCACAGAACCAGCTAAGATTCGCCTCTTTGCACGCACACACAGCATCCCTCCCCTCCGTCCCTCCCTCCTCACTCCTGTGCATGTCCCAGTCCTTCCACAGTTGTCTTCATCAACAATAGATCATGCAGTAAAAAACCACTTTCTCGTTCTAACGGGTTAAACTCATTCTTTCAAATATTTGCTGATACCTGGCTGACATTATCACTTCACAATTTATCTAGGACAACCAGACCCCCTGGAAGTCCCTGTGTCTTTAGGGAGATTTTTTTTTTTACCACCAATATTGCCTAAAGACAGATGTGCTATTTTATCTTTTTCTAGCACATATTACAATAAATGTGTGACTACGGAAATTAAAAGACAAAAGTTGAACGGTGCACCAGTTAAAATTGTCCTGAGTACCACCCAGGGAACACTAACTACCAGCTGGGAACACAGCTCTAACCAGTCCTGGGAGAGCTAGGTTCTATGACCCCATCTTCCTCCACAGGTCAGCCAAACCAGAACATTCCAGACACTTCTGAGTGTATCCTGTGACCTTAATAATAAATTTTGAGCACTGATGCTCATGATATAAATATTTCTAACTTGTAAATTGTGGACATGGCTTCTACATTCCTTAGCTGTTTTCTTCTTACTCGGCTAGTCTTCCCCCTACAGGGGGATTTTTAAGCCACATGTCCATTTTGTGAGGATGACTCTCTTTAAAATCTTTTATTAAGATTTTTTTTTTCACTCTGTTGCCCAGGCTGGAGTGCAGTGGCGCAATCACAGCTCACTGCAGCCTTGAACTCTTGGGCCCAAGGGATCTTCCCATCTCAGCATCCCAAGTAGAATAGATGGGACTATAGGCACACACCACCACACCTGGCTAATTTTTTAATTTTTTGGAGAGACAAGGTCCCACTATGTTGGCCAGGCTGGTCTTGAACTCCTGGCCCCAAACAATCTTCCTGCCTCGGTCTCCCATAGTGCTGGGATTACAGGCGTGAGCCATTGCACTGGGCCTGAGGGTTATTTTAGTTAACACCAGATGCCCTCATCCTTAGAGTCGCAGGGCCAGTCAGGTTCATACTGCAATGCACTGCTATTTGCTGACAAGTACTGAGGACACCACCCCCATCCCAGGTGCTCGTGGAAGGAAAATAAACAGCAAGCACTTACTGAGCAGGAGCTATGCACTAGGGCCTGTTCTAAGCGCTTTACACCAGCTAGCTCACTTAATCCCCGCCACAGCCCAGGAGGCCATTATCCCATTTTAGGACTGAAGTTCAGAGAGGCTGAGAAACCTGGCCAAAGCCCCAGAGCTGTCAAAGACAGCTGCTAGCTCCTTGTGTCCTCCCAGGGCAGAAAAAGGGCTTAGAGAGCTCTCTGGGGTCCCTTTTATAAGGGACTGGTCCCATCGTGAGAGATCTACTCTCACGACCTAACCACCCCTCAAAGGCCCCACCCTCTAAGGCCATCACATCGGGGCCAGGGTCTCAACATATGAATTTGTTGTGAGGGGTTGCACAAACATTCAGTCCATTGCACATATTGTATCAAAAATACGTAACTTTAGGCTGGGCGTGGTGGCTCACTCCTGTAATCCCAGCATTTTGGGAGGCCAAGGCAGGAGGATTGCTTGAGGCCAGGGGTTCAAGATCAGCCTGGCAAACATAGTAAAACCCCCATCTCTAAAAAAAAAAAAAAAAAAAAAACTTAATTAGCTGGGAATAGTAGCACACACCTAGTCCCAGCTACTCAGGAGGCTGTGGTGGGAGGATCACTTGAATACACGAATTCGAGGCTGCAGTGAGCTATGATCGTGCCACTGCACTCCAGCCTGGGCAACAGAGCAAGACCTTGCCTCAAAAAAAAAAAAAAGTAACTTTAATTGGCAATATCAAGTGTTGATGAGGATTTAAAGGTGGGAGAGTAAATTGTTACAATCATTTTGGAAAATTGTCGCCAGCTACTGAATCCAAGAACATGACTACTCTGTGGTCCAGTAATCCCATTCCCAGATACACTCCCAAGAAAAATGGGGGTATCCGTTCATCAGAGGACATGGATAAGAACCTCTACACCACCTCGATCTGTAATAGCCCCACACTGAAAACAATCCAAACATCCGTCAGCTCTAGAATGAAAAACAAACGACGACCTATTCATGTAATTGAAAACTGCACAGAAATTAGCAAGCACGAGCTGCAGCTTCCGGACAGCGAGAGCAACCCTCACTGGAGGATATGCAGATGAGGCCAGACACCGAGGGGTGAGAGTTCACGCACTGTGTGAGGCTCTGGAACAGCAGAGAGGGTCTGTGGGGATAGAGCCTCTATCATGGTTACCCCTGGAGGATGGGGCACAAGGGAACTCTTGGATGATAGGAACCTTCCACGTCCTGGTCTGAGTACTAACGCCAAGGTGGAAATGTGCAGACGTCTGTCACAATCCATCACTCACGGAAGATTTCTGCAGCTTACCATGCATCCATACATTCCACGCATTGTTCCTCTGTCGTGTTTTTTTTTTTTTTTTTTTTAAAGACAGAGTTTCGCTCTGTTGCCCAGGCTGGAGTGCAGTGGCGCGATCTCGACTTACTGCAAACTCCGTCTCCAGGCTTCAAGCGATTTTCCTGCCTCAGCCTCCCAACTAGCTGGGATTACAGGCGCCCGTCACCATGCCTGGCTAAATTTTGTATTTCTAATAGAGATGGGGTTTTGCCATGTTGGCCAGGCTGGTCTAGTACTCCTGGCCTCAGGTGATCCACCTTCCTCGGCCTCCCAAAGTGCTAGGCTTACAGGCGTGAGCCACCTCGCCCAGCACGTAGATTTTTTCTCAATGTGTAACTTTGGCAGCTAGGGTCTCCGTCAGCGTGTTGAGATGCTCGCATTAAGAGGGGCGTGAATTAGCTGGGTGCGGTAGCTCAAGCCTGTAGTCCCAGCACTTTGGGAGGCTGACAGGTGGGAAGATCACTTGAGGCCAGGAGTTCAAGACCAGCCTGGGCAACATAGTGAGACCCCTGTCCCTACAAAAAAAAATTAATTAATTAGCTGGGCATAGCGGCACAAACCTGTGGTCCCAGCTACTTGAGAGGCTGAGGATAGCTTGAACCCAGGAGTTCGAGGCTGCTGTGAGCTACGATCATGCCACTGCACTCCAGGCAGGGTGACAGTGAGACCCTGTATCTAAAAAATTAAATTAAAAAAAAAATTTTTTTTTGAAACAGAATCTCACTCTGTCACCCAGGCTGGAGTGCAGTGTTGCGATCTCAGCTCACTGCCATGTCTGCCTCCCGGGTTCAAGTGATTCTTCTGTCTCAGCCTCCTGAGTAGCGAGATTACAGGCGTCCGCCACCAATGCCCAGCTAATTTTTGTATTTTTAGTAGAGATGGGGTTTCACCATGTTGGCCAGGATGAACTCAAACTCCTAACCTCAAGTGATCTGCCTGCCTCAACCTCCCAAAGTGCTGGGATTTAAAATTATTTTTTATTATAAAAAAGAGGGGCACGAGAGAAGGGACGCAATTGTGGAAACTGCACACTTAGGTCCTCACCCTCACTAGTTGAGCGCAATGGCCTGGCCATTGGCTGGGTATCGAAGTTTCTCTCTCTCCAAAGACGCAGAGTCGAATTAGTGTGAGTGACATGTGTTTGACAGGTGTCCAGCTCATCATGTAGACAGGCCAAGCCTTCCGGCTGGGAAGTGCTAGGCGTGGGGCAGCTCTGCACCCCTGTCTCTGCTCTGCCGCTCGCAAGCTCTGTGACCTTGGGGAATTCACTCAACGTTCCTGAGCCTCCATTTCCTTCTCTGTAGAATGGGGATGACGGCAGCAGTGACATCACAGTTTCGGCGAGAATTCCAAGAGATCGTGTGTGCGCGCGTGCTAGTCATTCATCCCATGCATATTTGTTGAGCCTGACTGTGTATCAGGAAGGGTGGGTCCAGCCGTGACAAAACAGGCACAGCCCCAGGCCTTGGGTGCTTTCTAGGGGGAAGTAGACAAGAAGCCCAAGAAGTCAGCACATGCCGGGGGTGTCAGAAGGTGAGAAGTACTGGGGGTAGCAAAGCAGGGAAGGCAGGAGGAACGGGGAGATGCAGGGCACTCCTGGCACCACCCGGATTCCCCTGCTGGCCCCCTTCCACCCTGAGCACCGCCGGGGGTGACTGCCTTCATCCAAGTGGGAGTGTCTCCCAGGCCACAGCCAGTGACCAAAACAGACTGACACGGGGAGCAGGACGGAGGGGAGGGCAGAAGCCTGGCCCCCTGAGAGGAAGGACTAGGAAAGATTCTGGTGCACAGGCATTCACAGCAGCACCAGTCACAATGGCCAAAAGGTAGGAACAGCCCAAGTGCCCATCAGGAGATGACAAATAACACGAGGGGCGCCTCCATGCAGGGGATATTGTTGAGCCGTGAAGAGGAATGCCACTCCTGTGAACTCAACTTGCTCTGAAAAGTAAAGTCTATTCAAAATGAAAGTGCGGCGGGAAGGAAGGAAATTCTGACTCAGGCTCTAACGTAAATGAACTTTGAAGACACGATGCTAAGTGAAAGTAGCCAGATGCATGATTCCGGTTAAATAAAGTGCCTAGAGCAGGCGGATTCACAGAGACAGACAGTACGTTAGCGCTTACCAGGGGCTGGGGGACGGGAATGACAGTTATTGCTTAATGGGGACAGAGTCTGCTTGGAGTGATGAAAACCTTTCAGAACAGGAGAGTGGTGATGGTCAAGCAACACTGTGAATGTCCTTAATACCACTGAATTGTACCTTTAAAAATGGCTAAAGTGGTACATTTTATGTTATGTGTATTTTACCACAATTGAAAATAAAGCAAGGCTGGATGCAGTGGCTCACGCCTGTAATCCTGGCAGTTTGGGAGGCCAAAGCAGGAAGATTGCTTGAGGCCAGGAGTTAAAGACCAGCCTGGGCAACATAGTGAGACCTAGTCTCTACAAAAAATAAAAAAATTAGCCAGGCACAGTGGTACACTCCTGTAGTCCCAACTACTCAGGAGGCTGAGGCAGGAGAATCGCTTGATCCTTGGAGGTGGAGGCTGCAGTGAGCTGTGATGGTACCATTGCACTCCAGCCTGGGCAAGAGAGTGAAACCCTGTCTCAAAAATAATGCAAAAAACAAAAAACAAAACACACACACACACACACACACACACATCCTGACCCACCTGGCTACAGATGGGACAAACCCTGGTGGAGTTCACATATCAGAGCCCCCCGTGGGTCCAGGCTGAGGCCGCCCTCCCTCCCTCTCCTGTAAAAACCTCTCTCTCTGGCTCTGCTTCTGGGGCCCTGGATCTAGGTCAGGAGGGCTGTGATTTAAAACAAGGTGCCAGGGAGGCCTGGTTGTGGCGGTGAATCCTGAAAGGGAGCCATCAGCAACTTAATGAGAAATAGACGAAACCCTGTTCTCAGCCGGGCGCGGTGGCTCACACCTGTAATCCCGGCACTTTGAGAGGCCAAGGCAGGTGGATCACTTGAGATCAGGAGTTTGAGACCAGCCTGGCAGATGTGGTGAAATCCTGTCTCTATTAAAAATACAAAAATTAGCTGGGTGTAGTGGCGCGTTTCTGTAATCCCAGCTACCCAGGAGGCTGAGGCACGAGAATCACTTGAACCCGGGAGGCGGAGTTTGCAGTGAGCCAAGATCATGCTACTGCACTCCAGCCTGGGCAACAAGAGCGAGACTCCATCTCAAAAAAATAAATAAATAAAATAAAAAAAGAAAGAAAGAAATCCTGTTCCCGAGACAAAGAAAGAAAGACGGAAGAAAGAAGGAAAGAAAGAGAGAGAGAAAGAGAGAAAGAAAGAAAGGAAGGAAAGGAAAGGAAAGGAAAGGAAAGGAAAGGAAAGGAAAGGAAAGGAAAGGAAAGGAAAGGGAAAGAAAGAAAAAGAAAGAAAGAAAGAAAGAGATCCTGTTCCTGAGACAAGGGGACCGAGGTACAGAGAGGAGCTTTGCCTGGGCCACAATTGTACAGGGTGATGGCACAGGGGGCACACGGGGCACAGATTGCAACTCCTGCCTCCCTGTCCCCTTCTCTCCACATGGCAGGCTTGGGCTGGCTGCTTAGGGTTAGAGGCAGAAGCCTCTTTTGCAGGGACCTTCAGAAGTGGCAGAGGATCTGGTTTGAGAGACAACAGACAGGAACAAATGGCTGGAATATTGAGCCTCAGGACATTCCTGCTCTGTGGGCCCTGCCCTGAAGGCCTTGGCTTATTAAACCCATAGATAGCCCACGCCTAACGGGAGCTCTGACCTCACAGACTGTGGCCACCGCGGCCACCATGATCTCGCCTGCTGCTCAGCGTTTGCCTGGGAGCTACCAGGCTCATGTTGCACCCACAGGAGCTGGGAGCCCATTGCAGGGCCCGGCTGGGCGTGGCGGGAAGTCGAATTTTCTTGGTGTCTAGAGAGTGAGTAGTGAGCAGAGGTGTCTCAAGACACACAACTCCAGGTTTCATTATCTGCCCTCGATGCCGGAATAATCACTGTGTACACACAGTGTGGGATCCCAAACAGTGCTGACTGTGTCCCCTGCTCAAAGTGCTGGCTGATGACAGGGATGTTGCATTGAAATAATTATGGCTTCCGCCTGTGAAGAGGTGGGAGGAGAGGAAGAGAGAAGATCCCAGCAGGAGTCGGCAAAGAGAACAATCTGCTTTCTTGCAGAGACAAAGCAGCCACCCTTGACTAGGGGGTCTGCAGTGGCTCCAGAAAGACCCCAGCTTCTTCACCACTAGGAACAAGACTCTTGGTCAGAAGAGGCCAAGAAAGAGACATAGACCCTGTTCTACCAAGGGCTGCCGAGGGGTGGCTGGAGGCTTCGGGGTGTCCCGTAGAATAGTAGAGTGTGGACTGTAAAGGTTGCCACAATGTCTCAAATATCGGCCTCTCTAACCTACTGCTGCTGCTGTTGACAGGAGGAAGCAGGGAGAAGGGAGCACTGTGTCTTGAGCACTTCCCGTGTGCCCAGCACAGTGCTGGGGGCTTTACTGGATGTCTTTTATGGAGCTCTAGCTGTATGCTCAAACATTCCATAGTTATCTATTGAGCACCTACTATGTGCTGCTTGACAACCAACCACAGAACCTCAACGTGTACAACAATCACTATGTACCTGGCTGGTGTGTTAGCAGGGCGGCTGGCGCTGGCTGATCTAGGCTGGCTCGCCCGCCGGGCTCTGCTGACCTCACCTGGATTCACCCAGCTGCTGCAGGTCGGCTGATCTAGGTGTGGCTCAGCCCCACATATCTCTCATCCACTCTGTGGGACCAGTGGCCACTCAGCACATTCTCCTTATGGCAAAGGAGGAGGAGCAAAAAAGCAAACATAGTCAATGGAGGTCCCTAGACACGCATGCTCAGACCTGGCACACACTCGTGTCAGCTTCGTGCTTTTGGTTAAAGCCAAAGTCAAGGAGTAGAAAAACAAACTTCACCTCCACAATGGGAGGAACTGAGAGGGTGCAAACACAGGGCAGGAGGAAGGATGAGGTCAATTCTGCAATACGGAGCCCTCACGTACTGCATTCCAATGGGTGCCACTTGCCCGAAGAGGCCATTGTTTATTAGACGCCAGGTGTGGGCACTCGTTCACGCATTCTGCTAATGTGCACTGAGCACCTCCCAGCACTGCAGAACTGGCACCTGGTAAGTTACAAAACCAGATGAGTCCCGGCCCTCCTGGCTCCCACAGGGTGTGTCGGGGGAGGGACTCGAGACGTGGTGTCATGCACATGACTGTCAGCTGTGCCCAGTGGCCTGAACAGGAGTTGCTTGTGCTGTGGGTGCCTGTAACAGAGGGCCGCACCCAGTCTTGGGGGTGAGGGAGCTTCCCCAAGGACATGAGGATGACGATGGAGCTGGCATTTGAGGGACAAGTGGTAACACTCTCGTGGAGAGAAGGAAAAAGCATCCTAGGCCGAGGGCTCAGCAGGTGCGAAGGCCATGTGGTGAGAGGTTTGCTTGCAGAGGTGAAGAAGGTAGGGGGCTTAGGGGGCAGTTGTGACATAAGCAATGGACCCTGAGCACCAATCCCAGTCTTCACCGCCACTGGCCCCATGTGCACGGCGATTGGAGCTTTCCAGCTTTAAGGGCCTGCAACCATGACCAAGGCCTTAAACAGAGAAGACACGCCTCTGAAATAGAAAAGCCAATGGCAAAATCAAAATTGATAGGTGTCATGGAACACTAGGCAACCAAAAAAAGAATGAAACCATGTCCTCTGCAGGAACATGGATGGAGCTGGAGGCCATTATCCCTTGCAAACTAATGCAGGAATAGAAAACCAAATACTGCATGTTCTCACTTATAAGTGGGAGCTAAATGATGAGAACACATGGACACACAGAGGGGAACAACAGACACCGGGCCCTACCTGAAGATGGAGGACAGGAGGAGGGAGAGGAGCAGGAAAAATAACTAATGGGTACTAGGCTTAGTGCCCAGGTATTAAGTACTATGGTACTAAGTACCTTAGTATCTAGGTTGGTGCAAAAATAATTGTGGTTTTTGCACTGTTGAAATTTGCCATTTTGTATTGGAATACATTCTTAAATAAATGTGGTTTTTATATATCATTTTAATGCACGTTTCTAGCTTTTTTTTGGGTAATGACTTATTATTACTTGCTGTTTATATTTCTTTTAGACTATGGAAATGATGTTAGACAAAAAGCAAATTTGAGTGATTTTCTTACTCGAGTTCAAAATGGGTCATAAAGCAGCAGAGACAACACGCAACATCAACAACACGTTTAGCCCTGGAACTGCTAACGAACATACAGTACAGTGGTGTAATTACAATTACATCTGAGAAGTATGCTCAGCAGATCGATGAGACACATTGAAAACTGCAGCGCCTGCAGCTGGCATTGGCCAACAGAAAGGGCCCAATTCTTCTCCACGACAACGCCTGACTGCACGTCACACAACCAGCGCTTCAAAAGTTGAACTAATTGGGCTACGAAGTTTTGCCTCATCTGCCATATTCACTTGACCTCTCCCCAACCGACTACCACTTCTTCAAGCATCTCGACAACTTTTTGCAGGGAGAACGCTTCCACAACCAGCAGGATGCAGAAAGCGCTTTCCAAGAGTTCATCGAATCCCAAAGCACAGATTTTTACACTATAGGAATAAATGAACATTTCTTCTTGGCAAAAATGACTTGATTGTAATCGTTCTTATTTTGATTAATAAAGATGTATCTGAGCCTAGTTATAATGATTTAAAATTCATGGTCCAAAACCGCAATTACTTTTGCACCAGCCTGCAACCTGTACAACAAACCCCCATGACACAAGTCTACCTACGTAACAAACCTGCGCATGCGCCCCTGAACTTAAAATAAAAGTTAAAAAAAAAAAAAGACTAGAGAGGAGCCTATATTTCCACTGAAAGGAAGGAGAGGTTGGGGAATAGGAATAATTCTGCACAGGAACAAGAAAGCGAATGCAAGGAAATTTTCAGACCAGTCTCTTTGCCCGAGTCTTTAAAAGTTTTTGTTAGGGGTCATGAAGTTTGAAATGTGTCTTAAGGAGGGATGGATTACTTGGAATAAATTGCCTCTATGAGACAGTGTGATATGATGTGACATGAGGGACTGTGGAGTCACGTGGGGTGGGGGTGGGAGGAGGATGAGGATTAAAATCTACACACGGAGTACAGTGTACACAACTAGGGAGACGGGAGCACTAAAAGCTCAGACTTCACCACTGTACAATTCATCCATGTAATCAAAATCCACATGTACCCCAAAAGCTCCTGAAATTAAAAAGCAAATTCACAGGTGTCAACTTAGACAGCGACAGAACCTGACATTTTGTTGACAAGTTGACTGCAACGTAGAGCATCTCCTGGAGGATCTGCTTTTACGGCGTAGCGATGGCAGGGCTTCTGCTTCTGGAAGGTGGAGCAGGTGCATTCACGCCCTTCTCTGTCTTCCTCCAACAACATAAACTAAAAGCTGTAAGCATGGCAGATGCTTGATCCGCCCCTCCTCCCATGTGAGATGCTGCCTCGAGAGCTGCACAAAGACCCCTCTGTGAAGCCCCTTAGCGATCCCACAAGGAAAATAGCACGACCATCCTGTTCTACAGATGGGGCAACTTGAGGCTCAGAGAGGCCAGGCGACTTGCCCAGTGTCACACACAGTCTGCCATTGGTTGTAGAGTCAGGATGTGAACCCGAGTTTGTCTCACTCAGAGCCCGCACTCTGAGCTGCCTGCCTCTGCTTCTCGGATTCCAGCCTTGGTTTTGTGTGAGTCCCGGGCACACTGTAGGTGCTGAACTCATTGCTGAATGCACACATCCAGCAGATGTTTAGTGAGCGCCTACTGTGTGCCAGGCAGTGTTCTAGGCACTGTGGATACAGCAGGGAGCAAGACAGACAGCAACCTTGCCCCCATGATGCTGGTATTTAAGTAGCAGAAGAAAACATGCAATAAATATTGATACACACGCACTATGCTAGACACTGGTAAGTGCTAAGGTCAGAAAATGACGCGGGGGCAGTGGGGACGGGATGCAAGGGGGTGCAATATTAAGTGGAGTGGCAGGGAAGGCCTCGCTGAGAAAGGAGTCATTGCACCTGAAACAGGGAAGGTTACGAGCAATGGGGCATCTAGGGGAGAAGGAACAGGCAACACAGAGGTCTGGAGGCCGGACCACGCCTGTAGCAACTTTGAGGAACTGCAAGGAAGCCAGCATGGCTGATGCTAAGTGCGCAAAGAGGTCAGTGGTGGGAGATGAGGACACAGAGGACAGATGCTCCAGGAGGGCCAGAGTGTGTGCGGCTTTGAGGCCACAGAAGGACTTGGTGTTTACTCTGGGGGAAGTGGGAGCCACGGCAGGCGTTTGAGCAGAGAAGCAGCCTCCTCTGACTTGGGATTTAACAGGTTCCCTCTGGCTGCCGTGTGAGGAATAGCCTCAGTGGGGTTAGGGTGGCAGCTGGGAGACCAGGGACCTGGACTACTGCACCTGTCCAGGCGAGCAATGATGGCAGCTGGAACCTGGTTGGGGTGGGGAGAGGTGGAGGTGGTGAGAAGTCCGCAGATTCTGGATGTATTTGGAAGAGAAAAACAGCAGGATTTGCTGATGAGTCAGACACGGGCAGGAGAGAAAAAAAGCAGTCGGATGACTCTGAGGTGTTTAGTCCAGCAACAGGGAGATGAGGTTACCATTCCCAGAGAAGCAGGCAGTGGAGGAGCAGGCCTGAGGTCGATGTTAAACATGATGGTAAGTTCGAGATGCCCGTGAGCCATCTGCAACCCAAGCAGGTTTTTCTCTAAGGACACAGCAGCAGAAAATATAACACACTGTCTGGCTTGAGCTTCTGAAAATCCTCACTCCTCAGGTTTGTTCTCCTCCAGGGATAAAACCAGCCAACCAGATCTTTCGCTGCCATCTCTCCTGAGCATGGCGAGCCTCCAACTGGGTTGGCTTCAATCCTCGGGGAAGCTGGCGCCATAAATCACTCGGCGATGATCCCAGGGGCCTCTGAGGACATCTCCCGGTATGAGGCTCAGACAATAGAAGGGGATTTGGATGAGCTCACCCAGCGGCAGGCACATTAGATTTGCCATAAATTATTACAAGGTTAACAGGAAATCACACAGTGATCTCAGCTGAGCTGTGGAAGGAACAAGGGGAGGGTGCTGGGGGCCCTTACAGCGCCACATACTCAAAGCCATCACCCTGCTCTGCAGTCAGGGTGGTGTGTGTGTCCCAGAACAGATCATCAAACAGTCCTAGCATGAATGAGAAATGGGAAGGTTTTCTTGAGGACATCAGATGTCCTTGCTTAGCAGCTTAAAAGCTGTGTGTCCTTGAGCAAGTTACCTAACCTCTCTGGGCCTCGATTTTCTCATCTGAAAAATGTGGATAATACTTGTTCCTAACACAGCTGGTGAGGATAGCGATTTGCTCCAATTTCCCCCAAACATTTGCTCACTTTCCTCTTCTCTTTCCCAGCACACAAAGAATCGCATGTTCTCCAGCCCTTGAATTGAGGTGCAGTCACGTGTCTTGGTGCAGTGCGTGAAACCCGGATGGAACAGATATGTTTTAAGAGCCAGTGCGCAATTCACCATGATTCACTTCATTCACTTCCCTTCCTACAACTATTGCAGTTTGCCAAGAGTAGAGCGATCTGTGCCACCCATGAGGGACAACACATAAACTGTGATTATTGTTTGTTAAGCTGGAATTTGGGGGGTCATTTGTTAATGCAGCAAGACCTAATCTCTCCTGACTGAGGCCAGATTAAATGAGTTAATACATCTAAAATCCTTGGAGTACTGTCTGGCACATGGCAGCCACCACAGACTGTTAGCTTTTATTATTGTTTAAACAATCATAAAGACAAAATCAGCAAACCTGGACATGGAGTAGCAGATAGACTCCAGGGAGGCCCCAGTGGCCTCTGCCTCCTGGTGTTCATGCCCTTATTAATCTCCTCCCCTTGATTGTGGACTAGACCCACATGAGGCTTTCTTCTTGCAAAGGTGATGGAATGTCACTTGCAGGACCTACAATCATAGTGTCTGTCTTGCTAGGAGGCTCTCTCCCTTGCTGGCTCTGATGAAGTGAGTGGGTATGTGGGAAGAACCACATAACAGAGAACTGGGGGTGGCCGCCAGCCAATGACCAGCTAAGAATAGAGGGGGCAGCCTCTGGCCCAAAGCCAGCAAGAATCTGAGCCCTACAGCCCCACAGCGAGGGTAACCAACTCATTCCAGCCTGCCTGGGCTTTTTCAGCTTTAGCACTGGAGAGTCCCACATCCCTGGAAATTCCCTCCTGGTCTATCCAGGACTATCCTAGTTTTAGGGTTGAAAGGTTGGCATCCCTGGAGCCCCTCAGTCCTGAGCAAACTGGAATGGTCGGTGTATTCGATGGCTAGGACTGCCGTGACAAGTGCCACAGACTAGGCGGCTTACCGAACAGACGTTTATTTGCTCACAGTTCTAGAGGCTGGAAGCCCTGGATCAAGGCGTGGGCAGTGTTCTTTTCTTCTGAAGTCTCTCTCCTCGGCTTGCCGATGGCCATCTTCTCTCTGTGTCTTTACGTGGTCTTTCCTGTGTATGTCCTAATCTTATTTGATAGAATAGTCATAGCAGATTTGGGCCCACCCTAATAACTTTGTTTTAACTTAATTACTTCTTCAAAGACCTATTCCTAAATACAGTCACATTCTGAGGTACTGGGGCATAGGACTTCAACAAAGGAATTTTGGAGGGGGCACAGTTCGGCCCATAAGAACTGGTTCCCCTAATTGACAGCAACAAGAACCTGAATTCTGCTAGCAACCATGTGAGCTTGAAGCAGATCCTCCCTGGTCAAGCCTTCAGATGAGACCCAGTCCAGCTAACACTTTAATGGCAGCCTTGCAGAGGAACCAGCTAAGCCATGTGAGGCTCCTGACCCACAGAAACTGCTACATAATAAATGGGTATCCCAGCTACTCGGGAGACTGAGGCAGGAGAATCGCTTGAACCAGGGAGTTGGTGGTTGCAGTGAGCCAAGATCACGCCACTGCACTCCAGCCTGGTGACAGAGCAAGACTCCATCTCAATAAATAAATAAATAAATAAATAAATAAAACTGGGTATCATTTTAAGCTGCTAACTTTGTGACGTTTTGTTACATAGCAATGGGTAATGAATGCCTTGAGTCATATCTGTGCACTTGCCCAACCTTGCCCATAGCTTTCTGCTGATCCCTGGCACAGAACCTTCTGTTTCCATAGTCACATGATGGTCTTCTGGGAGAACTGGAAGGACCAATATTACTCTGTAGATTCCTCTTCTGTTTCACCCAATAACTCACTCTTCTGGGTTCTTCACTCTTCCCTCATGTGGTATAACTTTGTTTTTGTCAAAATACTTTTATACACTTTACGAATCAATCCATTTCTTGTTGGGTTCTGACAATGTCCCCAGTACGACTGGGTCTTTAAAGTGTTGAGTTTTTATCTTCTTTCCAGCCACACAGGATAACCATTCCCTCCTAACTGCAAATAGCAAGGATGAGGGTTACAGAGGTGATGTCGTCAAGTGTATTTGACTCCAGGCTCTGAGAACCTGCAGTCATCTTCCCTAATCCAGGATGCCCAGCAGCATACTCACTGATGCATACAGATGCTCTATGAAAAAGATTCCATGAAAAACTGCATGTTCACACCTCTGCTTGTAAATGCACAATGCACATTGATGTATTAAAGGCACTGATAAGACCTGCGGGGGGGGGGGGGCAAGGGATACCACTTCAATCCTTTTTGAGGAACACTGTTCTTTTTTTTTTTTTTTTTTTTGAGATGGACTCTCACTCTGTCACCCAGGCTGGAGTGCAGTGGCGTGATCTTGGCTCACTGCAACCTCCGCCTCCCAGGTTCAAGCCAGTCTCACGCCTCAGCCTTCTGAGTAGCTGGGACTACAGGCACATGTCACCATGCCTGGCTAATTTTTGTATTTTTAGTAGAAACGGGGTTTCATCATGTTGGCCAGGCTGGTCTCAAACTCTTGGCCTCAAGTGATCCACCTGCCTCGGCCTTCCCAAAATGCTGGGACTATAGGCATGAGCTACCACACCTGGCCAAGGAACACTGTTCTGACCCACTCCATGACACTGGAGGGTAAGTAGAGTTATCCCCATTTTCCAGATGAGGACATTGAAGCACAAGAGTTCTACTGCCTCACCCAAGGTCACCTTGCTGACAGAATCAGCCTAAGATTCAGACCCAGGCTGGAGGACACCAAAGCCTGGACCATTCGCTGTCCCACCTGACTCCTGAAAACCAAGCGAGGAATTGAATGAGTCTTTGGTGGATCTTAAGGGGCTGGTTAATGACAAGAAGTTGCAGGAACCAGGGCAGGGGCAGACATGAAGTTCAAGTTGATGCTTTTCTGCTAAAAATGCCTCCTGGGTGAAATTCCAACCTTCTCCTTTCTCTTTTAAGAATTACCAATGCATGTATATTTTAATTTATTGTTTTCTCTAAAATTCTAGCACGGAGTGAAGGAACTGACCCCCAGGCTCCAGTGCCTGCTGGAATTAGACGCACCGCCAAGCTTTTTCCCTGCAATCGCTGGGAGTAGTAATGCTCTTATTAATAATAGCACATTATTAATATAATGTTGTTATTAATATTATGTTATATATATTATATGCTATATTATAATGTTATTAATGTAATGCTGTTATTAATACTAGCACTCAGCCCTTGCACGAACATGGGTTGCGAGCTATGTAAGCGCAGCTTGGTGGCTTCTCAACTCCTCCTAATGAGAACCCTGTGAAGTAAGAACTGTTAACGCCCCATTTTGCAGATGAGGAAACTGAGGCACTGGGTGGTTAGATAACTTGTTTGGTGCTGGGTGAGCAGCAAGAGGCAAACGGTCCTTAGATACATTGGGAGGGACGTCAGTGAGTTTTTTTTTTTTTTTTTGAGACGGAGTCTCGCTCTGTCGCCCAGGCTGGAGTGCAGTGGCGTGATCTCGGCTCACTGCAAGCTCCACCCCCCGGGTTCACGCCATTCTCCTGCCTCAGCCTCCCAAGCAGCTGAGACTACAGGCGCCCGCCACCTCGACCGGCTAATTTTTTGTATCTTTAGTAGAGACAGGGGTTTCACCGTATTAGCCAGGATGGTGTCGATCTCCCGACCTCCGCCCGCCTCGGCCTCCCAAAGTGCTAGGATTACAAGTGTGAGCCACCGCGCCCGGCCCTCAGTGAGATTTTATAGAGAATTGCTGAGAGTGTGAGAGACGATAAACATTGCCAATAGTAACCTTGTCTACCAGTCTTTGGGTAAAAACAGCAGCTGCTGTTTACCGAGTGCTTACCACGTTTCTGACACTGCTCTGAGGGCTTTGTTTGTCTGTAGTCGTTTGGTCCCCATGACAAACCGGTAAGTGAAGAAATTCACAATGCTCATTGATATATTAAAGGCACTGATAAGTCCTGATAATCCGATGAGTGAAGAAATGTTATCATCCTCATTTTCTAGGCTAGGAAACTGAGGCACAGAAAGGTGAAGTAGTGTGTCCAAGGCTGCACAGCTAGGAAGTGGCTTAGCTGGGAGCTGGAACTCAAGTCCAGAGCCCGTGCTGTTCTCTTAACCCTGCACTCCGTCACCTCTCCGGGGATTACCAGGGCCCGGATGCTGGGCATTTTCTTTTTTCTTCCTCTTGTTAGCCTATTTTGCAAAGGCAAACACTGAGACTCAGTGAAGGGTGCAGGTTGTTCAGGCCCCTGTGAAAAATGAGAAGCAGACCACCTCCTCTGGGGCACCAGATGCCAGGACGGAGGTGAACAGCACTCACCTTCACTTTGCCGCATTCAGCTCAGCAGGACAGGCCCTGGTGGACCTCCACCCTCTCCAGACCCATTGCTTGGCTCGATAGTAAAATAATGCTGACCCGAAAGATCAGAAGCAGAAGACGGCTTGCTGCTATCCACATCTGCTGCTTATTCAGCATTCTTGCTGAACTTTTAAAAAATCCCTGAGAATGCCAGAACTAGACTATAGCTTGCTTAAAATGAAAGAAAAAAAAAGGAAAAACTGATAATGTGAGGAATCTTTCCTGCAAGTCAGTGCAAATTAAATGGGTTTAAGCAAATAGGGAGGTTTATTGGCTGAAGCAATTTAAATTCTAGGAATAGCATCAGCTTCAGGCATAGCTGGATCCAGGGGCTTGGCTAATGTCATCAGGCTTGGGTATCTCCTTCTCTCTCTGGCCTGCCCTCTCCTCCATGTTGGTTTTATTAATAGACGTCACATGGTGGCAAGACGGCTACCAGGAGCTTTATGCCACATCCCCCAGGCCTGAGTCCAGCAGGAAAGAGATGTTCCTTCAGGGTACTACATACAGCAAATGCTCCAAGATCAACCTTGATTGGCCATCTTAAACCATATGGGGACAGCAGTAAGCCAGTTGGCTCAGATCCAAATCACTGGCCTGGAGTTGGGTGCACCGTCTCTGGACCAAGAGCGGAAGGTTGGATCCCCCATGGAAATCAGGACATTTTGCCCGAAGGAGGAGGAGCAGAGGCTATGGAGACAGACTCAGGTGCTCACTATACCAAGAAACGAATCAGACCCTGTGTGCTGGCATCTTCTGTTTGTCCGAGAGATCTCTCTCTTCCTTTCTCCACTGGCCCTCTGCCCCTGAAGCTGACCCACCTTAACCACTTCCACAGCCCACTGCTCTCTGCCTCTGGTTGGACTTGGCACGGGGTAGCCCGGCAGGACATGAGTGAGGTCAAGGGCTCCCTCAGGCCACTCAAGGGCCCCTCTCCTCTCCATACAGCTCCTGCTACATTCCCTCTCCTCCTGGCTTTCTGGAACTATCCCTTCCCTCCTCCCTTCCAGCCCAGGGGTGGTGGCATCACCTCCATTTCCAGCCCAGGGTTCCTCTATTCCTGCCCACACTTTTGAAAATGGCCCCTGTATGAAGCCAAGCTGGAGTTATCCACATGTGACTGTTCCTGCTTTTCCTGAAGTCTTGCACCCAGATAGATGCCCCGGAAGAAACCCAGTGCATGCTGGGTCGCCCGGATTCTCCCATGATCCCCTAGTGTCAGCCCCTCCCCCACCAGAACCCACCCCCACCCCACCCCGGCTTCCCCCAAGTCTTAAACGCCAGTGAGTTGAGAGGATGAAAAAGTTCTGGAAATGGATGGTGGTGATGGTTGCACAACAATGTGAGTGTGCTTCGTGCTGCCAAATTGTACATTTAAAAATGGCTAAAATGGTAAATTTTCTGTGATGTATATATTGCAGTAAACCACAAGTTTTAGCCTGTTAAAAACAAAAAAAGCCAATAAGCACAAATCCTCATCCAGCCAGTGTCCCAGCTTTTCTCTCTCCCTGCTCCACCTCGGGTATAGCAATTCCTGCTCGGAGGCATTTGGAGAGGAAGCCCAGTCTACTTTCGATCAATGCGGTATTGATTCGTGTTTCATGAACAAGGACAAAGGCTGATTGCCTTCCAGTGGATCTGAACTTCACACGCCCCCAGGCCTCAGGCACAAAAATGATGCAAACCATTTCCGCAGCCAACAGGGAGGAGGTTCAGCAACCGGCCCTGGGGCGGGCAGGGGAAAGAAAGGCGCTTGGCCAGCGCCACCTGGTAGGAGCCACTCCGGGGCAGAGATGACAAGGTCCGGAGCAGACACCCAAGTTCCTCTTTCCAGCACGGGAACTGAGTCACCCTGCCTGTGTCCTCCCAGCAGCTCCGTTCTGCCCGTAGGCTGGGAGTGGCCTGGTTACAAGGCCAGATGCCCACGGTCAGCAAATTAAAGACAGTCCTTTCCACTGGGAAGAACCAAGACTCCCAGGGCACACAGTAGGCCGGGTTCTAGATGCTGACACTAAAAAAGGGAGCTGAGGCCAGGCGCAGTGGCTCACACCTGTCATCCCAGAACTTTGGGAGGCCGAGGTGGGCAGATCATGAGGTCAGGAGTTCGAGACCTGCCTGGCCAACATGGTGAAACCCTGTCTCTACTAAAAATACAAAAATTAGCCGGGCATGGTGGCGGGCGCCTGTAACCCCAGCTACTCAGGGGGCTGAGGCAGGAGAATCGCTTGAGCCTGGGAGGCGGAGGTTGGTTGCAGTGAGCCTAGATCGTGCCACTGTACTCCAGCCTGGGTGACAGAATGAGACTGTCTCAAATAAATAAATAAAAAGAAGGAAGCTGAGCCGATCACTCCCTGTCCTCATTGAGTTGATGCTCCAGGGCAGCCTGTCTAGTAGAAACATAATGCCACCCACAGGTAGAATTTAACATTTCCTAGTAGCCACGTTAAAAAAGAAAAAAAAAAAAGGGAAAAAAATGTGACTGGGCTCCTTGGCTCACGCCTGTAATCCCGACACTTTGGGAGGCCGACGCGGGAGGGTTACTTGAGCCCAGGAGTTCAAGACCAGCCTGGGAAACACAATGAGACCCCATTTCTACAAAAAAATTTTAAAAGTTATCAGGGCATGGTGACACCTGCACCTGTAGTCCCAGCTACTTGGGAGGCTGAGACAGGAGGATCCTTTGAGCCTGGGAGGTTGAGGCTACAGTGAGCCTTGATCATGCTGCCACCCTCCAGCCTGGGCAACAGAGCAAGACTCTGTCTTGAAAATAATAAATAAATAAAAATAAAAAATGAAAAAAGAGATTAATTTTAATTTAATCTAATTGATCCAAAATATTATCATTTCAGCATGCACACCACATAAAAAATTAATCTGTGAGCTATTTACATGCATTTGTTTCATCCTAACATTCTGAAACCCACTGTGTATTCCACACTTAGAGCCCATCTCAATGTGGACACTAAATTCTCATCGGAAATATTTGATCTGCATTTTGATTCCATAAAACTGACAGTTGAAAAGGTACATTAATCTACTGAAGTTGTTCCATAGAGACTTAAAAGTCTCCAAGAACTGAGTATCAAAAAATCATCTTCCTTTAATATTCACATCCACACTGGCAAAACTGCTTCGGTTTTTAATTTTTAATTTAAACTAATTAAAACAAAGATATGAAGACATAAAATTCAGTTCCTCCGTCCTGATAGCCACATTTCAAGTGCCTGATAGCCACACGTGACCAGTGGCTATTATTTTGGCCAATGCCGTTTTAAATGGAGGAGACAGGCCGGGCGCGGTGGCTCATGCCTGTAATCCCAGCACTTTGGGAGGCAGAGTCTGGCGGATCACATGAGGCCAGGAATTCAAGACCAGCCTGGCCAACATGGTGAAACCCCGTCTCTACTAAAAATACAAAAATTAGCCGGGTGTGGTGGCGGGCGCCTGTAATCCCAATTACTCTGGAGGCTGAGGCAGGAGACTCGCTTGAACCTGGGAGGTGGAGGTTGCAGTGAGCCGAGATTGTGCCACTGCACTCCAGCCTGGGCAACAGAGCAAAACTCCATCTCCAAAAAATAAATTAATTAATGAAATAAATGGAGGAGACAATGAAACTATGTGTAAATGGCATCATTTCATGTCAGCAGAATCTCACAGTAGGTCCTCTTTCCTTGACTGGCTTCTTTCATTTAGCAAATTATTTTGAGACACGTCCATATTGGGGGTAGGTGTGCATGCATACATCCACCTGATAGTAAATGCCAAGAAAGAACACAGAAACTAAAGGCAGGTTGGGAGTGCTTTTAGCTAGAGAAGAGATTTGGATAGGCCTCTCGGAAGAGGTGATGTTTGGCAGACTTGAAGGCAGTGGAGATCTGTGCCACGTTTGGGTCTGGTGGAAGAGGGTCCCAGGCAGAGGGAACAGCCAGTGTGAAGGCCCTGAGGTAGAAGCATGCCTGGTGTACTCAGGAAGCAGAGCAGAGGCCGAGCGGGCTGGAGTGGACAGAGGTTGGGAGAAGAGATAGGAAAGGAAACCAGAACAGTCTCAGGGCCAGACCCCACGACCTCGTGGGGCTTTGTAATAACTAGGACTTCCACTCTGAATCCTCTGTCCCCGCCCCCAGTTCATTCCCAAAATGTCCTCTTTTCTTGCCCAGCTCTTCTCTCACTCAGCGTAGGTATTTTCAGAGTCATTTATTGTATTAGTCCATTTTCACGCTGCTGATAAAGACATACCTGAGACTGGGTAATTTATAAAGAAAAAGAGGTTTAATGGACTCACAGTTCCATGAGGCTGGGGAGGCCTCACAATCATGGCAGAAGGTGAAAGGCACATCTTACATGGTGGCAGACAAGAGAGAAAGAGAACCAAGCAAAAAGGGAAACCCCTTATAAACCATCAGATCTCATGAGACTTATTCACTACCAAAAGAATAGCATGGGGAAAACTGCCCCACAATTCAATTCTCTCCCACCGGGTCCCTCCCACAACCTGTGTAAATTATGGGAGCTACAATTCAAGATAAGATTTGGGTGAGGACACAGCCAGACCATATTATTTATGTTGTCATGCACATCAATAGTTCATTGTAAGGATATACCACCGTGTGCTGACCCACTCGCCTGCTCATGGGCTGTTGGTTTATTTCCAGTTTTTGGCTATGACAAGAAAGCAGCAATGAACATTTGTGTACAAGTCTCTGTGTAGACAGACGCTGTCATTTCTCTTGGGTGAATACCTGGAGTGGGATCACTGGGTCATACTGGAAGTGTATGATTAACTTAAGAAGCTGCCAAACTGTTTTCCAGTGTAGTTATGTGATTTCACATTCCCTCCAGCTGTGTGTGAGTTCCAGGCCCTCTGAATTCTCCCAGTGCTGGAGGGCATCAGTCTTTTTCATTTCAGTCATGCTAGCTGCTGCTGGAGTATTGCATTTTGATTTTGGACTGTGAGATCTCTAAGGTTCGGAATATTCATTCATGCTTTCAACAAATATTTGTTGAGGACCCATGAAGCACTGGGCACTGTGCCAGGAGCAAAAACAAGCATAGTCGCTGCTCCTCTGGTATGTCCAGGTTCAGGGGTGAGACTGACATTTAACAGCTGTGGGGTTACAGGGCCTTTCAGTGCATGAGAGGCCAGGAAACTGTGAGGCAGAAAAGCGTGACCTGTTCTTGTGGAGAGAGAATCAGGGCAGGCTCCCCTGAGTAAATGACTTTTTAAGAACTAGCTGGTTGGCTGGGCACGGTGGCTCACACCTGTAATCCCAGCACTGTGGGAGGCCAAGGAGGGTGGATCACCTGAGGTCAGGAGTTTGAGACGAGCCTGGCCAACATGGTGAAACCCCATCTCTACTAAAACTACAAAAAAATGAGGCAGGCATGGTGGCACATGCTTGTAATCCCAGCTACTCAGGAGGCTGAGGCAGGAGAATCGCTTGACCTGGGGAGGCTGGGGTTGCAGTGAACCAAGATCATGCCACTGTCCTACAGCCTGGGTGACAAAAAAAAAAAAATTTTGAGACAAGGTCTCACTCTATTGCCCAGGCTGGAATGCAGTGGCATGACCACAGCTCACTACAGCCTTGACCTCCCAAGCCCAAACAATCCTCCTACCTCAGTCTCCCAAGTAGCTGGGACTACAGGTGTGCACCACCGTGCCCAGCTAATATTTTTTGCATTTTTTGTAGAGACAAGGTTTCACCACGTTGCCCAACCTGGTCTCAAACTCCCGAGCTCAAGCGATTTGCCCACCTTGGCCTCTCAAAGTGCTGGGATTACAGGCATGAGCCGCCGCACCCAGCCTGAGCAATAAAGTTCTGTTGTTCATAAGCCACCAGTCTATGATATTGTATAACACAAGGGTCACCAACCCCTGGGCCGTAGACCAATACCAGTCCATGGCCTGTTAGGAGCTGGGTCGCACAGCAGGAGGTGAGCAGCGGGCGAGCGAGCATTACCGCCTCCTCTCAGATCAGTGGCGGCGTTAGATTCTCATAGACGCACAAACCCTATTGTGAACTGCGCATGCGAGGGATGTAGGTTGACTGCTCCTTATGAGAATCTAATGCCTGGTGGTCTGAAGTGGAAGTTTCATCCTGAAACCATCCTCCCCACCGACAGGCCGTGGAAAAATTGTCTTCCACAGAACTGGTCTGTGGTGCCAAAAAGGCTGGGGACTGCTGGTATAACAGCAGCCTGAACTAAGACACTCATGTAACAGAAGGCCTAGGGAAAGGCAGTTTCAGGATGATTTTGACCCCATAAAATCATCAAGAACCTAGGAGCTTCCCAGCTTTCTGCTCCACCATTCTCAGTGGGTCAGCCCTGTTTTCCCTCATAGTCATAAAGTGGCTGCTGTGGCTCCAGACAACACACCCTCACCCTCACCCAGTGAGCCAAGCAGGAAGGAAGAGAGGCAGCAAGAGGCACTTTCTTCTCGTTTCTCTCTTATTAAAATCTGCCCCCAGCCGAGTTTCCCTAACATTTTGCTTGCTAGAGCTTGGTCTCATGCCCACCCTAGACCAAGAAGAAACAGGATTCCCTTAGATCTATCACAATCAATTCCCTGGGACAGGGAGACTCACCCCCTAAATAAAATCCAGACCATTTGAGAGGAAAAGAAGGGAATGGTTGCTAAATAGCTGACCACCAGGGCCTGCCTGGCTCACAGATTGTTGTTTAACGGAATTGGTGGCTATCTCAGGAATGTCTGGCTTGCTGGCCTGAGAATTCACCCAAAGTGACACGGCAAAAGCTGAGAGATGGGCCAGGCAGCCTCGTCCCAAACACCAGGTCTCAGTTCCCAAATGTCCTCTAGGCCCCAAGGGGACCCAATGAGGGTCACACGTGGGAACAAGGGGTGACCTCCAGGAGCCCTACCCGTGAGGCTTCTGAGCGGGGGTCCCAGGCCTCTGTTCCCCACACTCCACTGAGACATCAGGTATGGAGCTGGGGCCAGGGGCCACTCAAATTGACCTTACCACTGGCCGCAGCCCAGGCAGCCACTGACATTCAGTCTGAGCGTGCTCTCTCACTCTCTCTCTCCCTCTCTTTTAAAAAGCTTTTTTTCACTTCCCTGGGGGAAACATCTTAGCAATTCCTGAACGCAGCTCTGAAGATGAAGGGCGACTTAGAAACAATGGAATGAAGGCGGTCCCCTCCCATCACCCCCCCTCAGCCGGGGAGGAGCGATGCACAGTCTGTGATCACCTTCCTTCGTTCAGCCCACCATGTGCCTGAGCCTTCTCTGAGTTCCCAGAAGGTGGTCGGGAACAAGCTCCCTCCACTAGGCCTGGCAGCCTCCTGGGGAAGGACAGACAGTCAACAAGAAAGCAAACAAACGCAGCAACGGCAGAGAAAGCTTCGTGCTGCTCAGAGTTTGGCTTGTCTACCTGAAGGTCAGAGAAGGCTTCTCTGAGCAGCTGACCTTGAGCTGAAAACTGGACGAGAAGCCAGCTCTGCAAAGACGGCAGGGAAGTGCATTCAGACGGAGGAACACCAAGCACAGAAACCTTGAAGTGGGAAGGAACCAGGTGGGCTCCAGGAACAGGAAGGGCTGAGTGGCCGGCGAGGCGCTGGGCACCTGAGGTTGTGTGGGCAGATGTGGCTGGAGGGTCTGGCTGTGCTTGGCTCCATATGGATTTGGTATTAAGTCCAAGCATACCAAGAGTACACCTTAGGCTTTGCTTGGGAATTTTTATTTTTTTTCCAGAAATCCTGGAGACAGAGCAGTTAAGAAGCTGTTCTTAGGTTTTTGTTTTTTAAAAAATAGAGATGGGGTCTTGCTATGTTGCCCAAGCTGGTCTCGAACTCCTGGCCTCAAGCAATCTTCCCACCTCGGCCTCCCAAAGCACTGAGATTACAGGCGTGAGCCACTGTACCCGGCCAGAAGCTGTCTTTGGCTCAGGAGTTTGGCTCCAACCTTTGATGTTTTCAGGGGTGACAATGTGCCCCACTGAAGAGTGCCCTTGCCACCCTCCCCTGCAGACACAGGTCATCAATGAGTGACAAGCAGAGGTGTCAGGCAGGGCTCTTTGGAAGCATTCCTATTTTATTTTATTTTATTTTATTTTATTTTATTTTATTTATTTTGAGACAGAGTCTTACTCTGTCGGCCAGGCTGGAGTGCAGTGGCACGATCTCGGCTCACTGCAACTTCGGCCTCCTGGGCTCAAACAATTCTCCTGCCTCAGCTTCCCGAGTAGCTGGGATTACAGGCATGTGCCACCACACCCAACTAATTTTTGTATTTTTAGTAGAGATGGGGTTTCACCATGTTGGCCAGGCTGGTCTTGAACTCCTGACCTCAGGTAATCCACCTGCCTTGGCCTCCCACAGTGCTGGGATTACAGGTGTGAGCCACCGCGCCCAGCCTTCTTTTTATTTTTGAGACAAGATCTCCCTCTGTCCCTCAGACTGGAGTGCAGTGGTGTGACCTCAGTTCACTGCAGCCTCGAGCTCTTGGGCTCAAGAGATCCTCCTACCTCCGCCTCTCGAATAGCTGGGATCACAGGTGTGCGCCACCATGCCTGGCTACTTTTTGTATTTTTTGTAGAGACGGGCTCTCACTACATTGCCCAGGCTGGTCTTGAACTCCTGGGCTCAAGTGATAAGCCCGCCTCGGCCTCCCAAAGTGCTGGGATTACAGACGCGAGCCACCGCTCCTGGCCAGCGTTCCTTTTCAGAGTCAGGTATAGGGAGGCAGCCTGCGGGGGGCGTGGGAGCCCCGCTTTCCGGCTGGTTGTCACCAGGGCTGGCTCTCGGCTCTCAGGCCTCCGCTTGCAGCGCAGGAGCTGACTTCTTCAAAGCCGCCGGGAGCTCCTCTGCTACTGCAACTTCCCCATGGTGTCATGCGGTCATGGGAGAGACTACACCATCACTTTTTTGTCACATGTCGTAACCTGATCCAGGCAACAACTATCCCATCGCGTTCTCACTCAAGGGAGGGATTATCCCAGGCGTGGACACCAGGGGAGAGGGGCTTAGGGGACATTGCAGGATTCTGCCTACCACAGAGGACAAAGCTTTTGGGGAGGCTTGGCCTGGTGCAGATGCTAAACCCAGAGGGGGCCAGTCCAGGGATCTCCCAGAGTTCCCCAGGGTGGTGTCCACTGTCTGAGCAGAACCCTCCACTGGGCAATTTACAGCACAAATTGCGAAGTCCTCACCCTGCATGAAGTAGATGCAATCAGGTGATTCGGGAAAGGCTCAAATGAAAGCAGGGACAAGCCAGGAGAAGGCCAGACTCAGGAGCCTCAGGAGGGCCTGGGAGGTGGCCGGCAGCTGCCACTTCACAGAACCAGAAGATGGAAGGCCCAAGGGCGGAGGAGTCAGGACTAGACTCAGTTGGGTGGGATAGAAAATCCATTCCCCCAGCAGCACAGGGCCCTTGGGGAATTCCCAATGGCTGCTGCCGGTAAATAGAAAAGAAATCCAGCTGCCCACAGAAGGTGGCCTCTATTTTACAGATTAAAAAACTAGTGCTCAGAGAGGTTAAGTGACTTGCCTAAGGTCACACAGCTAGGAAGCGGTAGAGCTGAGATTTGAACCCCCTTGATTTGACTTTCTGTCACTTGCAACCAGTAAGTCCTGATTAGTATGCCATGCGACCCTTGGCAAACCAGGGAGCAAGTTCCTGAAGCTTTTATTATAGTTTCGTTTGTGTGTGTGTGTGTGTGTGTGTGTGTGTGTGTGCGTGTACACACGCATGTATGTGTGCAGGGTTACAAGATGTACTTCTTACCAGGGGTTGTGTTTTAAAATATTTGCAAACAGGCCAGGAGCAGTGGCTTACGCCTGTAATCCCAGCACTTTGGAAGGCCAAGGTGGACGGATCACTTGAGGTCAGGAGTTCGAGACCAGCCTGGCCAACATGGTGAAACCTTGTCACTACTAAAAATACAAAAATTAGCCAGGCATGGTGGCACATGTCTATAATCCCAGCTACTTGGGTGGCTGAGGTGGGAGGATTGCTTGAACCTGGGAGGCAGAGGTTGTAGTGAGCCAAGATCATGCCACTCTACTCTAGCCTGGACGACAGAATGAGACTCCATCTCAAAAAATTAAAATAAAATAAAATATAATATAAAATAAAATAAAACAATTTGCAAGCATTGCTCTAAACTCGTGTTACTCAAAGTGTCCTCCATGGATCAGCAGCCCCAGATACTCTGGGAGCATGTTGGAAACGCAGTCTCAGGCCCCACCCTAGGTCTGCTGCAGCAGAACCTGCATTTTAGCAAAATTCTTGGTTGAGCTGTGTGCAGTTTTGAGAAGCCCAGCTCTTGTTAGAACCTAAGAGCACCCGTAGTGCCTAGGGCTCTGCAAGGAGCTCCAGGGCCCCCCATCATCTCTCAAGGCTCCCCCAGATGTGAGGGGAGCTTAGGGCAGTGACAGGAACTGAAAACAGAACCCCCAAATGCTTCCCACCCCACTGCCCAGCCCTCCCCGCTGCTGCCTCCTGGCGTAGCTCTCCCTGGGACTGTGCCCAGGGTTTCCCTCTCCCTGGGCCTCTCAATACCTCCTGGGGGCTGAGGCCCACCCGCCCAACTTGCCCGCCAGGGCCACCCGGGACAGGGCTTTGCAAGCTCCCCAGAAGTGGAAGTGGGACTTTGTTTAAAGAAACAGACCACAAAAAGGGTGGCGACCAGCTCCCCTCTGCCCTGCCATGAAGGTGTACCCACAAAGAGCTAAGCTCGCAGCAGGAGGGATGGAAGTCAGATAGTTAGACAAGTGTGGTGCTGTGGTTACCACCACAATTTCTGACTCCTGTCTCCACCCAGCAGCTCCTTGAGAACATTTATCCATCCACCCACCCACCCACGCATCCACCTACGCACCCACACACCTACCCACGCACCCGCGCACCCACCCACCCATGCACCCACGCAGCCACGCACACACCCATGCATGCACCCGGCCACCCACGCACCCACGCACGCACCCACGCATGCATCCATCCATGCACCCACCCACCCACGCACGTACCCACCCACGCACCCACACACCCGCCACGCATGCACCCACCTGCACACCTACACACCCATGCACCCACCCACCCACGCACCTATCCACGCACTTACCCACCCACTTACCCACACATTCACCCACCCATCCACCACTTACTGAGGTCCTCCTGAGTGCCAGCCACTGCTCCAGGGACTGGGGTACAACAGTGAACAGACAGGCAAGCATTCTGCCACTAACCCACTGGGTGACTTATGAAGTCGCCAAGCCACCCCAGGCCTCAGTTTTCCCTTTGGTAAAATGTGAGAGTTAAACAAGAGGCCTCCAAAACATTTCATTTTGATCTTTCTTTTGATATGGCAGTAATAAGGGTGAATGGCACACAGTAAGTGCTCAATGAGTGCCTGTCCATGAACAGACACGGCCCGGACACCACTGTCCATGCTCCCGATTTTACAGGGGCAGCCCCAGGTCCAGCCCTGCGGTGAGACAGCTGGATGATCGTTCTGCACTGCTGTGCCAGCGACGGGCCTCGGTGTGGTCATGTGACTCACTTCTGACCAAGGAGGCATCAAAGGAAGTCTGCTGGGAACTCAGGGAAAGATTTTGCTTCCTGATATAAGAGAAACACACAGAGAAGACCTCCTCTCTCCCCACCCAGCCCCTTTCTTCCAGTTTGAGAGGTTGCAGTGTAAATAACTGATGTCTGGAGCAGCTGCAGCCATATTGGAACCCTGAGACAAGAGAGATGGCAGCGTGATACGCACTGAATGGCCTGGTCTTCGATAGCATCACTGAGGGGCTGAGCCACACCGGGGAACTCATACCTCCGGACTTCTTAAGTTAAATGGCCTTGTCATCTACGCCATAGTGTGCTGGGTTTTCTGTTACCTATAGCTGAGGCATGCTAACCAATCCGGTCAGTTCTTCAAAGCCACTTCTTACCCACCTCCCAAAGCTTTGCTCAAACGCCCCTTCCCTGACCAGCGCCCATCCAGATGCCCTTGAACTCACCGCAGTCCCCAGCAGCACACTGAGCATAGATGCGGTTTAATTTGCCAGGAGAGCTGGGGATAAATCCCTAACCCTAACCTCTAACATGGGCCATGCAGAAGGAAAATCCCATTTTTCTGGTGCCCTCGTCCAAGTCAGAGCCCTGGGCTGCAGAGAGCCTGGCTCTGCATCTGCGCAGTGACTAGGTGGATTCCTAGCCAACCTCAAGGTCAATAGTGATAGCACAGGAAGCCAAACTGCATCAGAATTCCCAGCTAAGGCCAAGAAGCCAAGCAGGCCTCAGCCTTGCCATTTCCTAGCTGTGTGCCCTTGGGCAAGTGACTTCACTTCTCTGGGCCTCAGTTTCCCCATCTGTACAATGGGAACAGTAACACCTCAAAGATCATGGTGAAGGCTAAATGGAGGCAATGAAGGGAGCCAGCTAGCCACTCGGAGGCCCATTTCCCATGGGCAGGAAGTTAGCATGAGGGTGGTTGGGAGGATGACACCCCACTCCCGGGATGTGTGGGAATGAAGTTGTCTGGTAACCAGTGTGCGGCCAGGGTCATCTCACAAACTCTCTACTCTAGATCCAGCTTCCACAGAAAGTTCCAGGACATGAGCTGTCACTAACCCTTCCCTGGCTGCCACCCAACAGCAAGGTGGCCTTCCCCTGTACCTCCCAAGGGTCCGAGGCCGTCCCCAGGCCCCTGCTCAGGACCACATGCTGGCCAGGCCCCGGCTGTTTCCCGCTGCTGTGGGAAGACGAGACAGGCGAGATGACAGGAAGGCCTTTTCTATCCAAAGTGTAATCAGACACCCCGCGTACCTGCTCCCACCTCACTATGAGGAGAGGCCAATGAGTAATAAGATCTGACGTTTCTGGAGCATTGCTACGTGCCAGATGTGTTCTAGCACTTTCTATCAACTTATTTCATCCTCAGAACAACCCTGTGCAGTAAATACTATTATCATCGCCATTTTACAGATTAAGAAACCAAGGCTCAGAGAGGTTAAGTAACTTGCCCAGGGTCACACAGCTAATAGGTAGTGGAGCTGGGCTTCGCACCCACCTGATTTGACTTTCTGCCATTTGCAGCCAGTCAGTCCTGATTAATGTGTCATGTGACCCTGGGCACCTGCTCTGAACCAAACTGGAAGGCGAGCTGGCCGAGAAGCCCCTTCCTTCTCAACAAACGGGTCAAAGCTCCAGTGCTCCTACTCCGACAGAAACCCCGACAAATGGAGATGGCGGTGGCCAGGGTCAGCAAGAGAAGCAGGCGGCCTGGGTTGGGGGCCCCGGGACCACACACGGAAGGCGCCGCGTTGCCTTCTCACCCGGCACCAGCAGCCCCAGGCAGCTTAACCCAGGAGGTCACGCGTCTCTTTTGAAGTCTGAGTCACAGGACGAAGATTCCATTTAACGCCCCGATAAAGCAAAACCACTGAGAAAACAAACGAGAGGCTGCCCAGGCATGAAAACGCCCACCCTCCGGGAGCCCCGGGCTAGCTGCACGGCAACGGGGCTCGTTCCAAGCCAGCCTGTCGCTCAAGAATGATCCCAGCCCAGGAAGATGCAAGGCCGTGACTATCAGCCCCATTTTACGGGTGCGGAAATGGAGGGCCAGAGAGGTTGCACCACCTACGCAAGGTCACACAGCCCATGAATGAGACCGGAAATGGCGAATAAAATTCAGGTCTCCTCATGCCCCCCAGTGCTCTTCCCTCCTTCCTCAGGGCCAGGTGAGAGTTCTCCCTCCCCTGCTGTAGAGAGCAGGTACTGTTTTGGGGTACACCGCATTCATTTCTCTTTTTTAAGAGACAGGGTCCCGCTCTGTTGCCCAGGCTGGAGTGCGGTCATGCAATCATAGCTCACCTCAGCCTGGAACTCTTGGGCTCAAGCAATCCTCCCACACTGGCCTGCTAAAGTGCTGAGATCACAGGCGTGCGCCACTGCATGCAGCCTCATTCCCCTTTTCAATGGGGGCATCACTCTGAATTTCCTCCACGCAGTCCAGGACAGTCAGGTGGCCTCCACCCCCTGAAAGGGCAGAGCCTGTGCCCCAGGCCTGGCCAGTCAGAGCACTGCTAGCCAGGTGACTGGCTCAGAGACGGGCATGCGACCCGAGCTGGTCCCATCAGAGGGAGGGCTAGGTAATTGTGCCAGAGTTACCAGGGAGGAAATATTCCATCTCCCCCTAGACTGGAACCAAGGGAGATGTGAGTTAACACAACACAAGTGTATTATTTTACAGTTCTAGAGGTCAGAAGGCCACAGCGGGCCTCACTGGACTAAAAGCAAGATGTTGGCAAGGCTGTGTTCCTTCTGGAAATTGCAGGGGAGCATCCATTCTCTGCCTTTTCCAGCTTCTAGAGGCTGCCCGCACTCCTAGGCTCATGGCCCCTTCCAGCAAAGCCATCACTCCTGCCTCTGCCTCTGCCTCTGCAGTCACAACTCCTCTCTCTGACTCATGCTCCTCTTTCACTGATAAGGAACCTTGTGATTACATCACCCTTATGATAATCCAGGAGAATCCCCCCATCTCAAGACGTGTAACGTCATTAGATCTGCAAGGTCCCTTTTGCCATGTCAGCTAACATATTCACATGTTTCCTGGGATTAGGACATGGACATCTTTGGGGGTGGTTATTTTGCCCACCATAGCAATCAGAACCATAGCAGGCAGGGTGCCAAGATGGAGAGGAAGTAAATCCTGGTGAATATTTTGAGCCCCCGGATCAAGCTGTACCTGAAGGTATGTACTTAACTTTTCAGTTATATCATGATGATTAAATTTCCTTTTTTCCCCTAAGCTAGTTGGAGGCTTTTGTTTTGCTTTGTTTTGTTTTACCTTTTGCAAACAGAGAGCCTGGCTGAATTAACTCCCAACCCATAAAGATTTCACCGTGAGAAATTACCAGCTTGCATGTGTCTCTCACATGAGGCTGAAATCTTGAGAGTAAAGACAACACCTCCTATAACTTTGTCTCATCAGCACCTAGCAAAGGAGGCACTGAGAAAATGTGTGTTGATTGAATAACAATTTGCTGATGGAATAAACACCCTCCTACATGCCCTCCCTCAGTGGCCATCACGAGAACAAGAGGGCAGAGAGAAGCCTTGGCAGGATTTCCCAGGGGTGAATGGCAGGCCAGTCATTTCCCTCTGGGGGTGGCGGCTTCCTCAGAGAGAGGCGACCCAGACAGAAGTCCTGGAGAAAGCCTGAGTTCCATGGGCAGTGAGTGGCCCTGCCACCCAGATCCAGCGCTTCCCAGTTGATCCCGGGACAGCAGCTGCAGCACTCTGCCGACAAATCTTTCTGAGTCATTTCTGGTCAGGAAGCAGCTCGCTGTCAGATGAAAGTCACAGCGGCTCCCTCCACACACCTGGAGGAGGCAGCAGCCTCCTCATTTTCCACAGCCGAAGAGCTCGGCGGCCATGGCCCTGCAAGGAGGGTTTTATGGGGCCAGGAGAGGAGTCAGAAGAGAAGCCTCCCAGGAGGACCCGCATGTCCTGGTCTTGGTCCCCAGAACTGAGCTATCATTTTACCCGATGACTAGGTCACTGCCATTCTTGTTCCCACGTGCGTCTGAGACACATGGTCCAAGGCAGGCTCCCTCCCTCTCTTCTGCGCCCCCCTCCCCAGACATACCTGCCTGTTCTTTTCTGATTTATCCTCTGTGGGCCCCCAGGGAAAGGCCTCATCCCTTGACAGATCCACGCTGAGCCCTGGTACAGCAGTGGGGCGGGCCTTTGCATATGCTGTTCCCTCTAGCTGGCACACTGTTCCCCACATGGTCTAAACTTTAGCTACTGTCACCCAGGGATGCTCAAAGACTGAACTGAAACATTGCTTTTTGTTCATGTACTCAACTGGCATTTATCATGATCATTGGTGATACGGATACAGCACTTACAATGTGCCAGACTCTGTTTCATCTATTACAGATACACATAACAACTTATTTAGTCTTCACCAAAAGGCTAAGAGGTGGGGAAATTGAGGCACGGGTAGTAAGTGACAGACCCAGAATTTGGACCCAGACAGAGCTGCCCCCAGGGACTGGGCGCTCAACCCTTGGGCCACACCATGCTCGACAGATTTCCTGGACTCCTGGACTTTAGCCAAGTCCCCCTGCTGTGCCCCCACCCCCAACTGCCTACCAGACCCCGTGAGCAGGGGCAGGGGCTGCTTCGTTCACCTGTGACCCCCAGCACCCTCACTGAATGGTACATCAATAAATAAATGAATGAATTGCAACCAAGCCTTGTGACCTTGGGCACTTAACAGTCCTGTGCCTCAGTTTCCCCTCTGTGGAATAGGGACAATAATGGTATCGACTCTGACAAAAGGGGAGTCCTGACAAGGAATTTGAATGAGAAGGAATTTCCTGATAAGGAATTTGAATGAGAGATGGGGGGATCTCAAAATACACCAGTGATTTCAGTCACACTGCTCCACAGAGGCCCAGGCATGAGTGACGTTATATAAATATTTAATAACTTGATGGTCTGGGCTCCCATCCAATGGAATGAAACCTGGATGTAAACACCGGGCACAGTGTCCTTATGTGGATCGGTGTGTCTGACCCCTGGGCACCCGCTGGGGGTGCAGCTCCACCAGGCCCAGTGCTCTGGAGCTCCCGCAGACGCCACCTGCCACCACGCATAAGCCAAGGTGAACAGGCAGCCGCAGGAAGGGCGTCCAGATGGGTGAGTCGCTGGGACCCTTTGCAGACTCCCGAGGGGCGGTGGAGCCCACAGAAAATGCAGTGGGGCTGCAGAGCCTGGACTCCCCACCCAGGCCAGATGTCCTCAGCTCAAGACCCACCAGGCGCTTCCTCCCCGCTGGTCTACAGTGCCTGAAACGTGGGCCTCCCCGACGCGGGCAGTGGGTCTGTTGGAGTGGCCAGAAGGGTCCTGTTAGGGAACCTGTGGATGGCTCAGGATTTTAGAATACTCCGAGCCTGGGGTGCCCAGAGAGCGGACCTTCGGAACCCACATGAGTGTCTCTGCTTGTGACTCCCGGCAGCTCCTTAATCCTAAAGAAGCCAGATCCGAATCTTGCCAAATTGTAGCCAGGAGTTCTCGAGCAGCCGGAGAGCGATGGATTTCCACCGGCAGAGGAAAGATCCAGCTTTAGGAGCAGAATCACACCTGCCAGCTGGCCCTAGCAAGCTGTGGTCTCTGGGAGGCCAGGGACGAGAGCCCACTCCCTCCTCCGTTCATGGCTCAGGGTCGTGGCCAGAGCCTGCCTGTGTAGAGGCGACTCCAGCAGCCCCCAGCCCCGCCCAGCTCTGCCCACACAGCTGCAAGGCCAGCATCCTGCCCTTTGTCAAGTTCACCACAGTCATGTCCCACCCCCCATTCGCTGAAATCAGCCCCAAATTGCCTGGAAACCCAGACCCCGCACCCCCTCCCCAGCTTTCCTTCTTCATGGAGTTTCTATTTCAGAACAAGGAAACAGATACCCCCAAAACAATTAAAGAAATAAATCTATAATTACAAATTGTACTACGTGCCATGGGGAGAAATGGCAAGCAAAGGAGATGGGCTACTTTTAAGGATGAGTTTTGACACCAAAATAGTTCCAGGATATTTCCTGGGTTTGTGAGAACAAGGGTTTTTATCCCACGAAAGAGAGAACAAAGAAAGGAAAGAGGGAGGGAAAAGAAAAGGAAAGAAAGAGAGGGGAGAAGAAAGGGAGGGAGAGAAGTCAGGAAAGAGAAAAGGGCCACTGATTCCCCAGAACCATGGCCTCATCCAGGGGCCATTACAACGCAGCCATGAGACAAATCCAGCCAGTAGCAAAGGAGAAGAGTTCGCAGCCTGCACACTAGGAATAATTTTTACATTTTTAAAATTTTTATATATTTATTCATTTATTTGAGACAGGGTCTTGCTCTGTTGCCCAGGCTGGAGTGCAGTGGCCCAATCACAGCTCACTGCAGCCTTGAACTCCTGGGCTCAAGCAATCCTCCCACCTCAGCCTCCCGAGTAGCTGGGTCTACAAGTGCATGCCACCACACCCGGCTAATTTTTTTTTAAACACTGGGTCTCACTACGTTGCCCAGGATGGTCTCAAACTCCTGGCCTCAAGTGATCCTCCTGCATAGGCCTCCCAAAGCAATGGGATGACAGGCATGAGCCACCGCACCTGGTCATTCTTTACATTTTTAAGGAGTTTTTACAAACAAAACAAAAAATAACAAAGAATGCACAACAGAGGCCTCATGACGCACAAAGCCTAGAATATTGACTATCTGGCCCTTGACAGAGCACGCTTGCCATCTCCGAATCCCGCCACTGACTCCTGCCTGGGCCAGCCGTGAAAAGCAGAAAGAAGGGACAGATCAGACGGCCGAGAATTTTCCATTTCTGCCCACGAGGCCAAGCACCATCCATCACAAACCTCTAAACGCCGAGGCCTGGAAGGTTAAGTGATTTCTGCTCCAGCTCAGTGAGGCGAGGTCAGGGGCCGGCCAGAGAATGGATGTCCTCATGCACCAAAGAGAAAGGAGTCATTGCCCAGCCTCTACCATTAGCCATTGCTCATCGGCTGTTTAGGAAGCAGGGGCATTAATTTTGCTTGTTCCACGCGTGGTGTTTTATGAAATAAGGGGAGAGAAAAGGCCTATTTGTCAGTCAGGGCTCCTGGCTTCAAGTGACAAAATTCCCAATTCAAAGTGGCTGAAGCGACGGAGAGAGTTTATCGGCTCATGTTACTGAAAAGTCCAGGGGTTGGGTGAGTTTCAGGCACAGCTGGATCCAGGGGCTCACAATGGCACCACCAGGACTCATTCTCTCCATTCCTCTGGGTGTTGTTGTTGTTGTTGTTTTGGGTTTTTTTAGATGGAGTCTCGCTTTTGTTGCCCAGGCTAGAGTGCATTGGCATAGTCTTGGCTCACTGCAACCTCTGCCTTCCGGGTTCAAGCAATTCTCCTGCCTCAGCCTCCCTTGTATTTTTTGGTAGAGACAGGGTCTCGAACTCCTGACCTCAGGTGATCTGCCCACCTTGGCCTCCCAAAGTGCTGAGATTACAAGCATGAGACACCACGCCTGGCCCTCTGGGTTGGTTTTATTCTCAGGCAGGCTCTCCCGTCCTAAGGTAAGAATCTCACTGATACCCGACTACATCATGTGACCCTCCTTTGGACCAATGACTGCTGTCAGAGGATGGGATGACCTGATTGGCCAAGCCTTGGTCATGTGCTCCTCCAGGAGCCAGGGAGGCGGGGTCAGCCCCACCTGAACTACAGATGATGAGAGAAAAGAAGAAAGCTGTTTTCCTCAACGAGATCCGGGGCGCCATTACCAGGAGGAACAGATGCTGAGTTGGTAAAAGCAACAGCTGTCCCCAACAGAAGCAAACTCCTATTTCCCAGGCCCCTTGGCTAAGTCTCACCACCACCCATTTTACAGCTGAGTAAACTGAGGTCTTGGAGGTGAAGTCAGTCTCCTTCTTTGGTGATGCAGTCGGCACCCCAGTCCCAATCTAGGTCTGATTCATGCTCAGGCTGTTCACATTGACCAGCGTGCATCTCTAATCCTGCCCTCCAAGAAGCCTGCACACAGTTGGTGTGCAATAAATGCACAGCACATCAAATTGTTGTTAAGAGTCTGCCCCTGCCCACTGGACCATAAGATGCCTGAGGGCAGAGACCATGTCTGTCCTGTTCACTGTGGCACCCCAACACCCAGAGCGTAGTAGGTGCCCCCCCCAACGCTTGGTAAATGAATGAATGACTCCCTGGCGTATAGTACGCGCTCCACAAATACTGGACAAACATGTATCTCTGTGGATGCTCCACAAATACCTGCTAAGTGAATGCAAGTCTGTCTAGGGCCTCACGCACAGTAGGTACTCCACAAACAGTGGTAAATGAACAGATTCTTAGTGCCTGCACATAGTGGGTGCTTAGTAAATATTTAGTGAATCAATGAGTGGATCTCGATGGGAACCAAGCTGCCTGGATGCTCAAATATTTCCAGATCATTAACAAGATAGAGAGAGGAGAGAGATTAGGGGGCTGGTGGGGGAGGAATGAATGAGTGAAAGAATGAATGAAGGAAGGAAGGAATGACAGAAACCTTTGCTGGACTTTAGTGCTCAGACAAGGATCCACAGTCCTTGCGGCTCCACAGCGAGAATCAAGGCTGCCTGGAAGGAAGACCCAGTTTTGGAAAGGGCGCTGGGTCTTTGTGAGCTAGGAGAGGGGGCGGCGGGGCTGGCAGCAGAGTCAGGAGGAAGGGAGGTCAGCCAGGGCGGGCGAGCAACGGGGCCGTGCCAGGGACACCGCGCCCCGGGCAGGGCCTGCTCCCCCTGCCCCGACCTTGCCTCCCGTTCCACAATAGAGCATCCATTGTAAGTGGGTAATTGGGTTCCGGCACATCCCCTCCCCCGGCTGGGGGTGGAAGCAAAGGGAAACACAATCTGTTTTCTATTTGTCACGGCTGCCAAGACGCCACTCCCTCCCCCAGCCTCCGCTCTGGCTGGCCCGCTGAGCCACAGCCGCTGCGACATTCCTTGGCCTGGGCTGAGCCTGCATTCAGAGCTGCCCACCCCCGCTGGCTGACCCAAGAGAAACCACGTGACAGAGACCCAGAATCAGCCTCAGGGGCCTCCTGGCCTCGTTCCCCAGCCTCCCCCATGGGAAGCCAAAACCACAGCCCTCGCTGGAGGCTTTCCACCCCAAGGAGGACTCACATCCTGGCTCCCTCTCTTTTTAGCTGTGTGACCTTGAGCCAGTCACTCAGCCTCTCTGTGCCTGTTTCCTTCTCTAAAATGGGGAGGATAGTAATGATAGAGAGGCCCTCTTGCGTGTTAAACATACTCCTCCAGGCAGAGTGCAGAGCACATAGAAAGGGTTTGGTCGCTGTTAGCTGTCATTTGATTTATTCTTTTAGGGAGTGAGTGGGACCTTCCTGGTTTCAGTGTAATTCGCAGAGTTGGGTGTCTCTGTTCCCGAACAATTTGAAGTGGGGGAGACAAGGGTAAATGCTCAGGGGGCCCCATGCCTGAGCCGCAGGCTGCCTCACTGCACTGCCCACTCACACGCAAAGGGCCTGTTGGATGCCTCATGTGCGCCCAGCTCACACTGACCTGACAGGAGAGGATCAGAGAGGTGAGAGGAGGAACATACAGAAAAGTCAAAGGTCTGAGCTCTGCCTATGAGGGGCTGGCGACCCGTAGTGTTGGGTTAGAAAGCAAACAGGCTCTGCTGACATGTCCCTAAGCCCCTGAGTTCTGTGGGAGTTGGGGAACTGCAGCAGGCTTGGAGGACTTCCTGGAGGAGGGGAGCCAGGTTTGAATCCTGCCTCTGCTGTGGGTCTTGGGCAATGTCTTCACCGCTCTGGACTTTGTGATTTCATCTTTTGGGGACTTCTTCAAGAAAAAGAACAGCACAAGTCAGCCAGGCCTTTAACAGGTAAGGTTAGGGCAATTTCAGAAGAAACCAAGACACCTTGAACTTGGCTTTCGTTGTTGGATGAAATCCCGGGGTGGCCTTGACTTGGATGTTCAGAGTAATCCTGCTTCAGCCCCGCAAAGGGCCTGTGTGGACAGATGTGCACCTGGGGCTCCAACCCCAAGCCCCTCCACACCTTGGGCAATCACTGAACCTCCCAGACTCAGTCTCCACATCTGTAAAAGGGGACTTCAGAGGCACCAGCGTGAGAGCTTAAGCTAACAGACTTGGCACACAGCAACTGTTCAATAGATCTTAGCAACTACCCCTAATTCCCAGAGGCAGAGGCGTCTGAGAAAAGCGGAGGCAACAGACAGCAGAGGCCACAGCTTATTTGTGGACAGCAGCGGGGCCCTCACTCCCCTCTTGATGAATAAACCTGCACATGGTAGTAATGGTCCACATGAGTTCTTTCATGACCTCAGGTGCATAAAATCGGATTAATCATTGTCTTGTGACTCACTCCCATGGTTGGTGAAGCCTGACCTGTTTTGTTTTATGGGTTTATTTCTTCATTTCTTTTTGTGGTTTTGAATTTGTTTCACAATATAATGGACACTCATGAAGCTACCCCCAATGCAAGAACAGAACATAGGCAGGGACACATCTGCCCCCAGACTCTCCCCAGAAGTAAGCCCCACTCCTCGATTTAAATAAACACGTATTTTGTCCTCACTGTGGGCTTTGGGCATGAGCATGTTTGTGCCTAAACCGGTGCTTCTCACACGACAGTGTGCTCAGTCACTTGGGAGACTGTGGCCCAGCCCAGAGCATCCAACTCAACAAGTCTGGAGGAGAGCCCGAGAATGTGCATTGCCAACACGTTTCCAGGAGCTTTTGCTGCTGCAGCTCTGGGACCACACACTTCGAGAAGCTCACCCTAAAGAATGTATTATCAGGCCGGGCGAGGTGGCTCACACCTGTAATCCCAACTCTGTGGGAGGCCAAGGCGGGAGGATCACTTGAGGTCAGGAGTTTGAGACCAGCCTGACCAACATGGTGAAATCCCGTCTCTACTAAAAATACAAAAATTAGCTGGGTGTGGTGATGCACGCCTGTAATCCCAGCTACTCAGGAGGTTGAGGCAGGAGAATTGCTTGAACCCGGGAGGCAGAGATTGCAGTGAGCCGAGATGACGCCACTGCACTCCAGCCTGGGTGACAGAGTGAGACTTTCAAACAAAAAAAAAAAGAATTGATTATCGAGTCATAGTTGTTTTTAAACCTCCTAACACAAGGGTCATGGTGTATGTGGTCTTCTGTGACTAGGTTTTAGGTTTTGTTTTTTAACTCTCCACAGATGAGTCTTGATTTTACCTGAAGTGAGATTGACTCCGGGCACTTTGGTAGTGTCTGGAGACATTTTTGGCTGTCACAACTGGTGGAGAGGGTGCTGTGGCTCCAGGTATGCTGCGAAACGTCCCACAACCCACAGGACGGGCCCCATCACGAGGGGTGCACTGGCCTCCAATGTCCGTAGTCCCAAGAGACGCGAAGACGCACGTCCGCGCAAGAACTTGTACACAAATGTGCATAGCAGCGTTATTCACAGGAGCCAAGAAGTGAAAACAGCCCGAAAGTCCACCCGCTGACGACTCCATAAACCACACATGGTCTGTCCATGCAATGGAATATGACCAGCCACAAAACAGATTCAGCACTGACACGCTACAAAGTGGACAAACCTCGAAACATGATGCAGAGTGAAAGACGCCAGACACCGAAGGCCACACAGTGTCCGGTCCCATTTCTATGGAAAGCCCAGACCAGGCGGACCCGTAGAGCTGTACAGTAGGTTGGTGTTTGCCAGGGGCCGGGGGAGAAAGGAACAGGGGGTGACTGCGCATGGAACAGGGTTTCGTTTGTGCTTTTTTTTTTTGAGATGGTGTTTCACTCTTGTTGCCCAGGTTGGGGTGCAATGGTGTGATCTCAGCTCACTGCAACCTCGGCCTCCCAGATTCAAGCGATTCTCCCGCCTCAGCCCCCAAGTAGCTGGGATTACAGGCATGCACCACCACGCTCAACTAAATTTTTTTTTTTTTTTTTTTTTTTTAGTAGAGATGGGGGTTTCACCATGTTAGTCAGGCTGGTCTCAAACTCCTGACCTCAGGTGATCCACCCACCTCAGCCTCTTCTAAGTGCTGGGATTGCAGGTGTGCACCACTGCTCCCGGCCCTTTTTTTTTTTTTTTTTTTTTTTGGACAGGATTTCACTCCCATCACCCAGGCTGGAGAGCAGTGGTATGATCTCAGCTCACTGCAGCCTCTGCCTCCTGGGCTCAGGTGATCCTGTTGCCTCAGGCTCCTGTGTAGCTGAGACCACAGGCACACACCACCATGCCCAGCTAACTTGTGTAATTTTTGTATAGATGGGGTCTCGACATGTTGCCCAGGGTGATGTTGTACTCCTAAGCTCAAGTGATCCTCCCACCTAAGCCTCCTGAAATGCTGGGATCACAGGCGTGAGCCACCGCGCCTGCCTGGGTTTCCTTTTGAGGCTTGAAGATGCTGCTGCTGCACACATTCTTAGTCATGTCGCCTGGGACGCACGTTCAAGAATTCTGCCTTGGCGCACACCAAAGAGAAAAATTACTGAGTCTTCAAGAACAGGAAAGCTCCACTTTACTGGAAAATGTTGGCATTATGTTGAGTACTTGCTACTTGCACCCGGCACTGGGCTAGATAGCGACCTATTTTCTCATGTAATTGTCCCTGCACTAGTATTCTTGGGTCCATTTTAGAGATGAGGAAACTGAGACTCAGAGAGGGGGATTAACTGGCCTGGCCCAAAAGTGGCAGAACAGCCTTAAGCTCTTGGCCACTCATCCTACAGCTCACTCCCGTCACTCCCCTTGGAGCCTGAGAGACGGTTCCCCAAACAGGCACACTGCAGGCAGCGGGGCGGGGAGGGGGCTTGGCAGAAGCCACGGACATCCCCCCCGGCAATGGCCTTTGAATAATTCACCAGCCGCTTCCAGCCCAGCCCAGTGGTAAACACTTGTTTAGAAAGTAACCAAGAGCCTCCAACAGGTTTCCCAGAATGTGGCCTGCTGAAATTTCTGGAACCCCTGGCAAGCCTACATAACAAATCCCAGCCACCTATGCCCTCAGGTACACAGAACCGTCCACCACCCCAATGCCTCCTGCCTGCCCTGTGTCCAAACTTCAAAAAGTGCCTGCACACCCACACAGAGAGGAAAAGCACAGCTACAGCGCATGCAGGTCTGCAAGCCGCCAACCTGGTTCCCAGCAGAGAGGAAAAGCACAGCCACAGTGCATGCGGGGTCTGCAAACCACCAACCTGGTTCCCAGCAGAGAGGAATAGCACAGCCACAGCGTATGCGGGTCTGCAAACCGCCAACCTGGTTCCCAGCAGAGAGGAATAGCATAGCCACAGTGTATGCGGGTCTACAAACCGCCAACCTGGTTCCCGATGCCAGTTTTACTGTGAACTTGCTCTGTGACCACAGGGCAGTGACCTGACCTCTCTGAGCTCCAGTCTCCTCACTTAATATAAGAGGGATATCAAGGCAACATGCATACATGTCAGGCCGCAAACCCCGATCTGCAAGATATAACTGATTTTTATTTCTTTCCAATTGACTGGGGGCTGATTCCAAACCCCATCCTCCCAGGATGAAGGAAGATTCAGTCTCAGGATTGGGGCTCCTCCATGCTGGGTCGGATCAAAGACCAAATGTCCATGAGGTCCCTCCAGTCACTGGTTCCCCTGGGCACCCTGGAGAGACCTGGGATGGGGAATGGGGACTGTGAAGTGGTCCTTTCTGGGGTGAAGGGGGCGGGCCTTGTCTGTCCTGGAACTCTTGGCTTAGGGCGCCCTCTTCCTGGTGCAGGACACAAATTCTAGACCCCTCACCTCCAGAGCATTGCGGCAGAACCAGGTCACCAGGCCTGCCTCACTACCTGCTCCCAGCACACGAAAATCTCGCTCCCTCTCTCCATTTCCCTCCAGAACCAGCAACAGCTTTCCTCGCAAGCTCAGGTGTGACCAACGTGTAGTTCTCCTGTTCTGTGGGAGTAAAACTGGCTGGGCACACGGCCACAAAGCCTGAGACCCGGAGACCTCGCTCCCCCTTCCCTTGCTTCTGCTGGAATGTGAATGGAAGTGTCCACACCTGCTTCACGGGCTTCTCCCTCTCCCCCTTTCTGAGAGCTGGAATGTGGGTCTGGTTTTAACACTGCTTCAACCACGCCATGAGGACCATATCCAGGCGGGATGGACGACAGGATGGAAGGGGCTGGGCCCCAATTACTGTAAGGCAAAGCTCCTGGCCGTCCTGACGGCCCGCCTCCGTCAGCCCTCTTACAGTAGAGAGAAACAAGCTTCTCTCTTGCTTTAGCCAATGTTGCATTGGAGTTTCTCTTCTTTCTCTCTCTCTTTTTGTTTTGTTTTGTTTGTTTTTGAGACAAGGTCTTGCTCTGTCGCCCAGGCTGGAGTTCAATGGCTCTATCATAGCTCACTGCCACCTTGACCTCCTGCCTCAGCCTCCCAAGTAGCTGGGACTGCTGGTGTGTGCCACCATGCCCACGTCCAGCTAAATTTTTTTTGTATTTTTTGTAGAGACAGGGTCTCACTATGTTGCCCAGGCTGGTTTCAAACTCCTGGCCTCTAGTGATCCTCCTACCTCAACCTCCCAAAGCACTGAGATTACAGACATGAGCCACCGTGCCCAGCCTGGAGTTTCTTTGTTACAGCAGCTGAATCTATACCCTGACTAATACATCGAGTTTTCACAAAAGGCCAGTATAGATGGACTATCTTCCAGAGGCTTCTCATCTCTGCCCAGAAAAACAAATATCGAGGAAAGGGCTGGATGTTGCCTTGGAATTGAGGGAGGGAAATCACAGGGTGAATAAACACAGATGACTATCTCAGTAAAGAACCTGCTTACCACAGTGCCTTCCTTGGGGGGTGGTTTGAAGGACCCCCAGGGACTGATGCATACAAGACAGCCGGCTCCTGAGGCCTGGGGCACAGCGAGCGCCGACTGCCAGAAAACACCGTGGCCGCGGGGCGGCTGCACTGAGCCTTGTCAATAGTGAGCACTTTGCCGTGAGCCCTGTCTGGCTTACAACCTGGCATGTGGGCTTGGGCAAGTCATTTCATAGTTGCCACAAATAATTACCGAGCACCTACTGTATGCCAGGCACCAAATAATTACTGAGCACCTACTGTATGCCAGGCACCAAATAATTACTGAGCACCTACTGTATGCCAGTTCTGGAAGCTGGAGACGAAGTGGGGAGTGAGAAATACCTAGTCTCTGCCCTCTCTGACTCAGCTTTGACTATCTTGAGAGGTGCCAGCCCAGGGGTTCTTTGAGTGCCAGGCTGACCAGCTTCAATGCCCTGCAGCAGGCACTCAAGTTCACAGCAGATGGAGTGATGTGGCAGAGGCACAAGGAAAATGATTAATCTGGCAGCGAAAAACAGAATGGATTCGGCTCAGATGATTAGCAGCCCCAGGAGGGACAAGGAAAAAAAAAAAAAAACCCTGACTCTACGATGGCTCAGCAGAACTGCTCTCTCTAATAAATAATAATTCTCCAGCTTTCCTGCTAACAGTCACAGGCAGGATTTCTCATCTCTATGCCCGTCCCCCACCAGAAGTCAGGCATGGCCGTGTGGCTTGCCTGGGCCAATGAGATGTCAGCAGAAGTGATGTAAGTTGCATCTAAGAAGAAGCTCTAAGAAGCAGTGCACAGCCTGCCTCAAGCCCGATGATGCTCCACATGGCAGAGGCCCCCTCTGCATCCCAGAGTGAGAAGACATGGCACAGAGCCCATTGCCAACACACAGCAGACACATAGCACGGGTGAGAGACAAACGTTGGTTGTTAGAAAACCATGAGATTTTGGAGTTGTTTGTTACTGCAACACAACTGAGCCGATACTGACTGATACATCTCCGTTTCACAGGTGAGGAAACAAAGTGTGGAAGAGATCACCAAGGTTACCCAAAGTCAAACACAGAGTAGAGGCACAGACAAGACTCAAAGACAGGTCTGCCCTTTGCTGCAACCCTCCATTCTGAACAAACCCAGCCAAGCCCCTTACTGCTAACCACTTCAATTAAAGCCAATGTCAAGGCCTCCTGGTTTCTAAATGAACAGCCCTGATCATGTTCGTTAAAGGCCCTGTCTGCACAGACTGCTCATTTTATCCGAAGCCGCCAACAAGATAAATGGCCCTGTAACTTATTGTTCTGCTGCAAAGCACCTCACGGCAAGCGGCGGCACAGATGCCAGGAATAAATCACATCTGATCTTCCGAGAGCCAGGCAGAGCGCCCACGAGGAGTGTCGGAGGCAGGGGAGGTTGGCACAGCCCTGGACCTTGGGGGTTGGAGCAGCCCTGGACCTTGGGGGGATTCACTAAGGAGCAGAGAGCTGCAGGGGTCTTTATTAGGGCCCCGGAGCTCTGGAGTATACATTGTTCTTTTTTATCGGCCCAGCACCTATTTCCCCTTCTTGGGGTTTAATAGCACCCCTTTTTCTCTGGGAAAACCATCTCTCCTCCGCTCTCAGTCTGTCTGGTTCCGATGGGGTCATCCCTTCTCCCAGTTACAGGGAGGAGCATGAACACGTGACCTACCCTGGTCAATCAGAGCTTCACATTCTTTTGCAGCCATGACTAGCTCAGAGCAGGCAGGTGACCCACACCAGGCTGATGGGACCCAAACCTCAGACTTCTGCTGAAACTCTAGGAAAAAAGGAGTTCTCTCTTCTAACAGGTTGCTCACAGAAGGAACTTTTCCGTTGAATTACCTCAGTTTCTAGCACAATTACAGGCACATGGTAGGTGCTTGGTAAAAATGGGCTGGATGAATGAACAATCCACCTGGAGTTAGCACAGCTGGCTTCTTGTCTGGGCGCAGCCATCTCTAACTTCAAGACAGCTTCTTCACCTCTGCAGGTCTCAGTTTTCTTGCCTATAAAAAGGCATTAATAACAGCACTTAGCAGTAGCTGATTATATCAGTTAGCTATTGCTGCCGACATGCTGCGTAACAAAAGATTCCCACCTGCAATCACTCATTATCATTTCCGTGTCTGCCAGTTGGCTGGGAGTCACCTGATCCAGGCTGGGCTGGGCTGCCCACCTGTCTCTCTTCCTCTTTGGATCAGCAAGTTAACCCAGGGCCTGTTTGTCTCACCCAGTGACAGAGGCACAGCATAATACAAGGTCCCTGAAGGGATAGGGCCAATACTAGCACAGCCTCATTTCCATTGCCTTCTTATGGCCAAAGCAAGTCACATGGCCAGACCTAAAGTCAAGAGGTGGGGAAATGCACTCTACTTCTTTGCCACCCGGTAAAGGGCACAGATGTGGGGGGTGGTGAGGAATTGAGGCTGGCTGTGTACCCCCACAATGCCATTGTCTGTGCCTTGATGTTGACTTGATCCGTGTCCACCTCCTTCTCCACTAGAATAAACCTCGGAGCACCTGGATCTCTGTCTGCTTTGTTCACGGCTGTATCCCAGCATCTAGAACGGGGCCCAGGACAGAGTCAATGCACAGCAAATCCTTGTGGAAAGCCTGGCTAGCTGCCCCTGGCCTCCCTCTGCTGTGAGGATTGAGCCAGGTCAGAGACCCAGACATGGCATTGGAAGTTATGGAAGCCCCTCAAAGACTCACGGTGCAGACCCCTGCTCTGGCTTTTAAATATCCAGTGGGAATGAATGTCCCATCTCTGACCCTGATGATCAGCAGTGCCAGGGGTCCGGTTCGGGTGAGGGTTGTCACATCTGGGGAGAGACCTGCTGGCACTGGCCGTGTTTGCACACCCATCTCTCTCTCCTCTGACTCAGTGGTCCTGGAGAGGCCCCCTCACAGCTCAAAACCATCCCCTTGGATCAGGAAGGCACAGGTTTAACTCCATGCTGAGGCCACAGACCTCTCTGGGGTGTGCAGGAAGTGGCCCAAAAGGCCCTGGGGAGAGAACAGTCTGCTGGGGCCATGTGCATGGCCCAGGGCGCCCGAGGCCCAGCCCTGCCTGGGCCTCCCATCCCTGCCCTATGCGGTTTTCCTCTTGCCCTGCTTCCCATCTCTGAGAAGCAGCAAAGTCACCCTCCCCATCTGCCCTTCCCTGGGGGAGCGGTCCCCACCCCCACGTCCATCTGGACCTCAGTGCGGCCATCCCTCCCATGCACAAAGCTCCTCCCAGCCCCAGCACACAGGAAACCTCTCGAGTCTGCCCCCGTGGTGCACACTTCAGCACAAAAGCCTTCCCCCTCTCCAGGCCCAGCCTGAAAGAACCAAATGTTCCTCTATTATGCAAGCTCATTCCTCTCTTCCTGCCGCGGCCGAAATTGCAATCTGTGCGGAGGGGTGGAGGGGGAAGAGCAGGCCTAGGAAAGAGAGAGCTGAACAGCGGCAGAAGGAGCATCCCTCCCACCCTGCTAAACGCCAACTTAGCACCAGCTCCAACCCCTCGAAGGCCCCGGCCAGACACCCCAGCAGAGGGGATGTGGTGTCAGCACCTGTAACCAAATATGAACCCAGTCGTCCCTGTGGTTTGCCCGGAGGAGATAAACTCTGGGTGTATTCCCACAGTGAAGAAGAACACTGCTGCCAGCCGGCCATCAACTACAGTGCTTTCATTCCAGGGGGGCTAAGGCGGTGTCAAAGGCACTGATCACCGGAAAACAACATGTGGGTATTGTGTGTTGAGAGCTGGCTATGCATCAGGCACTGTTGTAAGCACCTTACCCGTTTAGTCCTCACACTCTACGGATAGGTCTTAGTATCACGCCCATTGCACAGAGGAGGAAACTGAGGCTCAGAGTGGGTGGCTTCACGGAGGAAGCATAATCAGGAAGCAGAGGATCTGGGGTCCAAACCAGGCAACCTGACCTCAGATCTGCCCCGTAAACAGCTGCTCTGTTAACCCATGGATCGGCATTTGTGTTCCACAGGCCTTTCCTGCAAGCCGAAAAGCCACACCATCTAAGATCCAGCAAACCCACTTCTGGGTTTTATTTATTTATTTATTTATTTGAGACAGGATCACACTCTGTCACCCAGGCTGGAGTGCAACAGCGTGATCATGGCTCACTGCAGCCTCGACCTCCTGGGTTCAAGTGATTCTCCCACTTCTGCCTCCCAAGTAGCTGGGACCACAGGCATGTGCCACCACGCCCAGCTAGTTTTTAAATTTTTATTGGAGACAAGGTCTCGAGATGTTGCCCAGACTGGTCTCAAACTGCTGGGCTCAAGCAGTCCTTCTACATCTGTCTCCCAAAGTACTGGGGTTACAGGCTGAGTCACCATGCTCAGCTTCCACTTCTCGGTTTATATCCGAAAGAACAGAAAAGAGAATCTCAAAGAAATATATGCACACTGAAGTTTATAGCAGCCTGATGTGTTGATTCACAAGAGCTCAAAGGTGGAGGCAACATAAGGGTTTGTGGATGGATGGATAGATGGATGGATGGATGGACGGACGGACGGACAGATGGATGGATAAACAAACTGTGGTCCATCCATACAATGGAATATTATCCAGCCAGGAAAAGGAAGAAAACCCTGTCATGTGCTAACCCAATGGATGAACCTTGAGGACATTATGCTAAGTGAAATAAGCCAGTCACAAAAGGACAAATACTGTTTGATTCCACTTAGAGGAGGTAGCTAGAGTCATCAAATTCATAGAGACAGAAAGTAGAATGGCAATTGCCAGGGGCTAGGGAGAGAGAAATGGGAGTGCTTGTTTAATGGGGACAGAGTTTCAGTTCTGCAAGATGAAAAAGTTCTGGAGATCTGTTGCACAACAGTGTGAATGTACTCAATGCCCCTGAACTGTACACTCGAAAATGGTTAAGATGGTAAATGTTATGTTAGATGTATTTTGCCACAATTTTAAAAAGCGGAACACCATCATTGTTGTCACCATCAGAAGAGTTGCCATGCTTGGACGGCACCTTTTGGACACCCACTGCACTGTTGTAAGGACTTGACTTAACCTCCCTGATAGATTGTGTTGATGGCCCCAAGTTTATACCTCACCCTGTATGCATGCCCTTTGCTGTGTGGCTTTGCAATTCCTCTCACCAAAGAGGTAAAGTTACTCCCCCACCCCTTGAATCTGAAATGGCCTTGTGACTGGTGTCAGCTGATAAAAGTAACAATGTGCTAGTGCCAAGGTGGGCCTTGAAAAGCCTGGAGCAACTGCTTGTACTCTTCCACCTCTGCCATCATCTCAGATCCTACCCAGGCTAGCCAGCTGGAGGAGAGATGTGCAGAGCAAAGCAGAGCTCTCCCAGCAATCCCAGCTAAGGCCACCCTGGAGCAACCAATAGCCAGCCACCCCCAGACATGCAAGCGAGCCCAGCTGAAACAGAAGAACCACCCAGCCGAGACAGAAGAACCGCCCAGCCAAGCCCAGCCTCAATCACTGACCTGCAGATGCATGAGCCTAATAAATGATTATTGTTTGAGGTCACTGATATTTGAGGTGATTTGTTATGCAGCATTATTTTGTCAATAGATAACTGATACAAACTCATATAAAAGGCCCCATCTGTTTACTCGCATATTCAGGTGTTCCAACACAACCTTGTGAAACACCCACTCTGTAACCAGGGATAGAGCTTCAGCAAAGCCTTCGTGAAGCCCACAGCTCAGAAGAGAGAGAAAGATTAAGACCCAAGTGCTCACTACACGTGATTAAGTGAAGAGCCCAGGCATAGCCTATGGCAAGAGCACACAGCCAAGGCTTGAGAGATCAAGGAAGTCTTCCCGGAGGAGGAGTGATCAAAATAGAGGCCCGAAGAAGAAGGGGGAGAAGACAGATTGGGGGTTGCATCCAGGCAGGAACAGAAGAAGTTCCGGGTGGAAAAAACAAGGATAAATGCCGTGGCTGGGTGGCGGGGAGTGCGTGGATGTCACAGCCTGGCTGCTTGGAAGAATTGCAAGGCCTTTGGGAAATTTGTGCTGGAGCCGGATCATGCAGGGCCCTGTGCCCCCCATTTCAGAGCTGGGACCTTATTCTGAGGGCCTGGGGGATTTTAGCCGGGAGCTACATGAGCAGATTTGCACTTGAGAAAGATCACTGAGGCAGCAGTGCAGAAGAGATGTCAGCCGAGCATGCAATTAAGCAGGGCAGTGAGAGGCGAGGTCCCTCCTCCACACTGCAGTGCAGATGCCCCCGTCACCAGGAGTCGCCAGCAGGCGACCGGCTGTCTCCGCTGCCCTTTCCAAAGCTGGCTCCCTCTTGGGCAGCGATGCAGAAACGGAGGTTGACCAAGGGTACGCCACTCCATCATTAGCCCGGCTCCCCAGGGACTCACGCAGTGGCAGGAAGGAGGACTTCTGCCAACTGTCAGCCCACTCCCTACCCAATCAGCGGGGCCGCCAGCTGCAGAAGATGCCCTGCCCAACCGGAGCCATGACGCCCCTGGGGCCACCTTCAACGCATCAGTGGAAAACAAATTTGCTGATCCCAGCCCTGGCCGAAGGCAGCCAAAATCCTCCTGCCAACCCCATCAGCATGTCGCCACCTGGTCAGGCAGCCGGCGCCCCTGCCCCAGCTGGCCTCCCCGCACCGGCGAGACCCCTCATCCATCAAGCAGGATCATCCCTTGGCATCCATCACTCCGGAGAAGAGAAATAAAGACATTGCCATATCGTTGAACCAGGATTGATGTCCCTGCTGTGAAAACAAACGTCGCGTCTTCCCGCCAACATTTATTTTTGATAAATGCTGTGACTTTGCCTTGACATTTCAGAAGCAGCAGGAGACCATTACCCGGTGACAATGTTCTATTCCACTGACATTATCTCTTAATTATAATATGCAAGTAATGCTGAAAAAAATGGCCCATAAATAGCTCATTTGGAGTTGCTGCATTCTGCCCTGTCAGGGGACGCTGAACGATTTCATTCAGCACTTGCAAATGAGGGGAGACAAATGGATATCTGGGGACCTTGTGTGTCCTGCCTCCTCAATGACAAAGCTTGCAGGGTGGCAGAGAGGTGGCAAGGAGGTGAGGATTTCAGGGCATCTGCTGGGCTTCCACCAGTCTCCAGGGTGCCCTTCCCCATCCCCCAAATCAGAGGGCACTTCACTCCCACCACCAATCAACAGCCTGCCAACTCCAGTCCTGCAAAAACAGTTTAATATTTAGTGCAGAGGGACAGGCATTGATTTTTTTTTAATCAGGAAATTAATTGCGTTAAGAGGCACGGAGGTTGAGGGAAGGGCCACCTGGAGGAAATCCCATTTGGCAACTCATTTGGGTTCTTGAGGGCGGATGAAACAGTCCCCAAAGTTCAGAGAGAACGGGCTTCTAGGAGAGGGTCTGCAGGGACGAGGCAAACAGAGGCTTTGGGATGGCTCAAGAAAGGAACAAGGACATCCCGTGTGGAACAGCAGACGTGGCTTTTAGAGACTCAGCAGAGAGAGGACAGGTGCGGTGGCTCACATCTATAATCCCAACACTTTGAAAGGCCAAGGTGGGAGGATCTCTTGAGGCCAGGAGTTTGAGACCAGCCTGGGCAACATAGCAAGACTGTATCATCTCGATTTAAAGAAAGAGAGAAAGAGAGAAAGCAAGAGAGAGACCCACAGTACAACCAAAAGTCAGCACTAACATTTATGGGAACCTGACACTTCTGGGGACAAGAAGGGGCAAGTGAATTTATGCTTTAAAAATCATCATGGCTCCAAACACAGACCAGTAAAAACAAAAGCTCCAGGCCAGGGTTTCTCAACCCTGGGCAATTCTGCCCCCCATGGCACAGGTGGCAGTGTCTGTAGACACTTTGAGTTGTCATAACTGGGAGTTGGGGTGGCCCTGGCACCTCGCGGGCCAGGGATGCTGGTAAACACCCTAGAGGACACAGGGCGGCCCCACAGCCCCAGCGCCAGCAGAGCAGAGGCTGAGTGGCCCCGGTCCAAACAGCCACACAGGGAAGTGGTTGATGGGTATTTGGAGAATGTTAGGTGCCTTGACGTGGTTGAGAAAAGTCTAGACATACCAGATAGCTGTCAGCTTTGGAAGAAGATGTGTAAATATTAAATATGAGGCTTTAACATCTGAGGATCTCTGCTAAAGGGATGGAAGACTATGCTTTCCAGACTGGCAGGGGAGGGGAGGAAGTGAGGAGGCCAGCCCCAGCTCCGTTAAACGCCAAGAAGGGGAAACATCTTCCCATCAGCGCTTTGAGGAGGTTCTCCTTCTTCTTCATTTCACAGATGAGGAAACCAAGGCTCCGGGAAGACCACGTGCCCAGGCGCCATGGTGGTGAGGGCAACCGAGGGGTTCAGCCTTGGAGTCAGACGGCAGCCTGGGCTCACAGGCTGGTCACCTTGGGTGAACGACCTGACTTCTCTGGGCCTTTGCTTCCTCACCTGTAATTGAGGCTGATATGCCCACCGTGGAGGCTGCTGCAGGGATGGGCTGGGCTCACACAGCTCCTCCAGCAGGGAGACAACGCAAGTCCGATGGTTCGAGGCTATCATGAGGGGAACTACCGACCACACAGGCAGGAAGGTCAGGGAGGTGCTGGGGCTCAGGGGCCAGAACGGTAGGGAGCTGCTGCCCCCACAGCGGAAAGGAATTTCACCTGCAGGCAGGGGAGAGAGGGAGCCATGGAAGGGCCTCCCAGCAGGGGCTGAGATGTGGGAAGGGGACAGAGCTGGCCCCACGGTCATGGTCACTGGGCACCAGCCACAGCCAGACCCCCAGAAGCAGGGAGGGCTCTAGGGGCTGAATACTCCAGCCTCTCTGCTTCCTACCCAGCCTGACGCCAGAGGCGTATGGAGTCCACAGGGTCCCCTTCCCCATAGAGAGTGTGGAGCGGGCACCGCAGGGGCCTCTGGGAGAATAACCAGCAGCAGGACAAGCGCCGCACAGGCACCAGGAAGGGGAAGGGCACCAGCCTATGGTTGCAAGAAGCAGCAGGAGCAATGGAGCACAGACCGAAGCCCAGCTCCCCAGGTTCAAGTCCACATCGAGCCCTCCTGGCTGTGTGACCCATGCAAGTGGCTGATCCTCTCTGTGCATCAGCTGCCTGATCCATATAATGGGGTAAGGCTGGCAATCACCTCTGTGGGCCACTGCGAGCGTGAAGCGAGGGAAGGCAGGTAGAATGTATAGCAGGGCCCAGCACACAGTAGGTCCTCAACTAGGCAAAAATCATCCAAACCTTCACTTGAGATCAGGAGTTCAAGACCATCCTGGCCAACATGGTGAAACTCTGTGTCTATTAAAAATACAAAAATTAGCTGGGTGTGGTGGCGCGTGCCTATAATACCAGCTTCTTGGGAGGCTGAGGCAGGAGAATCACTTGAACCTGGGAGGCAGTGGTTGCAGTGAGCCAAGATCGCACCACTGCACTCCAGCCTGGGTGACACAGCAAGACTCCATCTCAAAAAAAAAAAAAAAAATCATTCAAACCAGAAAGAAGAATAAAAGATGGCCCCAGTGGGGGTTGGGGGATGGTCTCTGGAAGGGAAGGGGGCTCAGGACGCCTCCAGTATTTTGTGTGTATTTTCCCCTTGTTCTCAAGAATGCCATGAGAGCTCAGCCAAGGGGACACTCACAAGCTCTGGGGGAGACCTGGGTTGGGATCCCAGCGGCCTCATGACCTCACTGTGCAGCTTTCAACAGCTCATTCAGCCTCTCTGAGCCTTGGTGTCCTCATCTGTAACAAGGGGAGAACTTCTCCTTGAAGAATTTGTGTATGGAGGGAAAGACGCAACAGAAGGCAAGCACTAAGCACATAAAAGGCACTTGGAAAATGTGAGCGCCCTTTTAGAAATTCCCAATGTCTATTTTAACCACAGCCCTGGCTGTTGCATCAAAGAGTGGAGAGCTTGGCTGGAAAATGTTACACCTTTAGGTGTTCAGAGATGTGTGGTGACTTCCTCCCCCAGCTTCGTGCATGTGTGTCTTGTACCAACTCTTTTCAACCCACTCCCCAGGCAGTCCGTGCTGGCCTGGTGCCATCACTGACATCACTGTGGGCAGCCTGGGTTGACCTGGCCTGAAACCCCGTAGTCCTCACAGTCTGTCTGCTGCCTTCTCCAAAGGGAGGGGCTCCCCACACCCTGGTTTGTCTGCCACCAGTGGGATCTGCAGATCTGACTTTCAAGGCACTGTGGCCCCAGAGCAAAGGGAACGGCTCCTTTTTCCTTGGGCATGCAGCTGAGGGCAGAGAATAGCTACTCTGTCACTGGAAGGGATTTCTATGACAGCAGAGATTTGGGTCTGTTTTGTTCAATCCTCTCTCCCCAGTGCCTAGAACCGAGCCTGGCCAGGAACATGTGTTCCATAACCATCTGCTGAATGAATGAAGAGGAAGCTGCCATTTACCGAGTACTTGCTATGAGCCAGGCACTGTGCTAAGCCCGTTCAATGCATCGTTTCATCGACTCCTCCCTGCCCGTGCAGAAGGTGTGTCAGTCAGGGAGGTCTAGGTCATGCTGCAGTAACAAATAATCCCCTAGATCTCCATAGCTTGAAATAACAAAAGTCCGCCTCTTGCTCACGCTGCAGAAGCCAGCTTGGGCTCTGCTCCATGTAGTCCTCATTCTGGGACTCAAGGCAATACATCCACCAATGTCTCAGACATTGCCTGTCACCATGGTGGAAGGAAAGAACTCTGAACCAGCAACTAAATGCTGCAGCCCAAGAAGTGAGCTGAGTGATTCTTTGCTGTCAGCTCATCAGCCAAAACGAGTCACAAACGCAACCCCCCATCCACAGGCAGGCCAGGAAGTGCTATCCCCCTGTGTGCCCAGAAGGTAAAAGTTAGAACTCACGGCCACCACAGTGGTGTTTTTATTATCCTCATCTTTACTGATGAGGAAGTTGAGGCTCAGAGAGGTTAAGTGACTTTCTCAAAGTCACACAGCTAGTGAATCATAAACCCAGGATTCCAACCCAGTTCTCTATGACTCTAGAAGCTAGCGTCTTAGCTGTTATCATTCGAAGCCCTTCAGTAGGATCTGTTTAGCCCCGCTCATGCAAAAAACACCACATTCAGTGAATCAGGCTGATGAGGTATAGCCACCCACACACCTCCAGAAAGAGGTGGATAGCCACAGACGCTTAGACTCAAGTTACACACCTAAAAGGCAGAGGCAAATACCACCTCAAAACTGACAGACTGAGTCCTGGCCAAGACATGTTTCATTTGGCCCACATGGTATTTTTTTTTCTTGAGACATAGTCTTGCTTTGTTGCCCAGGCTGGAGTGCACTGGCGCAATCTCAGCTCACTGCAGCCTCGACCTCCTGGACTCAAGCCAACCTCCCGCCTCAGCCTCCCAAGTAGCTGGGACCACACGTGTGTACCACCACGCCCTGCTAATTTTTGTATTTTTTATAGAGACAGGGTTTCACCATGTTGCCCAGGCCAGTCTCGAACTCCTGGGCTCAAGCAATTCACCTGCCTCAGCCTCCCAAAGTGTTGGGATTACAAGCATGAGCCACTGCACTTGGCTGGCCCATATAGTATTATAATTGGAATTTGTTGCCAATAATTAAAACTCAGGAGATTTCACATTTTAAAAAACCACATTCTCTTCTTAAAAAAAAATAGACGATCTGGCAACATTGGTCTGCATTCCCTTGAGGCAGTAATCAGTTCTGCAATCACAGGAAGGCAGCCTGGGCCGGAGTGCAGAGGGAGGGGGTGTCATTACCCCAGAATCCAACACACAGAATGCCACTGTCTTTAACCACAGGTCTAACGCCTCACTTTCACACTTTAACATGTTTTCATCATGGTCTTAACAATAATGGTGTTGGCCGGGCACGGTGTCTCACATCTGTAATCCCAACACTTTGGGAGGCCAAGGTGGGTGGATTAATTGAGGCCAGGAGTTCGAGACCAGCCTGGCCAACATGGTGAAATCCCATCTCTACTAAAAATACAAAAAATTAGCCAGGTGTGGTGGTGCACACCAGTAATCCTAGCTACTCGGGAGGCTGAGACACAAGAAGAATAGCTTGAACCTGGGAGGCAGAGGTTGCAGTGAGCTGAGATCATGACACTGCACTCCAGCCTGGGTGACAGAATGAGACTCTTTCTCAAAATAATAATAATAATAATGGTGCCAACAGTGTACCTTTAAAAGTGATGAACAGGTGCCACTTTGGGGAGGTAAGGCATCAGCTGTTCCCACACCCACCCCCTTGATCTCTAGCCATGCTTGTGGGTAGGGCATGCCTTTACCCTATAGCCAGTCGCACAAACTACCCTACCACTCAATGAACAAGCACCTGGCCTGTTGGGCCTATTTACACTGCCTGCCCAGTTCTGTAAGCATTTGAACTTGCCTCCACTGATCCACATGCATCCCTCCATTTAAAAAAACTAGTTTTACACAATGTACGATAACCACACTACTCCCATGTGCAAGAACGCTCATGATGTGTTTGACAGTGGCACCTGCTGGTGATGTGTGGTATTACAGCTCAGCTCCACTAGACCTTGTAAATACTTAGCTAAACTGGGTCGTGGATGTTAGGGTTTGTTCCAAGAGTGCTTTATGACACATTTGAAAATCTTCCCAAACTATTTTCAACTGAAAGTGCATAAAATGTTTTTCTTAATGATCCTCATGAGAATCTGAAATTGATGGGGCAGGAATTAGAATTCCTGTTGGACAGAAGTGGACACAGGCACAGAGGGGTCAAAGTGACTTGCCTGAGGGACACAGTGAATCCAATCTTCTTCAGCACACAGCTCTAGCTTCCAAACCCTGCCATCTGCCTAATCTCCAAGGCTGACATCATGAAGGAAACTATGTCCTTCCCTCAAACAGCTGTTACTGCCACAGACAGAGAGACCACAGGGCCAAGCACACCACAGTGCATGACCAGAGATGCCAGTGTTTAATCTCAGAGTCCCTGTTCCCTGAAATGGAAGAAATTCCTGTGGCCCAGAAAAGAACAGATGAGGCTGGTCATAGAAGCAGAGGGAAAATCCCAGAGACCAGAAGGGTGTTGCACAGTTCTGAGAAACCACTGCAGGCCCAACCACAAGCCTCAGGCTTAATACCTTCCATGCCAAGTTGTTCCAGTCCATCTGCAGAGATGTTTTCCCAGGGGAGTGGAAGTCCCATTTTGCAATGGAAGCTGAGGAGGTAAGTGAGATCTGGTTTGCAGAAACATGTGCATCATGGCCAATGTTGCTCAAACATCTGTTCCTGAAAGGGGGAAGAAAAAAAAAAGCTCCCTCTTAAAAGCCTCCCTCTGCCTCAGTCGAGGACTTCTAAATGCTATGAAGTTTGCTAGGGCTAAGGCTTCATGGCAAACGTGTTGTGAAATCTGGAAACACTCATGACTCCAGAGATATTTGGCCTTTATGCTCAGACCCTCCATCCAGCCTAGCTCCCAAGACTTCAGAGAGGAAAGTCAGAGAAACAGCCCCCACCAGGGCAGTGCACCTTATTCTTCCCTCAGCCAAACCTCCAGGCTTCTCCCTCCCAGTTCTCCTGCCCTCTCTTTCCTGTTTTGTTGTGGGTTTCGGAGATCCAAGCACTATTTTTAGACATGTTTATTCTTACTCCTCTTCTTCCCCTCCCATTCTTGACCTCTCTGGAATGAGCCTGGATGCTCCCCTGCCAGGGGCTTTTCTGGAGTGATTGGACACATGCTTGGTATGCGGGGGGCCTCTTTCTAGATGGAGCTGGGACTGGATTTGGGGGAAATGAGCCTTGCAACCTCCTTTCCTCTCCCAGGCTCCTCAGAAGCTCTAGAGCCAGGACCTGTGTGCATTCATTGCCTTTGCCTGGAAATTATGTTTCTTGAAGCTGGGTTCCCAAGTTGAGTTTCACTTGGGATAAGGGATAAGATAAAGTGGGATGCCTCAGCCAGCACCCACAGCAAGCTCTGGTTCCCAGTCAATGAGGAGGTATGCAGAGTAGCTGATAAGCATGTATGCCCCCCAACCAGTGGCCAATATTCATATCCAGACTCCGATCCTTTCCAGCCATAAGACCTTGGACAATGACCTCGCCTCTCTGTGCCTCAGTTTCCTCATCTGTAAAATGAAGATGATGATGATAACAGCACTCGCCTGGGTTATGATGAAAACTAAGTGAGCATATGCCAAGGGTTTAAAATAGTGCACGGCACTCAGAAAGATTCAATGAATGCTAGCAACAGTCTGTTCCAGGAGAGCAAGCCAGGATGCCAGAGCTGAGCTTGCCTGACTGGGCTGGGAGTGGCCGGCATTGAGATTTTCTTTTTTTTTCTTTTCTTTTCTTTTTTTTGAGACAGAGTCTCACTCTGTCGCACAGGCTGGAGTGCAGTGGCACAATCTCAGCTCACTGCAACCTCCACCTCCCGGGTTCCAGTGATTCTCCTGCCTCAGCCTACCCAGTATCTGGGATTACAGGTGCTCACCACCATGCCCAGCTAATTTTTGTATTTTTAGTAGAGACAAGGTTTCACCATGTTGGCCAGGCTGGTCTTGAACCCCTGGCCTCAGGTGATCTGCCCACCCCGGCCTCCCAAAGTGCCGGGATTAGGGGTGTGAGCCACCGCGCCTGGCCCAGTGTTGAGATTTTATATCTTCTGGGCATCTGAGGTTTGGATCAGGATTGCCCATCCCTGGGAGACCACAGCCAGCCATTTGGCCTGGACTCTGAGTTCACAAAAACACCACAAATCAGATTTTGGAGAAGATCTTGAATGTACTGTCCTAGAGCCCCACACCACCAAGATTAAAAGAACTGTGATAATTTCCCCTTTCTAAATCCTGCCCTCTCTGGACATGGTTCATTAAGAATTTTGCAAGCCTTGTAACTTCACAAAAATATATTGCATGACTATTTCATGTATGGAAGCTGTTAAATTTTTACATGTAAACATACAAGAGAACATAGTTCTTGCAGCCTTAGTTCATCAGTTTTTCATTTTTTATCTTTGCTATGTCCAGAGCCTCAAACAACAGACGTTTCCCAGCCCCTGGGACCGCCAGAGAGACCCGGGCTGCTGGGGCCTCCCTGAATCTGGGGCCGCCCTGAAGGCTGGACCCACAGCGCCCCCTGGCGGCCACAATCCGCACGTGCAGCCTCTGGCAGGCCCTGGGCAGGTCTGCAGAACTCCCCTCCCGCAACCACATCCCCAGCCTCGCTACACCCCAGATCATTTATTCATTAACTCAGCAAAGACTGATTTGCATGCATGCCCATGGACCACGAACCCCACAGAACTCGGTGCCTGCCTTCAGCAGCGTAAAGTCTAAAGAGGGAGACAGCGCGACCAATTGCTCACACACACAAAAAAGATCCACCTTGCAAATATAGCCTCACCCCTCAGCCTCCGTCTTCCCATCTGTGAAATGGTCCCCTCAAGTCTCCCTGCTGTACAGGTCACTGGATAGCTCCATGAAACATGTGCTCCCCTGAGCATCAAAAGGGGCTGCTGTTATTTGTGCTGTTGCTACGTTGGGATTCCTGGTGGTGCTTTCTCTCTCTGGCCTCTCACATTCCAGATGCCCTGGGGGTGGGTGGACCGGGATAGGGGATGAATCCGGTGTGGGTGACACAACAACCTCAGTGTCCTGACTCCTCCCTCTGCAGCCCCCACAGGGAGTTCACAGCCATTCAATCCATGCTGAGCTAAGCCCGGGTCTGCACTGGGGGATCGGGGCCCTACTTGCTCCCAGCCCCACCTTCCTGCCTCCCTCCTCAGTTAGTGGCACCTCCCTCTGGCTCACACTTGTAATCTCAGCACTTTGGGAGGCAGAGGTGGGCCGATCGCTTGAGGCCAGGAGTTCGAGACCACCCTGGGCAACATAGTGTGACTCTCTTTCTAAAATAATAATAATAATAATAATAATAATAATAATAATAATTTAAAAATTAGCCAGGTGTCCTGGCATGTGCCTGTAGACCCAGCTACTCGGGAGGCTGAGGCAGGAGGATTACTTGAGCCCAGGAGGTCGAGGCTGCAGTGAGCTATGATCGCACGACTGCACTCAAGCCTGGGTGACAGAGACCCTGTCTCAAAAACAAATGAAAATGGCCTGGCGCGGTGGCTCATGCCTGTAATCCCAACACTTTGAGAGGCCGAGGCAGGCAGATCACAAGGTCAGGAGTTCGAGACCAGCCTGGCCAACATGGTGAAATCCCGTCTCTACTAAAAATACAAAAATCAGCCATGCATGATGGCGGGCGCCTGTGATCCCAGCTACTTGTGAGGCTGAGACAGGAGAATCGCTTGAACCCAGGAGGTGGAAGTTGCAGTAAGTAGAGATTGCACCACTGCACTCCAGCCTGGGCGACAGAGCGAGACTCTGTCTCAAAAAAGAAAACAAACAACAAACAAGCAAACAAAAACAAATGAAAACTAACAAACAAAAAGCAGCCCCTCCCTCCCCCTGGCCGTCAGGCTCAGACACTTGAGAGTCTCACTGGACGCGTCCTCACCCCTCCCTTCCCACATCCAGTTTAGCACCATGTTCTATGAGCTCCAGCCCCTAAAAATACACCCCGCATCTGTCCCTTCTTCATCCACTGCTCCGCCCTGGCCCAGGCCACCACCACCACCACCACCACCATCTGTCACCAGGAGGAGGGCCACTGCCTCCAGCCAGACCTCCAGCATCCACGCCTGCCCCCGCAGCCTCTCCCACAGCAGAAACAGCAAACGCAGCCCTCCCTGATGGAAAAATCTCCAGTGGTTTCCCACTGTACTTAAAATCCTAACTGCGAGGCCCCCCAGCTCTCCACCTCCATCTCCCTCCAACCCCCTCCCACTGTGATCGTGTAAAATATTTATTTGGTCTTCTGCCTTAAAATCCTTGGAATCTCCAAAGTGTTTAGTTTGCCAATGACTCACTGGTGGCCAGCAGCCCCTAGGCAGCTTCAGGATGGGGACTGGTCTCAGGAAAAACCAAGTCAGCGCTACAGGACTGGGACTTTCAGCCCAGTCCCCAACCTCCAGCAGTGAGGGGAGAGAGGCTGAAGGTCAAACTGATCACCAATGGCCTGTGGTTTAATCAATCATGCCCATGTATACAAAAACCATATACATATAGAGAAAGAATGAATAAGACCTACTATTTGATCCCACAACAGGGTGACTATAGTCAAGAATAACTTGATTGTATATTTTTAAATAACTGAAGGAGTGTAACTGGATTGTTTGTAACACAAAGGCTAAATGCTTGAAGGGGTGGATACGCCCTTCCCATGATGTGATTACGTCACATTGCATGCCTGTGTCAACACATCTCATGCACCCCACAACTGTATACACTTACTATGAACCTACAAAAATTAAACATTTAAAAATTTAAAATGATATAATTTTAAAAATTACGCCCACCTAATGAAGCCTCCATAAAAACTCAAGAGGACAGAGTTTTTGAGCATGGGAAGGCTCCTGGAGGGTGGTGTCCTGGAGAGCATGGCAGCTCCATGCCCCTTCCCCATGCCCTTTCCCCGTGCCCCTCCCCCATGCCTCTCCCTAGCATCTCTTCATCTGTATCCTTCTAACATCCTTTATAATAAATAAGCTCAGTGCTTCCCTGAGCCCTGTGAGCCGTTCTAACAAATTAATTGAACCCAAAGACAGGGTCGTGGGAACCCCAATTCACAGCTGGTCTGTGAGAAGCACAGGTGACACATCCCAGGGCTTGAGAGGGGCATCGGGAGTAAGGGGCCGCCCTGGGGTCTGAACCCTCGACCTGTGGGGTCTGACACTGCCTCCAGGTAGACAGCGGCAGAATTGAGTTGAATCAGAGGGCCCCCAGCTGGCATCCGCTGCAGAATTAGGTGTTCATTTGATCTGCTGTGGGGGGAGCCCCCCATATTTGGTCACAGAAGTCTTCTGTGTTGATTGTTGTGGGGTGAACAGAGGAGGAAAAGCAGTTTGCGTTTCTCCCACTCAGTCCCACTCTCTGGGCTCCAGCCACAGCGCACCGTTTCTGTTCTGCGTGTTGCTACCCCAGGCCCTTTGCACATGTACTTCCCGGTTCCTGGAGTGCTCTTCTCCAGATTCCCATGAAGCCTTCAGGAGTTGGCACTTCTCAGAGGAAACTTCCGGAAATGTGCTCTCATCTAAGCAGCCCCCCTGCCCAGCACCTCTTCTCCGGTGCACCCCCTGCTCTTCTTTCTATCCTGGCATCGTTGCTTCCCAGAGTGACCTTACTCATGTGTGACCTTACTTATGAGTGACCTTACTCATACGTGACCTTACTCATGCATTTACTCGCCAGCTGTCTCTCCCACTAGAAGGCAAGTTTGTGAGGGCAGGGAGCTTTCTAGCTTCGTCCAGCTTTGTTGTTGTTGTTTTTCTTTTCTTTTCTCTTCTTTTTTTTTTTTTTTTTTTTGAGATGGAGTCTCACTCTGTCGCCCAGGCTAGAGTGCAGTGGTGAGATCTCGGCTCACTGCAACCTCTGCTTCCAGGTTCAACCGATTCTTGTGGCTCAGCCTCCCACAGCTGGGATTACAGGCGTGTGCCACCACACCTGGCTAATTTTTGTATTTTTAGTAGAGATGGGGTTTCACTATGTTGCCCAGGCTGGTCTCAAACTCCTGACCTCAAGCAATCCGCCCACCTCGGCCTCCCAAGGGTGAGCCACTGCACCCGGTCACCTCTGTATTTCTGAAGCGGATACCCTTGGTGTTCTAAGCAGATCCAAATGAATCCTCTTTTTACTGTATTTGCACACCCCTGATTTTGGAGCATTTTTGTATCCAAAACCCAAGACCTGTTGGTCTGCCTTTGAGAGCTGTCCGTGACCCTGGGCTGCTAGAGTCCCCTTTGCCCTCCTGGGACACTCCCTGGCCAGGAATCTTGGTCTCAGTGTCTGCTTCTGGGGAACCTAACCCAAGCCGATTCGCAATAAATATGAGGGTGTGTGACACACAGTGAGCACCCAAACAGCATTTGCTGAATGAAGGAATGAACAAATCGACACAGACTTCTCAGAGCTTGACTCCCTCTCAGAGCCCAGCAAGTGCTCTGCACACAGTAGGTGTGTGATAAATGTTTGCTGGAGGCTCAGCATTTGAGAGCTTTCATAATCGTCCCAGGCTGTGTACAGAATGCTCACACATCCATTTCTTTTCTTTTCTTTTCTTTTCTTTTCTTTTCTTTTCTTTTCTTTTCTTTGAGATGGAGTCTCACTCTGTCACCCAGGCTGGAGTGCAGTGGGATGATCTCGGCTCACTACAACCTCCACCTCCTGGGTTCAAACGATTCTCGTGCCTCATCCTCCCGTCTAGCTGGGATTACAGGTGCCCGCCACTACACCCAGCTAATTTTTGTATTTTCAGTAGAGACGGTGTTTCACCATACTGCCCAGGCTGGTCTCGAACCCCTGGCCTCCCACAGTGCTGGGATTATAGGCGTGAGCCCCCGCGCCCAGCCCTCACACGTCCATTTCGATTCCACCCTTACAGGGGTTCTCAAAGATTCGTACACAGCAATCTTCACTCCCACCTCACGGCAGTCTCAGAGAGGTTATGAATTGCTCCAAGGCCACCCAGCAACTTGAGCAGAGCAGGGAGTAGCACGCAGGTACTGGGAGTAGCACGCAGGTACTGGGAGTAGCACGCAGGTACTGGGAGTAGCACGCTAAGGAGGAGCAGACATCGTGTGACCCTGGTCGCCCTGTTATAGGGTTGTCACTCTTGTTCCCAAGGCCCCAGAGAGAAAGGGTTAAGACCCCTTTGAAAATCTGAAGACTTGAGGAAATGCTTCCCAGAATAAAACGCCCAGACACACACGTAAAATACAATTTCTAGGGGTCACGGGTTTCCGAAGCCAGGCTGTGGACCACAGCTTCCCCAGTTTAAAATCAATCCACTCCGCTCCAGGAACCGGGTGATCCGCAGCCCCTCCCAGGCAGCAGCCTCTGGACCACCTGTGTGCACAGCTCGCCCCCCAGTGGCCGAGCTCGGAATCGTCCTGAAGTCTCGCGTGCTGCAGCCAGATTGCAGGGGATCGCGGATGGAGAGACAAGTCGGGGGGACTTTACCCCCAGGATGGGGAAAAGTCACCCACAATTCAAGCAAAGATGACCCTTGTGACAGATTAACATTTCAGGGCCGCTACCTGGAGAATGGACGGCTCGGGACACGCGTGGGAGCCGGGAGGCCAGTGGACCAGACTGGCAGAGCCTTCAGGTGAGACAGGATGGCTCCAGGGCAGGGGCTCGGACACAGGGTCCCTGGCCCTGGACCCACCCACGGGGCCGCCACCTCTTGAGCCCCACGCTGACCCCGAGAGGCATTGTTTTCAGCCGAGGACCACCGCCCTGGCCCACTCCATTCACTATCCACTTCACCCATCTCTCCTGGGTGACATCGCTGCAAAGCAGGAGACGTCCCTGCAAAGCAGATCTGAGTCACCTGCTTTAAAGGAGAGAACAGTAGGTCTCCAGAGAGGCTGTGTGACTTGTCCAGGGTCCCACAGCTAGTAAGTGGCAGAACTGTAAAGTTGTTTGAGAGGAAGGGCCGCCTCTGTCTGGTCCACAATTGCACCCCCTGTGCCTAGCGCGTAGTGAGCACTGGATAAGTATGTGTTGAAAGAATGGGTGTCCGCGTGAGCCAAGGAGTACTAAGGAATGTGAGTAACCGCCCCGGCCAAAAATATTCGTTTCCAGCACAAGGGCATGTACCGGGGTTTATGCTGCAGGTCCTTGGAGTTTGGGGTTACAGCAACTGGTGTCAGGACTTCTGGTATTCTAGAACATTCTAGTATCAACTGAGATACAAAGTGCCCCAGGAGTCCTGAGACAGGGAAGAACAGCAAGCAGGAGTGATGGGGGAGGGGTGCTTCCTGGAGGAGAGGGCATGGCTGGAATTGCGCCTTTGATGATGGCGAAGACTGAGAGAGGCAGAGAGGGGGGAAAAGGCCACGCAGGGGCGATGCAGGCCGAGCAGGAAGAAGGGTGCATGGGACACAATCATGGGATGGTGCAGAGATTGCAGGTAGCAGGCTGCTTCGAGGTACTGGGAGGAACGTCCTTAATAGTTAGGTATTTATTTTAATGGCGACTGGAAAACTATTACTTGCCCAAAGGACCCATAATTTCACAGATATGACTGCCTTCCTTTTAAAATAAAATTCTTTAAGAAAAAAAGTAAGCCAAATTAAATCAACATGGTAAGTAGTGGAGTCCCATCGTTGGCAGGGGCTGGCGCCTGAAGTGAAGGCATGAGAAGAAAGTCTCGCAGAGTCAAAGATGCTCAGAATCAGAGACACTGAAGCTCGACCGGGTGTCCCGAACCCCAGCCCTCCAGCTGTGGGGCAGGCGGTGCTTCCCTCCCTGAGCCCTGGCTAAGGTCGTTGGCTGGGCTTAAGACCAAGGATGTGTCCAAACGCACACCCTACAAAAAAATCAAACCTCACTCAGAAGCAAGATGTTCACCCAATGAGACACACGGGAGGCTAAGTCCCTCGGGAACACACACACACACACACACACACACACACACACACACACCCCACACACACACAAACACAAGAATGACTTAAGGGCCAGGGCAGTGGCTCATGCCTGTTATCCCAGCACTTTGGGAGGCCGAGGCGGGCGGATCGCTTGAGCCTGGGAGTTGGAGATCAGCCTGGGCGACACGGCGAAACCCCATCTTTACAAAAATATACAAAAAATTAGCCGGGTGTAGTGGCACAGGCCTATAATCCCACCTACTTGGGAGGCTGGCTGAGGTGAGAGGATCGCCTGAGCCTGGGAGGTTGAGGCTGCAGTGAGCAGTGATTGTGCCAGCCTAGGTGACAAAGTGAGACCCTGTCTCCAAAAAAAAAAAAAAAAAAAAAAAAAAACCGAATGCCTTCTGGGGCCTGTCTTTTTTTCTGTTTTATGAGCAGGTAGACTTGAATGCAAGAGTTAAAACTGTCTGTGATGTGTTGCATACACAGATTAAGTCAAAATCCTCACCGTGGCTATCAAATAACCAAAGCTGGCCTCAGCTTCCCAGAGGATCAGACATGGGGAGTTTGAAGGGAACCATCCTCGGGGCCTGGACTCTCTCCTGAGCTTGTCACTCGCCTGCCATTTCCCCGGGCAGGTCACAAGACCCCCCACCCCTCCACTCTACAGCCAACGGGCAAAGCCTCCCTGACCTCCAGCCCCAATCAGAGGGAACTTCCCGGACACAGGTTTCGAGAACCCATCTAAAGATTGGGTAAGAAATGCTTTTGCAAGCCGGTGGTTTCCACTTTGCTGCTTTCTACAAATTTGAAGAAAGGTCAAACGGACCTGTCTGCTGGGAGATCAGTGAGAATCGCTTCCAATGACAGATCGCCGTGTGACATTCGCATACTACCCAGAAGGAGTATAAGAATTCCACTCCCAGTGACTTCCTTATGAAAACAAGGCTTCTCTGCACTTGCAGGGACAAAGAATTGATGGTAAAAATTGGTTTCATTCTAGCAATACGTGACAGTCATTCACGGATACATGAATTAATTGGGGGTGGAGAGGAAGTCCCACTCATCTCAGGACAAGAAGTATTTCTAAGCAAATAAAAGCCACAATGAGAAACCACTACGAAGGGCTGAAGTTTTTTAAAACTGAAAACACCAAGATGCTGGTGAGGACGCAGAGCTGATGGGAATGCAGCCTGGTACAGCGACTGTGAAACTGGCAGTCCCCCAAAAGTGAAACGCAGAGCTCCAGTTTGACTCAGCAGCTCCACTCCGAGGTATACACCCCAGGGAAATGAACGTACGCCTTCACACACAAATCTGTACATGAACGTTCACAGCAGCTTTGTTCATAGTTGCTGATGTGGTTTGGCTGCGTCCCTGCCCAAATCTCATCTCGAATTGTAGTTCCCATAATTCCCATGTTGTGGGAGGGAGCCAGTGGGAGATCATTGAATCATACGGGCGGTTAACCCCATACTGTTCTCCTGGTGGTGAGTAAGTCTCACAAGATCTGATGGTTTGATCGGGGGTTTCCCCTTTCACTTGGCTCTCATTCTCTCTTCTCTGGTCCCATGTAAGACATGACTTTGCTTCTCCTTTGCCTTCCACCATGATTGTGAGGCCTCCCCAGCCATATGAACTGTGAGTTCATGAAACCTTTTTTCTTTAAAAGTTACCCAGTCTTGGGTATGTCTTTATCAGTGGCGTGAAAACCAACTAATGCAATTGCCAAAGGCTGCAACCACTCTACGTGTCCCTCAATAAGTGAACGGCTGAAAAGCACTGGTGTGTGCACCCCATGGAGTTCTGCTCAGCAGTGAAAAGAAAGGAACTATTGCTACACACAACAACAGGCATGCATCTAGAGACAGTGCTGAGTGAAGGAAGCCAGGCTCAGAGGGTTACAGGCTGTAGATCCCATTTAGAACATTCTGGAAAAGGTAAAAATAGCTAGTGGCCAAGGGCTAAGCATGGGGATGAGGGACTTCCCTACAAAGTGGGAGGAAGGCAGCACAGGTCGCAGGCTGGGTGCAGTGGCTCACGCCTCTAATCCCAGCACTTTGGTAGGTTGAGGTGGGACTAATGCTTGAAGCCAAAAGTTTGAGACCAGCCTGGGCAACAGAGCCAGACCCCCATCTCTACAAAAAAAAAATTAGCCAGGTGTGGTGGCACACATCTGTGGTCCCAGCTACTCGGAAGGCTAAGTCAGGAGGCTCTCCTGAGCCTGGGAGGTGAAGGCTGCAGTGAGTCAAGATTGAACCACTGCACTCTAGCCTGGGCAACAGAGCGAGACTCTGTCTCAAAAAAAAAAAAAAAAAAATTATGGGAGCCCACTGTAAAACAAACAAAAACAAAGGGAAGACATGAGGAAATCTTGGGGGATGATGAAATTGTTTTGTCTTGATTGTAGGGGTAATGACTCAACTCTATAAACATGTCAAAATTCATGGAATTGTACACACACTCACACACAACTCTAATCTGTAAATGAAAAAGATATATAAAATGCATACCAAAAGGACATGCATTCCAATAAAATTTTGCTACTTTGATATGTCACATAAAACATAGTAATATAGTTTTGACCAATTGTGTCCTGAGACTTGAAAGGCAATCCAGATGGTATAGGCTAAATGTTTGTGTTGACCCAAAATTCCTGTTGAAGCCCTAACCTCCAGTGTGGCTGTGTCTGGAGATGGGGCCTCTAAGAAAATAATTAAATGAGGCCCTGATCTGATAGCATCAGTGTCCTTATAAGAGACACCACAGAGCTCTCGCTCTCCCTCTCTCTTCCCCCTTTCACACCGAGGAAAGGCCATGTGAGGACACAGAGAAGGCGGCCGTCTGAAGCCAGGAAGAGACGCCTCACCAGAACCCAACCCTGCTGGAACCCTGGTCTCAGACTTCCAGCCTCCAGAGCTGTGAGAAATAAATGGTTTAAGCCACCTATTGATGGTATTTTTTCTTTTTGAGACAGTGTCTCACTCTGTCTCGCAGGCTGGAGTGCAGTGGCATGATCACAGCTCACTGCAGCCTCAACCTCTTGGCTTCCAGCAATCCTACCTCAGCCTCCTGAGTAGTTGGGACCACAGGCGCCCACCACCACGCCTGGCTAATTTTTGTATTTTTTTTGTATTGATGAGGGTCTCACCATATTACCCAGACTAGTCTTGAACTCCTGGCATCAAGCAATCCTCCGGTCTTGGCCTCCCACAGGGCTGGGATTACAGGCGTGTGCCACCACGCCCGGCCTTGATGGTATTTTGTTATGGCAGCCCCAGACCTAAAAAAATTTACCCTTGATGGTCACAAGAAATAAAAAAAAAAAGTTTGCTTCAACTTATATATTTATGTTGCAGGCAAGTATAGGAGTGATTAATAAAAGGCTTAAAAGCATCAAATATAAATATCATTTAGATAAAATTTTAGGAGGGAAGAAGAAAGGAAATACAAGTTTAAGGGGAAAAGGGCTAACATTTCTGACCATAAAAGAGCTTGTTCGTATATTCTTTGAAATGTTCGGCAGTGAATACCCTCTCCTCTCCTAGTTAGATCCCAGCGGGCACACTTAAATACTGATGAAATGGTCTCATATTCAAACATCAACGATGATGACAATCGGAGAAAATTCCATCCTTTGCAATGATCTACACTTAAGATGAGAACTTTTAGATGGCTCCAATCTGTTCTCTTACCCGCTTCTCTTCTTCACCATTTATGTAACGAGCAGAAAGCAAAGGCCTAGAACAACACGGGGCATGTCCTATGGGCACCAGGATTTGTAGATAAATGCACAGAAACACATCCAGGGGGCCCCATGCAAAAGTGGCAAAAGCGTCTGCACTGGGGGCTGTGGGATGGGACTCAGACCCTGCTGCTTCTAAACAAGGGCGTACTCATGCAGTATTTCTATGAAACTCAACATTGCACAAGGTTGAAATTTGAAAACAACAGGAAGGTAAGCCAGCAGCCCGGCCCTGGGAGAGACGCTCTTGGCAGCCACCAGAAAGGAGCTATTGACCAAGAGAAGAGGAGCCCGGAACTTCCCAGAGGCCCCCACCCCCACGACCTCAGCAAACAAGGCTGTCACAGAGGCAGGCATCCCATTTTTTTAAACGTTTATTACTTCAAGAGTGAATTATTTTTCAAAGATGATAAAACTCATTTCTATTCCAGTAGAAAAGGGTCACAGGTTTGCCCCAGGGTCCAGGAGCGCCCGGAAGGCAGGGCCCCCAGGCCTCTTCACCTCAGCCTGGGCACCTATAATCTGAGGGACCCTGTGAGGGGGTGGGGGCAGCTCGGGGGCACAGCCTGCGGCCACTTCGGCCAGAGAGTGGCCGGCTCAGTCCATAGGATGATGTCAGTTTAGGCTGGAGGAAAAGGGCGCCAGACAACCCGATGCAGTGCCTGTGAAGACTTCGGGGGGATCAAAGTCCGGCCGGGGTGGGCGGAGACCCTCGGGCAGCTGCACAGGGCATCTTGTGCTCACTCCATTGTTTTCCGAGGCCTGTGTAAAGGCGCTTTGCCTGGCCTGGCAGGTAGACCAAGGCCAAAGCTCGTGGCCAGGGCCTGGGCACTGAGTCCCCACTGAATTTGGCACAGGAAGGCGGCACTCCCAGCCTGGCCCGTCCTGCATGGGGAGCCACCACACCGGGACTGCAGTGTTTCACCTTGGAGGGGAGGAAGCCTGGGCCCAACGGCTGAACGGGACAGGCCAGGCTCACCCGAGGAAGGGGACGCAGGACCCACAGCCCCTGTGGTCAGGCCTGTGGGCCACGTGGAGAGAAGGTTCCAGAACAGTGCTTGTTGACGAGCCTCTCCCTACAAGTCCCTTCAGCAGCAGCTCCATCCCTGAGTGTCTGCACAAGCCTGCACGCATGTGTGTATGTGTGCCAGGGCGTGTGTGCAGGTGTGCAACAGGCACATGGCAGCTGGGAGGCTCAGGCTGTGGGGCTGGGGGGCTGTCCGCTGGGAGAGTCCGGGAGAAGCGGGGTGTAGGGGCTGGGGGGCCGGTCAGGCCCAGCGGCCAGGCCTGGCTGGCTCACGGTGTCCTCAGGACCCTGTGGAGAAAGGCAAAGCTGGGTGACCACCCACGCCCTGTCACCAAACCCCACCCTCATCCCCGCCCACCACAGCCCTGTACCCACATCCCCAGCAGAGACTCCACCCCCGCCACCAGGCTGTCAGAAGTGAGAAGAGACTGGAGTCACCTATAGACTCCTGGAATGACTCCAAGGGCCTCTTCATCTCACTCAACACCCGCCTGGCCTCCCCGACCTCCTTTAGAGATGGAGAAACTGAGGCCCAAAGAGACTTAATACAGTGAGGGGCAGAGCAAGGGGGGCGGCCTGTGTGCAGCACAGTCAACATGGAACAACCGGGGCAAGCTCTGTCCCTCAGGAGGAGAACGTATGTTTATGTGTTGATTTATTTTTTATTTTTTAGAGACGGTCTCTCTCTGTCGCCCAGGCTGGAGTACGGTGGTGCCATCATGGCTCACCACGGCCTTGAACTCCTGGGCTCAAGTGATCCTCCCACCTCGGCCTCCCAAGTGGCCGGGACAATGACACGTGCCACCACCACGCCCGGCTCATTTTTTAATTTTTTGTAGAGATCAGGTCTATGTTGCCCAGGCTGGTCTCGAACTCCTGGGCTCAGGCGATCCTCTCACCTCAGCCTCCCAAAGCGCTGGGATTCCAGGCGTGAGACACCATGCCTGGCCTGTGTTTTTAAACCCATGTCACAGGACGGTATTCAGCCTGAACAGTATTCCTGAACAGAAGACAGGGAGGAAAGCCAGCCACACAGCAATACACGCAGCAGGATGCAGCTTCGGTCACATTCAAAAAGTGACCTCATGCTCATGGCTGCGCACATGCAGATTCAGAAAAAACAAACCCACGTGCCAAGTTCCTGGCCATGGCTGCTCAGGGTATGCGGGGCGCAGGACGTGGGGAGGGGGACGAGGGCCACCCAGGGAACGAGTGAAACCAAGGGCATGAGATGCTGGCCATCTTCAACACTGACAGCTGTCAGCAATGGCTGCGTCTGGGTGAGGGGAACTGGATACTGTCATTTGTCTAGTTTGACAGTTGTAGAAAATTTCTCAACTTAAAAATTAAAAATACAGATAATGCTAATGATAAGAGTGTGGGGTGAGCCTTCGTCCCACTAAGCCCCCTGCCTCCCTTGCCCTGAGCAACAGAGGCCTCCCTGCCCCGGTGGCTGGGGCTGGAAACCGCTGCCCACCTCCGCCCACCTGTGCTTGCTTCACCACGGGGTAGGAAAATCAAACTCCTGCTCAGGGCAGAGAGCGGGCACAGGGGCCAGGGTCTGCTGCACTGAGCCAGGCGCGGGGGAGGTCAGCCCCGCCCCCACACCACCCACTGAGGCAGCACAGGACACCCACAGGTGGCTAGACCTTAGCCATGTGGGCCCAAAGAGCCGTGACTTGAGAAGGTCTCACTCAGAAGTAGAAAGGGGAAACCACCCCTAGGCTGTAAAAGAACCCCTTGTCTTTCCCAAGGAAGACACGTGGAACAAAACCCGCAGGTGCCAGAGGGTGAAGCAGGTTCCTCCTCCTTCCCCTCCTCCTCCTCCTCTTTGCCACTTGTTTGACTGAGGAACATGGACTTGGCGTGGAAGAAAGATCGGTGAGAAGCTAAGAAAGGTCCAGGAACATATCCCTGAAGGGCCACCTGGACAGTTGTCCAGGCTGTTCACTGCACAAAAGGACCCAGCTGAAGGGTTACAGACCAGTGGACACACAGTTTACCAAGCCCCCTGCCCTACAGCAGGCCTCATCTGCCCAGAGGGGCTGTCTTTTTCTTATTTATATAAAAATATCTGTTTTCCCCCCTTCTCCCAAGCAAGGCAGCCCCTCAGGGCCATCCCCATACCCAGGTACAGGGCAAAGGTGTGGGGCCTTCCCCAGGGACTCAGGCCTGAGACTCAGAACAGGACCCAAGAGGGGGCAGCAGTGGCCTGCAGGGGGACCACCAGCCACCACCCAGGTGCCCACCCCAAGCTGCAGCCAGCCACTGGAGGACACTGCATTCCCCGTTTCACATGCCTAGGGGATCCGGGGCGCTGGGCTGGGCTCCAGACCTTCCAGGAGGCAGGGCAGGAGGGTCTTTTCAAGTCAAACACTTGTCTCATCACCTAAAAATTGGATTCTGTTGGCAAAATAAAGGGGAGACCCCAGTTTTGTTTGGGGGGCAGATGACAGGACATCCTGGTTATGTCCAGGGAGGTGCAGCCATGGGGCCCTGGCCACTCTATCTATGCTAAAAGTGAAAAGCTCCCTGCTCTACACTGACCAGGCCCTGACCAGCCCCTGACCAGCCCCCACCCCTGCACCCTGGGAATCCCAGGCAAGTTTCTGCAGAAGGGAGCAGTGGCTGGAAGGAGCAGGCACACCGATGGGGCCAAACCGTGCACAGCACTACGGTGTCCTGGAGGAATCCTGGGAGAGAGGAAAGGAAGGGGGTCCAGGCAGAAGGCCTTGCCCCCAAGCCTGGGGACCCTGTCCCAGGGAGGATCCTCTCCTAATATTAACACTCCACCCCAACATGGTCAGACTCCACCCCCTACTCCCAGATGGACAGGAAGGGCGCCCCAGAGCTTGACTGGGACACAGGGCTGGCAGCGCCTGCCAACGCCAACAGGCTCCTGCCTGCCCACCCCTTGGCATTTTCTTTTTCATCTCCTTGTCCAGCCCTGGCAAGTGAGATGAGTTAGAGACAGCCAAGTGGCCCCAAAGAGTGGGGCTGCTGCCTCACGTCCCCACAATGTGGCTCCCTGGAAAGCTATTTTCACCCAAGTAGGCCTAGCCTCAGAAGCTCTTGAGGGCAGCACATTTTTCAGAAACTAAAATAACAGCTATTATCAGAGGCACCACGGTAGAGCGACTCATCCCTGCCCAACCCCAAGTTGTAGGGCCTGCAGCTCTGCCCGTCACCTCCCCTGGCAAGGACACCATCCCTGGCCACGGCTCCCCCATGACCTCAGCCCTACAGGAACCTGGCCAAGGAAACGCAGAACCCCCAGGGGCATCAGCCTATGTTCCCAGCAGATAGGGCGGCCACATAAAATCAGAACGCCTAGTTAAATGTGAATTTCAGGTGAACTACAGACAGGTTTTCAGGATACGTGCGTCCTATCATTGCACAGGAACACAATAAAAATTACTTATTGCTTACCAGAAATTCATATTTAACAGGCACCCTTCTGTTGTTTCTTGTGTTTCGTTTGTTTGTTTGTGCTCAATCTGGCAATCCTACCCTCAGATCCAGTCCCAGGTATACAGTTGGTGTTCAGTTGATGCCTACATTCTTTGTTCTTGGTCAGTCATCCCAGATGTATTTATTTATTTATTTATTTTAGTTTTATTTTTTTGAGACGGAGTCTCACTCTGTCACCCAGGCTGGAGTGCAGTGGCACGATCTTGGCTCACTGCAACCTCCATCTCCCGGGTTCAAGCGATTCTCCTGCCTCAGCCTCCTGAGTAGCTGGGATTACAAGCGTGTGCCACCACACCCAGCTAATTTTTTTTGTATTTTTAGTAGAGACAGGTTTTCACCATGTTGGCCAGGCTGGTCTTGAACTCCTGACCTCAAATGATCCACCTGCTTCGGCCTCCCAAAGTGCTGGATTACAGGTGTGAGCCACCGCACCTGGCCAGTCATCCCAGATTTAGATCAATGCCTCTCAAACATGTTTCTACATCAGAATCTCATTAGGGTCCATTAAAATACAGATTCCAGGGTCCCACCATGATCCTATTCCAGAAGGCTAGAAGGCTGCCCAGGGATCTGCATTTCTAGCAGACTTCCCCAGGGGAGTCTATTGCACAAGAGATTCCAGAAGCAGCAGGCCTAAGCCTTGCTCCTGTCTTTCTAATGTGACCTTGCAAATAGGCACCAGCCCACAGAATACAAGTTGCCCTCTGGGATCAAAAAAACTGCTATTCACTCAGAACATAGGAAGGGCAGTTTCTCCAAAAGCAAAATACACAAATATGCATCTTCAGTCTGTAGACACTCCAGGTGAAGTTGAGGCTGAAGGAATGAGCAGGACCCCAAATGTTTTAAGCCGCCAGCATTCTACTTGATATGGGAGGGGGCGGGGAGGCGCACGGCATTACCTGGTACCCACCTACAGTTTTGCTTCCTGCAGCACAGAGCCCTTGGGAGCTGATGTCATCAGGGATTCAGAATAGGCCTGAATGGCCTCCTTATCCTTTGAGCCCTTTTTACTACTACTCCAAAATAAATAGCATTTCTCCTAGAAGATAACCAAGCTAATTTATAGTTGACGTTGAAGCCACATAAAAATGGTTTTACACGGTTCTTCAATTTGCAAAAGGCAAAGAGGAAACAGGAAAGGCACATAAGTTTAGAGTCCAACAACCCTCAACGATTGCAGGTGGCTGAGATGTGGGGAGCTGCCGCTCTTAGACATAAGTACAAGCATCTTCAGGAAACACACCTGGGAGGTGGACAAGCCAAGCTGAAAAGGGCTCGTCCACTTGAAAATTTAAGCCAGCGAGGAAGCAAGGTGGGGAGATGGGCCATGGAGACCGACAACCAGTGGACTTAGCTGGGGGGCTGTTTAAAATCAACGAGGAACAGATTGTTCTGTTAAAATACTTTTGATTTATTTTAAAAGAATGACTTGAGAAGAAAAAATTACTGCTTTTTTTAATTTTTGAGACAGGATCTCACTCTGTTGTCCAGGCTGGAGTGCAATGGTGCGATCATGGCTCACTGCAGCCTCCAACTCCTGGGCTCAAGTGATCCTCCCACCTCAACCTCCCGAGTAGCTCAGATTACAGGCAAGAGCCACCATACCTGGCTCAAGTGGAAAATTTCTCTAAAGAGAAATTAAAATATGTTGAGTTTACCCGCATGTGATTTTTTTTTTTTAAATCAGGACAAATTACATAAAAACTGATAAGGCCGGCCAGGCACAGTGGCTCACACCTGTAATCCCAGAACTTTGGGAGGCCAAGGCGGCAGATCATGAGGTCAGGAGTTCAAGACCAGCCTGGCCAACATGGTGAAACCCCGCCTCTACTCAATATACAAAAATTAGCCAGGCATGGTGGCAGGTGCCTGTAATCCCAACTGCTCGGGAGGCTGAGGCTGAGGCTGAGGCTGAGGCTCCCACTTGAACCCGGGAGGTGGAGGTTGCAGTGAGCCAAGATTGTGCCACTGCACTCCAGCCTGGGCAACACAGCAAGACTCCATCTCAAAAAAGAAACCAAAAAAAATAAAAATAAAAAAACAAAAAAAACTGGTAAGGTCCTGCTACATCAAAACACACATAATGGGATAAATTTCACTTACGTGGCCTCCAGTGAAACCTGCAGGGAGGGAGCCACACTGCCGATCGTAGCATTCTTACTGGATTTGAGGGTGGGATGCTGATTTGGGGGCTGCGGCAGGGAAAGGGACCCTAGCCACAGCCTAGACCTTCTGTGCTTCCTGACCCTCCTTCCCTGTCCCCATTCTGGTGGACAATTTGGAGACAGACAGAAGGAGACAGAGGGATGAGGCTGTCATGGCCTCCTCTGGCCCAGTCCCTCAGCCAGTCCCCAGGGACCCCCTCATGTGGCTGTGCGTCGTCACTTGTGGACACCTATGGTGATGCTCTGCCACGGGAAGGTATTCATGGTCTGGGAGTGTGGGTTCTGAGTCCTTCTGTCCTCCCTACATAATTCAGTCTAGAAACTGGAGGGAGTTCCATTTTGCTCGCTGGAGTCACAGCCCTGCTGGGTTCTGGCTCCCCCTGGGGCAGTAACAGAGAAGGGGGCTCCCAAAAGGGCTGGTTGGACCCAATGGTCATTGTTCATCGGGAGCTCAAACGCTAGAGCAGCAACATGATGACAGCTGGTGTCCAGGCTACCATCTCACATTGTGGAAACCTTTTCCCCCCGAGGACAGGAATTTTGAAAGGAAGTCGGGTTTCAGGTCTGAAAGCCAAGGTGAAGAACCAGGAATGCTTTATTGTCACCCAGCATGCAAGCATGGAAGCAGGCAAGCCTTCCCTGAGACAGGGGAAGAGGAAGAATCATTCACCAGTGCTAAAGGAAGCAGGTGCTGCAGAGGAGCCAAGACCAGCAGAGCAGCGGGGCAGCCCCAAGGCCCCTCAGAAGGCCTCGGCCTGTGGCCCTAGGATGATGCAGGTGGGGGCCACCTCAGAGAGTGGCTTTCTGGTCCATGCATCCAAAAACAGCCTTTCCTGATGACCTGCCAGTGGGCAGCATCCCTTCCCCTGCCATGGCAGCCACTCGCCCATCTCCACTGCCCCTTGAGCTCTGTGATCACAGCTCTCCTGTCCTTCGTGTGACTGTAGTAACTTGCCTAAAGGCCTGCCTTGCCCATCTTTGCTGCAGATCTTATGTTCTGGTCATCTGCATCCCCTGACCTGTGCAAAGGGCCTTGCAGTGAATGCATGAATGAATAAATAAATGACCCCGAAGCAAGGAGGGACACTGTTATCACCCCTCTTCCTGCTGCTTCTGGAGGTCTGAAGCCCAGGGCTGGAGCTCTTCCCCACTTCCGTTCCCTCCTGATAGCAGCTGCCCCATCCTGTTCAAGCCATCGACTTCCTCACGCACTGGGGCCTCCCCGCTGGGCCCAGGCTTCCACCCCTCCCAGCCCGGGGCCCATTCCCCAGCCAGCAGCTGACCTAGTGATTCCCCTCTTTAAAAGCCTCCAATGCCTCTGTCACTCCCAGAATCAGTTCCAAACTGCTCACTGTGCACCACGAGGCCCTGGGTGGCCCGCCCTGTCCACTCTCAGACACCACCTCCTACCTCTGTCCCTGCCCTCACTCCCCTCCAGCCACCCTGGCCCTACCTGACCGTCCAATGTGCCTTGCCTGTCCCTGCCACAGGGCCTTTGCAGTGGCCGCTCCAGGCAGCATTCCTCATGTGGCTGTGTGCTGAGTGCCTCCCTGGCCTCCATGTCAAAGCTCACTATCTACCTCTTCAGAGAGGCCTTCCTGAAGCTCCATCTGTCCTTGTCCCCACTTGCTCCAGACATGCACTCTCCAGTCTGGAAGCTGCATTCAGTTGGTGAGCCCTTGAAACGGGGCCAGTCCAAAATGAGACCTGCTGCACATGTATCGTACACACAGGATTTCAAAGACTTCATGCAAAAACACTGCAAAAATATTGATGCCGTTTATACTGATTACATGTTGAAGTGATAATACTTTGCATATATTTGGGTTAAATAAGATTAAAATTAATTCCACCTGTTTCCTTTGACTGTTAAGTGGCTATTAGAAAATTTAAACTGAAAACCTCACACGTGGCTCACGCTGTATTTCTATTTGGCTCTAACCCCTCACAGCTCCTATCATGAGTGAAATTATCTTTTCTGCTGATTTACTTGGTTTTCATCTGTCTCCCCGGCTGGGATGCCAGCCCCCCTCAATCCCCCTGAGCAGGGATCTCAGCTGTCTCCTCTACTGCTGTACGTCCCCTCGCCCCTAACAGAACCTGGCATCCCCGGGTGCTGACTTGATGAATGGATGATGCAAGTACCAGGTCTCATTACTCAAAGCCCACCTGTGCCCCCTCCAAGGGAGGGTCCCAGGCCTTCCAGAACAGGCAGAGTAGTGGCAACGCGGCATGCAAAAGACGCAAGCGTGCTGCGCAGCCCCCAGCAGTGACCGCTCCCACTCCGGCAGAGACGCAGGACTGCTGCTGGAGGTGGGCTCCAGGCTGCGGTTGGCCAGAGGGTCCGATCTGAGGCCCCTTTCCCCCAGCAGGCAAGCGAATGGCTGTCAGCCCGGGCTGCCCTCTGGCCAGCACCTACTTGGCTCCGGATTTGGCAGATGACAGGGACCAGCAGCAGGACGCAGCCCAGCGCCAGGAGGACGTACTGGGCATAGTGCATCACCTTGGGCATCAACACCAGCTGAGTGTAGAATGTGTGAAGAGTCTCCCCCTCCATGGCCCCGCTCTGAGGAGACAGAATGACAAACACATGAGCTGGGGCCGCAGGCTGCGGGCTACAGCGCAGATGCCACCCAACACCTTCCTCTGTGCCCGCCTCAGCTTTTCCCCACCTCAAGCTTCCCGGCTAAAGCATGTGTTGGAGCCTGCCAGGGACCTCCTCCCTCCAGGACACAAGGTGAGACTACAATTCCCCGACTCCCTTGCAGTTGGGCAGGGCCATATGATCGTGTCCTGACCAATGGGAGGTGGACCTGGCCTCACGTGACTCTCCATCTCGTTCCCTGCCACTGAATGGAGGCTCTCCAGGATGGCGGGGCCACCGGGGCCCTGGAACCCTAAATGACTGCAGGGAGCAGAGCTCTGCCTCCCCATCAACCCACTTCAGATTCGGCTGTGAGTAGGAAGTAAACTTGACATTCGGAGGCTTGTTTGTCCTGGCCATTAGCTAGCCCTGATTTAAAACGAGGTGGGCAAGAAACAATAAATACAGTAAATAAAATAAAATAAAATAATAAAATAAAACAAGCTAGGCCAGAAGGAATTCTGAAAAGCTGCGAGAGAAGTAAGTTTAAGAGAAAAGCTGACACCTTGGAAACCAACTTCCCCACTTTCAGGAGAAGAGGTCATATGCCCCAACAAAATTATTTTACACCCAGGGCCAGGGACTTTACCTCTTCATGCAGCTTCTGTCTTCCCCATCTCTAGGGATCCCTTTCACCTTGGTGGGATAACTGACATAGGGTGCTTGGACAGGGTGAAGTTTCTGATACGCTGGTCCATGTCACAGTCCGGTTACCCTGGCTCAGCCCTCTCCCTTTCTACAAGCTGCTCCCCCCGCCTCCTGCCTCAAATGCCCACATTGGCTCTTAACAAAAGCCCCCGACGCTGTGCCCAACGCACCCTTACCTCTGCAAACCAGAGCAGCGGCAGGACCACAGGCTCAATCTTCCCAGTTTGTCTGGAAATAAGCAAGACATAGCTGTGTGAAACAAAGTCTTACACCCAAACTTGATCTAATTCTGCTTGAATACAACATCTAAACAGGTTTAGTATAATTTTGCACACACTAAACCCTCACCACCAAATATAAACAATGAGCTGAAACACTTTAGGAGCCATATGACAAAACTGTCCCCAGGCTGAAGGTCTCAGTCTACAGCCCTCAATAATACTTGTAAATAAGACTAACTTTAAATCTTTAAAAGGCGTTTTGTTTTTTTTTTTCTTTAGTTGACAAGGTGAGATGTTTTCCCACAGGGCTGTTTGACATCACACAGCTTTGAACCTGTGATCATAAGCTCTGAGGCCAGGAGGGATTTGATTCTGCAATCTCAGTCATCCCTCCTTATCCATGGTTTTGATTTCTGCCATTTCTTACCCTCAGTACAGTACAATAAGATATTTTGAGGGAGAGACCATGTTCACATAACTTTTATTATAGTATTTGTTATAATTACCCTATTCTTAGTTATTGTTAATTGTGGCTATGCCTAATTTATAAATTAACTTTATCATAGATGTGTGTGTATAGGAAGAAGCATAGTATATGCTATACAGGGTTCAGTACTATCCCCAGCTTCAGGCATCCACTGGGGGTCTTGGAATATACCCCCAGGGATAAGGGGTCCATGGTACTTGATTGGCATGGGCTGAGGGAACCAGTGTTTCGATGTGCTGCCAGAAGGAATCTCCCCTGGCAAAGAGCTTGACAACTTGAAAATAATCTTTTTAAACTAAAAACTCACATCTCCTACAGGGCAGAGACCACCAGTGACCCAGCCAAAATCCATTGGTCCCTTTTAGAAACAGGACCCAAATTTTACTCAGGATGGCAATGCACCCAGTTAAAGACTCCACTTCAGCCTCTCTTGTGGCAAGTGAGGCTCTGTGACCAAGTTCTGGTTAATGAGATGTTCGCAGAAGCGTTACGTGGGATGGCCGGGAGGGCTGCTTAAAAAGAAGCTTTCACAGCTGGGAGGTGAACCTTTTTTCCCTCCTCCCTTTCAGATGCCTGAAACGCAGATGCAAGGGCTGGAGCTCTGCAGACACTGGGACCAGAGGTGACCTTGAGGATGGAAGCCATGTGTTGGGAAAATGGAACAGAAAGATGAGTGGAACTTGGACTATGAATGTCTCTTGCCATACTTGGACTGTCTGCCTCCAGACATCCTCTAAAAGAAGATTTTTAAAATAACAATATACCTTTGTCCCATTTGAGCCACAACTGTTGAGTTTACTGATCTATACTGCCAAACCTAATTCCACCAATATACCTCACGACCCAGCAATTACGCTCTTCAGAAACTGCCCTAGAGATGCTCACACATGCACACAGAGGCACAAAGATGTTCAGTGTTGCTTGGACTAGCAAAGACAAACAGACAAACGACAATATGTATCTTCTCTATGGCCACATATATATGAATGTAAATAAGTAGGAAAAGGCCTGGAAGGAAGCACAGCAAATTGATGATGGTGGGTACGGCTGGGGATGGCGGGGAGTCACAGGAAACCATATTCTTCCCCTCAGGAAGATATGTTCTTATTACCTGTGAAGTTAAAACTTACACGTCAAGTTAAAAAGATAATAAAATCCAAAGGGAGAATAAAAGTAAACTTGATACTGCAGAAACGTCACAGGCATGACCTCATCCAGGCTATCAAGGTCGACATCAACAGTGATACAGTATGTTGACGGAATGTACCCAAGATGCTCTGAAACTGGAACTTTCTCTCTGCGGTCCTCCTCCCAAAACCCATCACCCCAGTCTAATCATGAGAAAAGCACCAGACCAATCCCAGTAGAGGGTCATCCTACAAAATACCTGACCAGTGCTTCTCAAAAGTGTCACTGTCATCAAAATGAAGGAGAGATGAGAGACTGTCACAGCCAAAAGGTGCCTAAGGAGACCGGAAGACCAATGCGACACCTGGGAAACTGTGACCTGCCACGACGAAGGGGACCGTGCAGACATGACTGCATCAAGGCTCTCAGATGGGGAGAGCGTCCTGGAATATCTAGGTGGGTCCATGCAGATATGGTTACATCAAGGTTCTGAGATGGGAAGAGTATCCTGGAATACCTAGGTAGGCCCCAGAGAATCACAAAAGTCCTTAAAGAGAGAAGCGGGAAGTCCTAGCCAGAGCAATCAGGCAAGAGAAAGAAAAACGAAAAAACAAAAACAAATTTTAAAACCCTAAAAAAAGAAAAATTAATTTTTAAAAAGAGGGGCTGGGGCGTGGTGGCTCACGCCTGTAATCCCAGCACTTTGGGAGGCCGAGGCAGGTGGATCACAAGGTCAGGAGATTGAGACCATCCTGGGCAACATGGTGAAACCCCATCTCTACTAAAAATATAAAAATTGGCCGGACGTGGTGGCACATGCCTGTAATCCCAGCTACTCGGGAGGCTGAGGCAGGAGAATCACTTGAACCAGGGAGTCAGAGGTTGCAGTGAGCGGAGATCATGCCATTGCACTCCAGCCTGGCGACAGAGTGAGACTCCGTCTCAAAAAAAAAAAAAAGAGGGAAGCAGGAGGTTAGAGGCAGAGAGAAATTGGACAGTGCTACACTGCTGGCTTTAAAGAGGGAGAGGCCAAGTGCAGTGGTTCACGCCTGTAATCCCAGCACTTTGGGAGGCTGAGGTGGGAGGATCACTTGCACCCTGGAGTTCAAGACCAGCCTGGGCAACATAGTGAGACCCCTGTCTCTACAAAAAAAACACAAAAATTAGCAGGGTATGGTGGCACATGCCTGTAGTCCCAGCTACTCAGGAGGCTCAGGTGGGAGGATCGCCTAAGCCCAGGAGGCCAAGGCTGCAGTGAACTATAGATCATGCCACTGTACTCCAGTCTAGATAGCAGAGCGAGACTGTGTCTCAACAACAACAACAACAACAACAAAACAGGGAGGGCTAGGATTAAGGTCATGAGCTAAGGAAAGTAGGCAGCTTCTAGAAGCTGTAAACGGCAAGGCACAGGTTCTCCCCTGGAGCCTCTGGAAGGAACAAGGCCTGCAGATACCTTGATCTTAGCCTTGTTGTGTTCCTTTCAGACTTCAGACTCCCAACACTGCAAGATAGTTTTTAAAAGTGAGCCATGACATTTGTGGCAAAATTGTGACAGCAGCAAAAGGAAATGAATACAGCAACTCACACTCAGTATGGAGCAGCAGGGTGGGCTGGCTCACCACTTGCCCCACACAGACCCCCCCACAACAGGTGTCTAGCAGAAAAGGCAGTGTGGCGAGGTGGTTAATAGTGCACACTCAAGCGTCGCTGCCTGGATTTGAATCCCACCTGGGCCGCTGTGCAGGCACGTGCTCACGTGGCAGGCCCGAGCCCTTCCACCCCACACAGGCTGCTGGCAATGCTGGCCCGGAGCTGGCGTCTGGGAGCCTGGATTCGGGAGGCCTCCCATTGCTCCCTAACTGACAAGGATGGCTCACTGTGCCTGAGCAATCTGTACAAGTAATGTGGTTTATACTGACCACCAGCTTGCCTTCTAAGGGTCTGGAATTTCAGTACCTGCCAGGCAGAGGGTGGCCACATGACCAGCCCCTAGTAAAAACCCTGGGCACTCAGTCTCTCTAGCGGGCTTCCCTGCCAGATGACATGTCACGTGGGTTGTCACAACTCCTTGCAGCAAGAATTGGGTGACTCCCCTGGGAGAGGGCTCTGGAAACTGGCACCTGCTTTCCTCTGGACTTGGCCCCGTGTGGCTTTTCCCTTTGCTGATTTGCTTTGAATCCTTTTACCGTAATAAATCATAGCCACGTGTACAACCATATGCTTCGTCCTGAGGCTTCCCAGCAAATCGTCGAGCCTGCGGTGGCCTTGGGACCCCTGACACAGCCACTTACGAGCTCTGTGACCTTGGGCGTGCTACTGAGCCTGTGTCCCTTCTGTATAAGCGAGATATTATAACGTAACTCTTCCTAGGACTCTAGGGAGGATTCAATGCAGTAATACATGTAAAGTGCTTCGAAAATTACCCGGCATATAAAAGTGCTTGGCACATTTATTATTGTTGTTGTTATAATTGTTAAATCCCAGCAAAGAAATGGACACACAAATATTCTGTCACTTTGCCATGCACAGCAGTAGGGAGGGGAGATGGAAGTCACTGAGGGGCGGTGACGAAAGTCAGCACAAAAGGCTCAAATACCACAATCAGAGACCGGGCGCAGTGGCTCACGCCTGTAATCCCAGCACTTTGGGAGGCTGAGGCAGGTGATCACCTGAGGTCAGGAGTTTGAGACCAGCCTGGCCAACACAGTGAAACCCCGTCTCTACTAAAAATACAAAAATTTGCTGGGCGTGGTGGCGGGCACCTGTAATCCCAGCTACGCGGGAGGCTGAGGCAGGAGAATCGCTTGAACCCGAGGCGGAGGTTGCAGTGAGCCGAAATCGCGCCATTGTACTCCAGCCTGGGCGACAAGAGCAAGATCCATCTTAAAAAAAAAAAAAGGCTGAAATCCCCCAATCACAATTATTGGAGGTCTCTCAGGCCCCTTGTTAAGTAGGGTATTGCACAGTGAAATGGGCTCACACTATCACCCTACAGAGGACGAAACACGATGGGGAGACAACAGACGGTACCATTTACTTTGGCTGCTTTTCTCTGAAAGACTTTGTAAGAACCAATGGGAATTGTATTCAAGTAACATGCAACCCCACTGCCTTTACCTAGCGAGCAAGGAGCACAGAAGCTTCCCCGACAGGTCACGAGACAGCTCTGCTTCCCGGCAGCTGTGTCTCTAGACTTTTCCCACGGCCATCCCTCGTGGCCCTCCACATCTGCTGTTGAGACCACTTTCCTGGAGTGCCTTGTTCCCAGTCCACAGGGAGGTCAGCAGCTGTGCGGCCCAGAGAGGTTGGGTGACCGGTCCACAGGTCACTGGCAGGCACAATCCAGCTGCCCGCGTGAACTGTTTGTTAAGAATGTGAATTAGGCCCAGCGCAGGGCTCATGCCTATAATCCCAGCACTCTGGGAGGCGGATCACCTGAGGTCACAAGTTCGAGAACAGCCTGGCCAACATGGTGAAATCCTGTCTCCACTAAAAATACAAAAATTAGCTGGGTGTACTAGCGAGCGCCTGTAATCCCAGCTACTTGAGAGGCTGAGGCAGGAGAATCGCTGGAACCCGGGAGGCAGAGGTTGCAGTGAGCTGAGATCATGCCACTGCACTCTGGCCTGGGTGACACGGCAAGACTTCGTCTCAAAAAAAAAAAAAAAAAAAAAAAAAGAATGTGAATTACCTCCCAATAAGTAAAAATTGACAGAGCTCCTGTTAAAATTCAGATTTGGAAGTCCTTTTGAAAAATGCAGAGGATGTGGCCACACTGAGCCCGCATTTCCATGGGGCTACAGTCAGCTGGTGCTGGGAAGGGGCTGTATCCTCGGCCCCAGGTCGCCTCTTCTATCTGGTCACCCACTTGGCCCCAGTTGCATCCCAGTTAGCAGCCCAGGTGCCACGCGGTGGAACCAGAGGGAGGACTTGGGCTGCAAACGCCTCTTCCATGCCTGGGGCTGTTTCCCCACCCACAAATCCATCAAGAACAAATTCCCTAAGTGGCCTCAAAATATAAAAATAAAATGCAAGGGCGGGATGAAGGAAGAGAGCTCACAGTTATTACTCGCTGCCGTGCTCTGACAAAGTGTTATTCTTTCCAGCCGAGAGGCATTTGACAAAGCTGAATAGATGCTCACATTCCTGCAACCCAGGGATTTTTCTAAGAGAATTTTTTTTAACGAAACTATTTCAGATATGCTAAGAAGTACAGACACTGACATAGCAACAAATCAGTATAATCCCTCACCAAGTTCTAGCAACGTGTAATGTTATAGCAAGTGCTGGTGCGCGTGGGGAGGAACTGGAACCCTGCTGCACTGCTGCTAAGAATGGGGATGGGGCCGGGCGCGGTGCTCACGCCTGTAATCCCAGCACTTTGGGAGCCCGAGGCGGGCGGATCACGAGGTCAGGAGATCGAGACCAACCTGGCTAACATGGTGAAACCCTGTATCTACTAAAAATACAAAAAATTAGCCGGGCACGGTGGCGGGCGCCTGTAGTCCCAGCTACTTGGGAGGCTGAGGCAGGAGAATGGCGTGAACCCAGGAGGCGGAGCTTGCAGTGAGCCGAGATCGCGCCACTGCACTCCAGCCTGGGCGACAGAGCGAGACTCCGTCTCAAAAAAAAAAAAAAAAAAAAAAGAATGGGGATGGGGGGCAGAGGCTGTGCAAGTCTGACTGTTCCTCAAACGGTTAAACAAAGAGTTAACATAGGACCCAGCGATTCCACCCCTCGGTACATACCTAAGGAAAACGAGAACAGATGTCCACACTGGGACTGACACAAGAACATTTACAGCTGCATTATGCATAACGGCCCAGGCGTGGAAACAACTCAAACGTCCATCAACCGATAAATAAATGTGGTCTATCCAGACAATGGAATATTATCCAGCCATAAAATATACTGATCCATGCTACGACATGGATGAACCTTGAAAACGTGATCCTAAATGAAAGAAGCCAGTCGCAAAAGACCACATAGTGTATGATTCCATTTATATGAAATGCCCAGAATAGGTAAGTCCGCAGAGACAGGAAGTGGATGAACGGTTGCCTGGGGCTGAGGGGACAGGGAAGTGAGTGTTAATGAGTGTGGGGTTTCTTTTGGGGATGATGAAAATGTTCCAAAATTGATTGTGGTGATAGATACACAATTCTGTGAATATACTGCAAATCACTGAATTGTGCATTTTATTAGGGGGGTTATTTTTTTTATTTTGAATTGTGCATTTTAAAGGGGTGAGTTTTATGGTACATGCATTATATTTGCATAAAGCTGTTTTATTTTAAAAATCAAAAAGAGGAAATCAGTGCTTGAAAAATTCTTTTTTTTTTTTTTTTTTGAGACGGAGTCTTGCTCTGTCGCCCAGGCTGGAGTGCAGTGGCGCGATCTCGGCTCACTGCAAGCTCCGCCTCCCGGGTTCACGCCATTCTCCTGCCTCAGCGTTTCCATTTTCAAACATTTGGTTTTGCCAGGCTTTCATTTCTGCCACTCTGTCGTGTAGGAAACAGCTTGGATTGAAGCTCTGGCTAATTGGCAGGGAGGGGGTGAATGTTAAAAAAGAAAAGTGAAGGCCGGGCACGGTGGCTCACGCCTGCAATCCCAGCATGCTGGGAGGCCCAGGTGGGTGGATCACTTGAGGCCAGGAGTTTGAGACCAGCCTGACCAACATGGTGAAACCCCATCTCTACTAAAAATACCAAATTAGCCGGGCGTGGTGGCACATGCCTGTAATCCCAGCTACTCAGGAGGCTGAGTCAGGAGAATCGCTTGAACCTGGGAGGCGGAGGTTGTGGTGAGCCAATATCCCGCCCTTGCACTCCAGCCTGGGCAACAAGAGCGAGACTCCATCTCAAAAACAAAACAAAACAAAACAAAAAAGAGAAAGAAAAGTGGTGTTCTGGGGAAGGAATATCAGGATGCAGGTCAGGACCTGGCTCAAAACCAAGACCCCTCAGGGAGAAGATCAGCAGGGACTGGATTCCACCCCCAATAGGACCCTCTCCCCTCCCCATGCCCTGGTTCCTGGGGTATGTCACTGGAGTCTGGGACCACTGGAGCACTGAGCACCTAATCTCTCAATGAGCAATGCAGCCCCAGCTCCCAGTCCCCACTCACCCAATGCCTGCGACAGATTTCATGTAGAGGCTCAGCTGCAGTTTCACAGAGCAGTTCATGGGGATTCCCGTGACCTGCGGCAACAAACACAGTGAGGAGACTGGCCACCCCCAAGCTCCAGGGACACCGTCAACCCTCCTCTCCCTGGTCCCAGTCAAGAGGGTGGGCGTCCCAGCTAACTGCCCAGTGGAGCTTGCTTGTATCTTACCTAAAACAAGCCACAGGCTGGGGGGGGTCAACAGTTCTAGAAATGCTGGGCAGGTGCACTGGGATCTCCTCTCCTGATTCTAACCCCTTATAGGGAAACAAGTGCTTCCCACACAGTTATGTTCACAGCCTCAAAGAGGTTCCTTCTATAAAGCAAGGCTGTCTCAGGGTGGAAAATACCTAATCACTTTCACCTGTCCTCCTAAGACAGCGTTTCCCAAAGTGCAGAATGGCAATTTGTCCATGCTCCCTCTCAACCTCCACATTCAATAAAACAGACAAAAGTCCCTTCTCAATTCACTCCCAACTCCTCCTGATCATTTTGAAGAGTAGGTCTCAGCCAGGTGTTTGCATGGTCTTTAATACCCCTCTAATACACCTACACAAAATCTCCACTTCTAACAATGGTGCTGACAGCTGGCCCCAGGTTCACTCCTGCTGACAGACAACAATATTTTACATAGAGCCTAATATTTTTTTCCTTGTTCATTTTTATGGTTGTCTTCTTTTTTTGGAGAATTTTGTAATTTCCTATTTGAGGTAGTAAGAAAAAGCTTCCTTTGTGCAGAAATTTATTTTTATTTCTTTTTGAGACAGAGTCTTACTCAGTCATCTAGGCTGGAGTGCAGGCAACCTCTGCCTCCTGAGTTCAAGCGATTGTCCTGCCTCAGCCTCCCCAGTAGCTGGGACTACAGGTGTGCGCCAGCACACTCGGCTAATTTTTGTATTTTTAGTAAAGACAGGGTTTCACCATGTTGACCAGGCTGGTCTCAAACTCCTGGCAGCAAGCGAACTGCCCACCTTGGCCTCCCAAAGTGGGATTACAGGCGTGAGCCACCACACCCAGCCTATTTATCATTATTATTTTTGTAGAGACAGAGTTTCACTATGTTGCCCAGGCTGGCGTCAAACTCCTAGCCTCAAGTGATCTTCCTGCCTCAGCCTCCCAAAGCAGTGGAATTACAGCCATGAGCCACTATACCCAGCTCTTTTTAACGAGACTTTTTTTTTTAAGTAAATAACCGAAGTGACACACATGTGTCATCAAAAACAACAGGAAGGTGGTTCCAGAATGAAGTCAGGAAATGATAGTGGAAATAAAACTAGATTTGAGGTCAGAGAACTGCAGTTGGTTCTTCTTAACTGAGAGTCGCGTCCTCATCTGTAAAACAGAGAGAACTCTCCCGACCTGACAGAATTTTTGCAAGAGCAAAAGTAAGGTATGCAAGATAGCCACACGCAGGGCCATAAATGCCTAGGTTATTATCACGTACACTATAGGGAAAGGATGTTTTCTTCATTATGGCCCAGCATGCTGAGGACCTTCCAGGCCCCTGTGGCAAAGAAGAGCTCATTAAAGGCCTCACTTACGCCCACGACTGGGGAGTGCTTGCCCTCGAGAGCCTGGTGGGATGGGCATGAGATCACCCGTGAGTAGAACAGAGTTCACGCCACAGGCCTGAAGCTGCTCTCCTTAGGAATTCTGCTGGCATCTGGGAACCCAGATTTCAGGAGGGTCCCCACCATCCCCTAACTGATGAGAGTAGTTCACTGGGCCGAAATTATTTGTACAAACAATATGGTTCTTGCTCAGCACCTGCTTTCCTTCCCAGAGCCTAGAATTTTGGTACCTGCCAGGCAGAGGTGCCCACATGACTGGCCCCTAGCAAAACACCATGGGCACTGAATTTCTAATGAGCTTCCCTGCTAGACAACATCTCCTACATGTTGTCACAACTCATTGCTAAAGACATTAAGTGCATCCTGTAGGAACCCCCTGGAAGAGGACTCTGGAAGCTCCAGCCTGGCCTCCCCCGACTTCACCCAAGGTGCTTTTTCCCTTTGCTAATTTTGCTTTGAATTCTGTCATTACAATAAGTCTTAGCTGTGATACCACCATAAGCAGCGTCCTGTTGAGTCCCCCGTCCCCATGCCCTCCCCCAGTTTCAGGAGCAGAAAAGTGGCCACACGGAAGCAGCTTCCAACACACGTTCGTTTTTCAAGGCTAAAGGCCAACAGGCAGCAAGCTGATCTCCTGATCCCCCTCCCCAACGTGCCCAGCTCAAAAAACAAAGAAATAAAGGCCACTTCCTCTCCCCGTCGGCCTCAAGCTCATCTGGAGGTAGAATTGGACGCAGCAGCTAAAGTGGCTGCGGCAAAACAGCTGTTTGCCTCTCTCTGGGCTCCCAAACTTAACCCCTTCTTTCTTGATGTGAGGGGAAGAAAGAAAATCCGTGCCCTGAAAGGAAAGCGATCACTGAGAGCGCACAGGAGACTGTGTTCATGGTGGAATTCTCCGGAAGCCAGCAGAGCAAGAGAGGCTGGAGGAGGAATTAACTAAAAGAGGGAAGGCAGAGACCAGGGCTGGGGCCGGGGCCGAGAGGGCCTAGTCAGCGGCTAAGGAGGCCTGGGAGGACAAAGAAAAATGGTGCAGAACAGCATCCGCCATGGAGCTTCGGGAAGGGCCTAAGGTGCACAGCATTGTGGCAAACGTGTGGAGCTTCCTCAGACAACGAAAACCAGAACTACCATCGGATCAGTGATCCCACTGCCGGGCATCCCCCCAGAGGAAATGAAATCAGTGTGTCAAAGGGACAGGGGCACTCCCATGTACGCTGTGGCCAAGATACGGAATCAAGCGAAGTGTCCGTCAGTGAATGAATGGGCAGCAGAAACGTGGTGCACACACAGTGGGATACTGTTCAGCGTTTAAAAAGAGGGAAATCCAGCTGGGCGCGGCGGCTCACGCCTGGAATCCCAGCACTTTGGGAGGCCGAGGTGGACGGATCACTTGAGGCCAGGAGTTCCAGACCAGCTTGGTCAGGATGGTGAAATCCCGTCTCCACTAAAAATACAAAAATTAGCCAGGTGTGGTGGTGTGTGCCTTTAATCCCAGCTACTCTGGAGGCCGAGGCAGGAGAATTGCTTGAACCCAGGAGGCAGAGGTTGCAGGGAGCCACGATCATGCCACTGCACTCCAGCCTGGGTGACGCAGCAAGACTCTGTCTCAAAAAATAAATAAATAAAAACAGGGAAATCCTGTTATTTGTGACAACATGACGGACCTGGGGACACTATGCGAAGTAAAATAGGCCAGGCACAGGAAAGCAAACCCTGCATGACCTCACCTGTATGTGGAATCTAAAAGAGTTGAATTCAGGCCAGGCGTAGTGGCTCACGCCTATAATCCCAGCAACCTGGGAGTCCGAGGCGGGTGGATCACCTGAGGTCACGAGTTCGAGACCAGCATGGCCAACGTGGCAAAACCCTGTGTCTACTAAAAATACAAAAATTAGCCGGGTGTGGTGGTGTGTGCCTGTAATCCCAGCTACTTGAGAGGCTGAGGCAGGGAGAATTGCTTGAACCCGGGAGGCGGAGGTTGCAGTGAGCCGAGATCGTGCCACTGCACTCCAGCCTGGGTAACCAGAGTGAAACTCCATCTCAGAAAAAAAAAAGAAAAAAAGTTGAATTCATGGAAGCAGAGGGTAGAATACTGGCTACCAGGGGCAGGGATGGGGAAGTCCGTCAAAGGATACAAAATTTCAGTTAGACAGGGGGAGTAAGTTTAGGAGACCTACTGGGAAATAGAGCAACAGTCACTGTATTGTACTATACAATACAACACAGTGACTAGAGTGAATAGCAATGTATTGTAAGCTTGAAAGTTGCTGACAGTAGATTTTAAATGTTCTCAGCACCAATACATCATCAGTATGTGAGGTAATGCATATGTTAATTGGCTTGATTTAGGTATTCCACAAGTTATATACATACATCATAACATCATGTTGTACACTCAAAAATAGACAGCTTTTCTTCTTCAATTTAGAGAATTAATTTTGGCTGGGCACGGCGGTTCATGCCTGTAATCCCGGTACTTTGGGAGGCCAAGACAGGAGGATCGCTTGAGCCCAAGAGTTCGAGACCAGACTGGGCAACATGGCAAAACCGCGTCTCTACAAAAAATATAAAAATTAGCCAGGCATGGTGGTACATGTCTGTAGTCCTGGCTACTTAGGGAGGCTGAGGTGGGAGGATCACCTGAACCCAGGGAGGTCGAAGCTGCAGTGAGCCATGATCATGCCACTGCACCCCAGCCTGGGCAACCGAGTGAGACCCTGTCTCAAAAATAATAATAATTTTGTTAAAGGCCCATGGGATAGACCACAAGTGCCCACCCAGGAAACAGAAAACCACAGATTTCTGAATCAATGGTAGCAGCCACCAAGACCAACTGGGCATATTTTACAGAGAACGGAGGTGCCAAGAGAAGAGGCCACAAGCTGAAGGAGTGTCCTTGGGAGGGCCACATGTCCAGCTCCCTGCTTGTAGACAGAACTTCACACGGGACAAATTCCCTGTGTGATTTATCTGCAAAATACCCCAGGCTCTTCTTGGTACCTAAAGATCTTTATGGTATCTTGACACATCCAGAGGGCTGCCTCCAGCTCACATGTAGGAGACATCCCAGCTGATAAGTTCTAATTAATTTACTGTCTTAGAGCCCATTTATAGAAACCAGTACAGGGATCATAAAACCCTTGAACTACCTTGAACTATGGAGTCGGGGTGAAGTAAGGAACTTTGGTGGCTCGAGATTCTAGAAGCCAGGCTTCCCACCACCCCAGCCCACAGCAGCTCTCTGCCTGGGGAGAGAGGAGGCAGCCAGGTGTGCTCCAACCAGGAATCACCCACCCCCCACAGAGGATGGCAGGGGCTCACCGGGTGGATGTCCAGGAACAAGGAGTGTGCCTCCTGGTTAGGGTGCAGGCCAGTCACCGCTTCTGCCAGAACCGGGTCAGCGTTGAGGAAGTGAGGATGGGAGAGAAACAAGGGGGCACCTAGAAGAGGGGCAGGGAGGGGACATCAGACAAGGACAGTATATTGGCAGGTCCTGCCAGGCCGGAGGTCTGCACAGAGCTGTGGTCTGCAGGGCACCCCCGTGGCGATGACAAGATAACCAGACAGAGAGGATCCCTTCCTCCATTCTGTAAAAAGCCCCAGGCCCTGTGATGAGGGACAAGCTCTGCGCCAGAGAAGGGGTGAGGCAGGAGCCGCTGATTCTGACAGGAGAGACCAAAAGAAGGAAGAGGCCTCTTCACAGGAGCCAGGTGAAGGATGCCCGGGAAGCGCATTCCAGGTGGAAGGGAAGGCAGAAGCAAGCGTGGGGAGGGGGAAATGCATGGTGCACAAGGGTGCTAGGGAGGCACGGATGGAAAAGGCAACGCCAGATTTGAACTTGGGTGTGGGGAGGGGAGTCTCAAGCGCAAGCCAAGCAGCCCACACTGTCCCCTGCAGGACACGCAGCAATGATCGGAGCTCAGGTGTGTGCACCTGTGGCCAGATCTCCCTGCATCCACAGGAGTGTGTCCCTGTAGACACACCTGCTACAAATGTGAGCTCAACCTCGCCACTGACCAACCAAACCAGGCAAACACCAGCTCACCCTCGGGACAATGGACAACAGGCCTGAAGGACAAGTTAACAAGGAACAGCGAGCGGGCCTCTCTCAAAAGCTCACGAGGGCCAGGCGCCATGGCTTACACCTGTAATCCCAACACTTTGGGAGGCCTCAGCAGGCAGATGACTTGCACCCAGGAATTGGAGACCAGGCTGGACAATATGGCAAGATCCTATCTCTACAAAAATTAGCCGGGCATGGTGGCACCTGCATGTAGTTCCAGCTACTCAGGAGGCTGAGGCAGGAAAATCGCTTGAGCCTCAGAGGTTGAGGCTACAGTGAGCCGTGACCGTGCCACTGCACTCCAGCCTGGGTAACAGAGCAAGATCCTGTCTCAAAAGAAAAACAATTTTTTTTTAAAAAGCTCACAAGGATCCAGACAGTGCTAATCCACAGACAGAGCCAACGGGTGGTGACCAGGGGCTGGGGGAGGGGGCGGGGAGTGACTTCTGATGAGTCTGGGTCTCCTTTTGGGGTGACAGAAATGTTCTGGAACGAGATACAAGTGATGGCTGCACAACCTTGTGACCCTGCTAAATGCCACTGAATCATTCACTTTAAAATGGTTAATTTTATGTTACAAGAATTTTGCCTCAGTAAGGAAAACAAAACAAAACAAAACAAAAACTTGAATCAGAGGCCAGGCACGGTGGCTCATGCCTGTAATCCCAACTCTTTGGGAGGCCAAGGCGGGTGGATCACTTGAGGTCAGAAGTTCAAGACCAGCCTGGGCAACATGGTGAGACCCCGTCTCTACTAAAAATACAAAAATTAGCTGAGCATGGTATGTGCCTGTAATCCCAGCTACTCGGGAGGCTGAGGCAGGAGAATTGCTTGAACCTGGGCGGCAGAGGTTGCGGAGGCTGCAGGGAGCTGAAATCGCATCACTGCACTCCAGCCTGGACAATAGTTTTCGGAGGTTGCAGTAAGCCAAGATTGCACCAATGCACTCCAGCCTCGGCAAAAGAGCAAGACTGTGTCTCAAAAAAAATAAAATAAAATAAAGGGCCGGGCGCGGTGGCTCACGCCTGTAATCCCAGCACTTTAGGAGGCCGAGGCGGGTGGACCAGTTGAGGTTGGGAGTTCACGACCAGCCTGACCGATATGGAGAAACCCCGTCTCTACTAAAAATACAAAATTAGCCGGGCCTGGTGGTGCACACCTGTAATCCCAGCTACTCAGGAGGCTGAGGCAGGAGAATCGCTTGAACCCAAGAGGCAGAAGTTGTGGTGAGCCAAGATTGCACCATTGCACTCCAGCCTTGGCAACAGAGCAAGACTGTGTCTCAAAAAAAAAAAAAAAAGACATAGTTAAAAAATACCGTGGAAAATAATGATGTTGTAAGTTCTAACTAGAACCTGTTACTGCATGAGGCTTTAACTGGGAGCCCTGCTCTTTTTCTGTTAAAAGAAAAAACAAAACAAAAAAGGCTGATGAGTGTGGAAGGCTCTTCAAGTCCTCTCAACACCAAGAGACCTTCTCCTGCAGGTGATGGCAAGGAGGAAAAGAGCATGGACCCAGAAGCTCACTCTCACCTCCTTGGACCTTCTGAAGCCATCCCAAGCACCCGCAGGGACAGTGTCCTCCACAATCTGGAAAACGCTGCCTCTCGTGCCTCCTCCGTGGAGGAGGCAGCCACGGAGCCGAACTCTGGAGGAATCTCAAACAAGCCCTGGCCTGCCCACAGCCCCAGGTGGAGACCGAGGTGGGATGGAACAACTTGCCAGCCCCCGCCCTTGCTTCAGAGGCCGAGCCTGCATGGACCCACGCACGTGTTTCTTCCAATGTTATTACCAAGCACGCCGAGAGAGATCTTCCCAGCTGTAAGTGGTAATTAATTTGTAGCTTTATGGCATATCTAGCCAGACATAATTGCCCAGGATTGCCACCGATGATAATTAGTTGGCTCTGTGAGGCAAGTCGGATGCCCTCACGCAACAGGGAGGTTTGAGATGAGGGAGTTGTCTGAGTCCAACAGATTTCAAGGCCCAGAAAGGCAAAGGCATGGTACCTTTACTCTTTAGATAACATGCCACAGAAACACAGACATAGGTGCACCAAACGACACGTGTGCACCACGGTCACGGTCGAAAAACAGGAACTTGGATGCCTAGGAGCAATGGAAGGAGAAGATGGAGGTGGCACCCACGATGGAACACCACACAGCAACGGAGAGGAGGGGCTGCTACCACCCACAACGTCACGGACGAATTGCACCAGGGTGCTAAGGGGTGCACGGACCAGAAAAGGAGGAAAAGGAGTCTAGCATTATGGGTCCATTCACATGAAGATGCAAACCAGCTGAGCTCCGGGGCTGGATGTCAGGGCGGTGGGAGGACCGCGAGTGGCATCCAGGGCCTGTCCTGTCTGTTTCTCAGTCAGGGTGCTGGCCACGGGGTGCGTTGACTTTGTGAAGTTTCAAACTGCAGGTGTCAGCCAGGCGCAGCGGTTCATGCCTGTAATCCCAGCACTTTGGGCGGGAGGATCACTTGAGCCCAGGACTTCAAGACTAGCCTGGGCAATATGGTGAGACCCCGTCTCTTAAAAAAAATTTAAGAATTAGCTGGGCATGGTAGCAACCGCTTGTAGTCCCAGCTACTCAGGAGGCTGGGGTAAGAGGATCAATTGAGTGATGGAGGTCAGACTGCTGTGAGCCATGATGGCACCACTGCACTCCAGCCTGGGCGACAGTGATACCCTGTCTCAAAAAACAAAGCAAAAAACCCCAAAAACTGCATGAGTCATCTGGGAACTTCTTTGTATCTATGTATATTTTATTTAGAAGCAAAAACTAAGCCCGGGCAAGACGGCACAACCCCACCTCTACAAAAAAAAAAAAAAAAAAAAAAAAAATTGAAATAAGATAAAATAAATTAGCCAGGTATGGTGGTGTGTACCTGTGCTCCCAGCTACCTGGGAGGCTGAGGTGGGAGAATCATTTGTGCCCAGGAGGTCAAGGCTGCTGTGAGCTGTGATTGCACCACTGCACTTGAGCCTGGGCAACAGAGAAACCCTGTCTCAAAAATATAAATAAATATAAGAAAAAACTCTATTTAAATAAAGATTTTAAAATTCCTTTGCGCTTTTGAAATTCTTTTGGCAGATGTGCTAAGAGAAGGCGGGACACACCTCGTCCCACGCCCTTGGAGGGGATGGGCATGTCGTTTCTCCCCCTTCTCCTGGTACCTACACCCCCACTTTAAGCCTTCCCTACTTTCAGCCTTGTGCTTGGAGTGGGGCCGGCCCACCCAGGAGCCATCTGAGCATGTGACACAAGCCTGGCCAATCAGCATAGTCCACCTCGGCTACTGTGATTGGTTTACAGCTGGGCATGGGAGCCAGGCAGACCAATTAGAGCAAACCCTGGAACTTCTGCTGGAGTGAAGGAAACACAGGTGGCCCCCTTTCTGCAGGACTCGGAGCTGGGCGGAGGTGAGCCTGGAGCCTCCACAGGCAGCCAGGAGGGAGAGCCTGCTTGGCAGCAAAGCCAGTCCAGCAGAAAACTGAGCTGGGACTTGGCAGAGGCAGCTTCCAGACAACATCTAAGTTCTGGATTTGTGCCTAATGCAGAGATCTGCCCTGGAATTTTTCATTACGCAAACCAAGAAGTGCCCTTTTGGCCTAAATCAGGTGGAGTCCAGCATCTGCCACTTGCGACAGTTGCTGTAGCACACCTATTGGGTGTGTAACATCCTCAACCTTAGGAGCAGAAATCCCCGCCGATACCAGCAAAGAATGAAGCAAGCAGAGGCCAATGCCCAGACGGGCCAGACAGGACCAGGAGACAGCAGCGGGCGTCCCAGGCCCCAGCTCCAAACCATTCATTCACAGGTTGTTCCATTCTGCCTGAAATAGGGGAAAGCATCCAATCTGTTGACAGCCCCTCCTCCTGACCCCTGTTGCAGACCAGTCCTTTAGAGTCGCCATTGCCAGCTGGAGGACGGGGCTTCAACCAAAAAGGCTCCCAGAAGGCAAGACACAGTCAAATAGAGGGCCGCTTCCGGTCCTACCAACCCTGTGACCTTGGTCGCATCCAGCATCAGGCCTCAATTTCCTAAGTACAGAACGCACTCACCATCCCTATATTCAAATACTGTATGAGTACCCATTACATGCGGGGCACAGTTCTAGAAGCTAAGAATAAAACCAACAAGAGGAGCTTGGGGCCCTGCCTACAGGGATGACAGTGAATGGAAGGGGCAATGAATAAAATCCACAGTCCATGAGTTCAGGGAGCAATGAGCACCAAGACAAGAAGAGGAAGACAAGAAGACCAAGACAAGAAGACAAGAAGAGGAAGCCATAGGGAGCAGCAGGTGGGAGAGGGGGCAACTTTAGAACAGGAAATCAGAGGAGGCCTCCCGGAGGAGGTGGCATTTGCATGCAGGCCAAAAGAAGGTGAGGGATGATCCACTCAGAAATCCAGACAAAGAGCTCTCCAAGCAGGGGAAGCAACCCATGCAAACCACAGTGCAAGGCACTGACCTTGGTATACTTTAGAAAAAGGGCGAAGGCATCAGGGCTGGAGAATAATGAACAGGGGACGTGTAGGGAGAAATGGAGTCAGAGAGGCTGGTGGGGCTGGATCCTTCAGAGAGGCCGGTAGGGGCTGGATCCTGCAGGGCCCAGGGCCATGGTGGGAGTTTGGACTTCACTATGAATGCAGACAGAGCTGCCAGACATTTTAAGAGGACGGCGGCCATCTGCATATTTTTCGAGATGGGTCTTCCTCTGTTGCCCAGGCTGGAGTGCAGTGGGGTGATCACAGCTCACTGCAGCCTTGACCTCTGGGCTTAGGCCATCCTTCCACCCCAGCTTTCCACGTAGCTAGGACTACAGGCATGCACCACCATGCCTAGCTAATTTTTTTTTTTTTTTTTTTTTTTTGGCCAGAGAGAGGTCTTGCTATATTGCCCAGGCTGGTCTCGAACTCTTGGCCTGAAGTGATCCTCCCACCTCGGCCTCCTACAGGGTTGTGATTACAGGCGTGAACCACCACACTCGGCCTGCATTGTTAAAAGATCCCTCCGCTGCTGTCGGGAGTGCTACAGAACTTCCTATGATGATGGAAATGTTCTCTATCTGTGCTATCCAAGACAGTAGCTGCTAGACACACATGGCTTATGAGCATTTAACTTCCGGCCGGTGCAACCAAGGAACTGCCTTTTAATTTGATTTCGTTTAAATCAATTTCAATTTAAACAGCCGCAAGAGGCCAGCAGTGACCGCACTGGATGGTCTAGGGGATGGATGGTAAGGCGGCAACACTGCATTGAGGGATGGGCTACTGAAAGGGCTGGATCACCAGGAAGGACGTGTCCGTGGCCTGGACAATGAGGCGGGGGTTGGGGTGGGGAGCAAGAGAGAGGAAGGAGTGAGGACTCAACCTGGAGGTAAAGCCATCTGGGCTTGTTGACGCACTGGAAGAGCTGGGTGAGGACAGGGAAACAAACTGACGCCCGAGGGTCCAAACTGAGCAACTTGAGGTGGGGGTGTCTCAGGGACTGGCACACAATTGAGACACACCAACAATGTCAGGGGACCGACGCCAACAGCAGTCATCACATCTGCCTAGCCACCCACACTGCGGAACGAGAAGATGTTACGTAACACACAGACCCTCGCCAGCCTCATTTCATGTCATTTAGGACACGTACATGCCCTAAGCCCCAGAACCCATGACTATGTCAGGTCACAGGGTAAACGGGCGCTGGGCCTGCTCAGCAGCTGCCTTGAAGGTCCAGAAATTGGGCCGGGCACAGTGGCTCACACCTGTAATCCCATTGCTTTAACACGCAGAGGCAGGTGGATCACTTGAGGCCAGGTGTTTGAGACCAGCCTGGGCAACATGGTGAAACAACATCTCTATAAAAACTTTACAAAAATAAAATTAGCTAGGTATCATGGCCCACACCTGCGGTCCCAGCTACTCAGGAGGCTGAGGCAGGAAGATCGCTTGAGCCCATGAGGTCGAGGCTGCAGTGAGCTATAATCGCACCACTATACTCCAGCTCCAGGCTACAGAGTGATACCTTGTCTCAAAATATAAAAATAGGCTGGGCGCGGTGGCTCACACCTATAATCCCAGCACTTTGGGAGGCCGAGGCAGGCAGATCACTTGAGGTCAGGAGTTCAAGACCAGCCTGGGCAACATGGTGAAACCCCCATCTCTACCAAAAATACAAAAAATTAGCCAGGTGTGGTGGTGCACGCCTGTGGTCCCAACTACTCGGGAGGCTGAGGTGGGAGGATCACTTGAACCTGGGAGGCGGAGGTTGCAGTGAGCTGAAATGGCGCCACTGCACTCCAACCTGGGTAACAGAGTGAGAGTCTGTCTCAAAAAAAATAATAATAAACAAGATGGGGAGATTGTCCTGGGGTATCCAGGAGAGCACGATGTGGTCTTAAGGGTCCTTAGAACTGGAAGAGGGGGCAGAAGAGGGAGGAGAGGAAGAGATATGAGGACAGAGTGGATCAGAAGGATGCCATGTTGCTGGCCTCAAAGGTGGAGGAAGGGCCCGGGAGCCAAGAAACACAGAGGGGCCTCTGGAAGCCAGAAAAGGCAGACGCAGCTTCTCCTAGAGCCTCCAGAAGGAACACAGCCGCCTTGTTCTGAGCGCGGTGAGACCCACGCAGACTTCTGACTACAGAACTGCAAGATAACCAGTGTGTGTTGTTCTAAGCCCTGAAGTTCATGGCAATATATTGTGACAGCAACTAATAGACCTGGCATTTCTTCCTTTTCAGATTATCTTCCTGCGGCCTCATTATCTTCGCCTAATGGGATTATCAAGAGTACAGAGGCCAGAGATTAAGCAGACAGCACTGGGCAGATAAACCCTCAGCTGGCCCCACCCTCACACCCTCCCGCCATCCCAGCACAGGGGACGGCACGTACTGAACCTGCAGGTGCTGACGTTCTGAATTCCAGACTCCAGGCACGGGCAGAAGCCTTCGTTGGGTGGGTAGATGGACCCGTTGGCAAACAGGGTTTTGGGAGCCACGAAGCGATAGGTGGGGATGCCTTCAAACACCCCTGACTCCTTGTACATTAGCTTCATGGATCTGCAGGGGACAGACAGGATGAGAGGGGACACCCAGACCCGGCGGCCAGAGCCAGGCCCTGCCAAAGGCTGCCCAGATCCAGCCACTTCTCCCCACGGGCGCTACCACCTCCCGGGTCCAAACCGCCCCCATCTCTCACCCGCGGAGCTGCAGCGACCTCCTAACAGGCCTCTCCGCTCCGACTCTGCCTCCCCACCCACATCAATGTATTAGCCGTGGCCAGATGGAGTTTTACAAAAGAACAGAGGCCAGGCATTATGGCTCACACCTGTAATCCCAGCACTTTGGGAGGCCGAGGTGGGAGGATCACTTGAGCCCAGGAGTGTGAGACCAGCCTGGGGAACATAGTGAGACCCAGTCTCTAAAAATAAAATTGTTTTTGAAAGTTATGAAATTAAAAAAAGAACAGAATATATCATGCCCCTGCTGAAAATCTGTGACCCTTTCTAGTCTAACCTACCATTAGGATTCATTGACCTTATCTAGCCCCTGCATAAGCTCTGCTCAGCCCTGCCCCAACTTCCTGTGCCCAGGGCCTCCCTGCAGTTCCTAAGCACACTCACTCCTGCCCCAGGCCCTTTGCATCACTGCTCCCTCTGCCTAAGAACAGTCTCCTCTGGCATCTTCATCCACCAGACTTCAGCCCTTCAGTCAGATCTCAGTTCAGCTGTCACTTCCTCGGGTGGCAGCACCGTCCCCCACACCCACCCCATCCACCCTCCATCCATTCATGCTCCTGTACTTTCTCAAAAGCACTTCTGAACTTGAACATGCACTGTGCTACCCACTCTGTCCACGGCAGCCACTCAGCACGCATGGCTGTCCATCCCGCCCTTGACATGGGGTGAGTCCAAATTGGGATGCAAGTATAAAATACATTCCAGATTTCTAATACTTGCTAGCAAAAAAAACAAAAAAAAAACCTCATCAATAACACTTGAAATGATCCCATTTTTGATATATGAGGTCAAATAAAATACATTATTAAAAATAATTTCACCAATTTCTTGTTACTTGTATTAATGCAGCCACTAAAAAATTTTAAATTGCATGTGTGCCTTGCATATTTTGATTTATAGGAAAGTGCCAGCTTAGATAACAGTATTATGTCAATGCCAAATTTTCTCATTTTGATAACAGCATTATGGTTATGTAAGAAAATGTCCTCGTTTCTGAAAAACACCCACTGAGTATTTGGAGGTAAGGGGGCATACAGCCTCCAACCTACTCTCCGATGGTTCTGGAAAAAGACACTCGGCGAGAAGAGGGGGTGGGGGGCTTAACACGGCTAGTGAACCTGGGTGAAGGGGAGACGGGGGCCACTTGTATTTCTCATGCAACTTTTCTTTAAGTTTAAAATTCAGCTTTTAAAGTCAGCTGGGTACAGTAGCTCACACCTGCAATCCCAGCACTTTGGGAGGCTGAAGCAGGAAGATCCCTTGAGGCTAGGAGTTCAAGACTAGCCTGGGCAACATAGCGAGATCCCCATCTCTAAAAAATTAAATAAATAAATAAGTAAAAACTTAAAATAGTAAAAAGTGGCCACACAGAGCAAAAGCACTGTCACTCTCTGACACTCTAGTGTTTGTGCATTTGCCTGAGTTGCCCTGATAGGACACAGCCTCCTGGGGAACGGAGACTTGGCCCACCCTCTCACTACCGGGCACCTGGCACACAGTAGGGCTTCACAGGGTTTGCTGGGAGGGCAGATAAGTCAAGGTCCACATGAGTGAATTCCTAAGTAAAGGACTTTTCCAGAGTGACCAGAATGGAACACGACACAGCAAGGCCTCCAGAAAAGGGCTGTAGGAGCCACCCACTGTCTACTCTTACCCCACAACTGGGACCATGGGACACAGAGCTGAGCCTGAAGGGGCCAAGCAGAGCCAGCTGATGTCTCAGCACCCAGATGGTCATGGGGGCCACCAGCCAGACGCCAGAGGGAGCCCACCTCTCGCCTCCATTTTATGGCCCCCTGTGACTTGACATGTCCTGCCCCCTCCTCCCAGCCCAGCACCACCTGGCTGCAAACCACCACCAGCAGCCTCTCTTTGGGCTGTGTAGAGGCATTGGCAGCTGGAGTTTGGCTTTTGGTGGTGTGACCAAAGAGAATTCAAGCTGGTGCCAAGGGCTACTGAGTCAAATCCACGATGAGTCAAAATGCTTTCCAAGTGCACAGCCAACACCACAGAATTTGGCCATGAGCTACCCAGGAAACCCAGGAGGCCCCGAGTCCCAGTGATTACCGGCAGGCCTCCGGGCTGTAGAACTCCAGCGAGGACTCAGGAGTCATGAAGGGCGGCCACATTTGCCCAGAAGTTCCATTGATCATGTTGCACTGATCGGAATGCCAGAAGTCAACCTGGGGGGAAGCATCCAGACTAGACCCCTCAGTAGGGCCAAGGCCCCTTAATAAGCCCTCTCAGGTGCTGCACACCTAACTCACCCTGGTGCACGCACGGCCACTCAATTCCCAATACTGGCACGGTGGGAAGAGGGCAGGCTATGTAGACACACAGAGAGAATGCCTACCACAGCTTCCCCCTCCCAGACCCCTGAATGTGTAACTTCGCTAGGGACTCAGTTCTTTCATCTGCAAAATAGGCCTATCACCCACATTTCCAGCCTGAATCTGGAAAAGAAGTGTGGTGAGCAGGTGAGGTGAGAGGTGGGGCGCGGCTGTGCTCAGCCCTCAGAGCGGAAGTCAACAGGCACCTCCTGAAAACAATCGGCACACAGGCAAACTACTTAAAATCATAATGGTGGCCACCACCGGGCAACCCCAAAACAGAACCTGTCAGGTTAACTGACTCTGGGGAGCGAGACCCAGACTCGACAAAACCAACTGCTCACTTTCCAATCTTCTGTATGATGAGGATGTTTAAAATCACGTGCACATGTACAGTATATTGGAATATACAAGCCACAATGAATGTGAACTCCATCTATCGTGAATGGCTACTGCCAGTTGCAGATGGTGATTTTTGCCACTCTGGGCACCGGTTGGGGTACGATTTGTCCCTAGCCCTCAGGGTCTTTGCAGTAACTACCACGGGGAGTGGGGAGTGGGAAGTCACACAGTCATTTTCACACATATTGAGAAAAGGTCACGAAGGTGAAAAAAGCCAGTTGCAAAACAATGCACGTAGTATGATTTCATGATGTTCAAAGAAGAAACAATTCCGTATTTCTCTGCGTACATATAGGTGTGCACATGGGTAAAAATGGATGGGAAGAATATATCCCAAACTGATAATTGTGGGTTTCCTCTGGGGCAAGGGGTAGGGGTGGGAGGTGATACTAAGGGCACTTATCTCCCTCTCTTGTTTTATTTTGTAATGTGAATCTCTTCTCTTTTTTTTGGAGACCGAGTTTCACTCTTCTCACCCAGGCTGAAGTGAAATTGCGTGATCTCAGCTCACTGCAACCTTCACCTCCTGTGTTCAAGCGATTCTCCTGCCTCAGCTCATGAGTAGCTGGGATTACAGGCATGCAACACCACACCCAGCTAATTTTTTGTATTTTAGTAGAGACAGGGTTTTGCCATGTTGGCCTGGCTGGTCTCGAACTCCTGACCTCAGGTGATCCCCCCCACCTCGGCCTCCCAAAGTGCTGGGATTACAGGCATGAACTACCACGCCCGGCCTTCAAAACATTTTTGTAAGTAAAGAATCGAAAGGAAGAAAGCACTCAGTTCCCAGCAGATGCCAGGTGCTCAGTAAGCTCAGTAAGCAATCACTAACCCCACCTGCCCCTCTGGGTGGTCAAGCTTTAACCAGAGGTAAAATCCCTCCTCCAACTTCAAGAGTGTTCATCCTCCCAGCACCCTCTTCACGACAAAGGAAGAAGGAGCTCTCTGGTCCCTGCCACTCCCGAGCAGCCATGGCCGGGCCCACCCTCCCCTCTCCCTGGCGACAGGGGCCCTCGCCTCTCGCCCCTCACCTTGCTCAGCCCGTTCCACTTGTCCACGAGGTGGATCCTGCTGATGTTCTGGACCCCCGTGAACACCGTGAAGAGCCCAGAGTCGGAGTTGTTGAGCTACAGACACAGCAGGGAACAGCATCGTAAGGCTTAGGCCTGCCATTGAGCCGGCCTGGTCTGAACATTCTGGGCTGAGCCCTCCTCCCCCTCCACCAGAAGGACAGGGCCCCCAGCATCTGGTTCACTGCCAAATGCCCAGTGTCTGGGGACCGAGAGGAGGCTTGGGAGCTTTCTAGGAGGAATGGTCCCGGGTTCTGTGGCTGCAGTGTTCCACCCTCCCTTCCTAACTCCAGGAGAGTCTGGCTTTCCTCCCAGGTAAATGGCAGATCACCCCCACCACACCCTACTCCAGCATAAAATAAAGCATGGCCAGGTCAGCTCCCTGAGCAATGAAAAAGGAGAAGTGGCATGTCACTTGGGGGGATGCTTTAAGGACTGTGCACACGCCTTTCACCGGGCTCTCTGCCGCTGCTATAGCAGCCAAGGAGGTATGTGTCAAGACAGAGCCTCCCTCAGCCTGGATCCCCAAGTGACCACCACAAGCGCGGGTGCCCCAGTCACCCACACTGGACGTGGAGTGCAAGCAAAGGAATAAGTCTTGGTTGTTCTAAGCCATGGAGATTCCGGGGCTGCTTGTCACAGCAGCAAAACCTGGCCTGTCCTAACCCATCGAGGTTCTTGATAGTGGGGCCCAGGCTTTGGTGCTCCGAGAGCATTTCCCAGAAGCTGGTTTCTAATCCCAAAGACATGCAAAGCACAAAGTGGTATGAGTGACTGAAGGAAATATCTAGAAGTGCTTTGCAGGGTGGAGCACACTGAGGAGCTCCAAGGTTGCCCGGCTGAGTGACTGCACCCATCACAGACCTCCAGAGCAGGACCCAGCACAAGGCCCCAGCCCAGCATCCCGGGTGTGTCTGTCACGTGCCCATGTGGAGCCAAGAATAACCAGAGCCACTACAAAGGGGAGCATTAAAGGGACTCATGTGCAAAAACGGCCAGGTACAGTGCACCGGACACAGTAAGAGCTCAAAATGATAGTCTTTATTTTCATTATTATTGTTATTATTAATAAATGCTCACCCAATAGGATACTTAAATGATCATTATAATGGACGGAGAGCATCAGAAACTGCCAGTTACTACCCAAAGCCCAATCTCTCCTTACTCTTTCATACAAAACCCAAACCATACTCAGAGCATCAGCACACCCAGCTAAAAGGCTACCTTTCCAGCTTCCCCTGGAGCTAGGTGTGGCCATGTGACTCAGTTCTGGCCAATAGAAAGGAAGTGGACATTGGTTTTCTTCCTCCCTAAGAGGGAGGAAACTGGAACACGCTGTTTTACCCCCAGTTCCTCCATCTGCTCCCCAAAGCCCCACCATTTTTTCCTTCTTGCTGTGCTGCCTGGAATGTGATGTGATTGCTGACACTCTAGCAGCCAACTTGGACAATGAGGTTATCTTGAGGATGAAAACCACATGCCAAGGATGGCAGAGCACAGTAGTAGAAGGCTTCCAGATCACTTAAGACCATGAAGCCACCACACCAACACTGAACAGCCTACCGCTAGACTTTTCTTGTGAGGTTTTCATTATATGCAGTCAAACGTAGATTATACTAAACTAGGGACTTTGTAATAACTTTCATTTGCAAAGCACTTCAGGATTTACAAGATGCCTTTACAGCATCATGCCACTTAGCCCAAACTTGCTCATTTACCCACACGACAGGAGCCCGTCACCCTTGACAAAAACGTACTGAGTATCTATCACACGCAGCACCACGATATCCCCCCCAGCACTCTACCCTGATCAGCAGAGACCAAAGAGATGGCTGAGGCTGGAGCAGTCCCAAGGACTCAGTGAAACCTGCGGTGAGGGAGCCAAGGTCAGGGTCAGACCCTCCATGGACGAGATGTTGGCTCCGAAGCCCAGTCAGTGACCCTACCAGGTTGCCAAGAGTCAAGATTAAGAGTCAGCTTGTGATATTACTCCCCAGCAGCCATGCCCCCTTCCTCCAGCAAAGCCTCCAATTTGCTAAGCTAAGGCCCAGTCACATCATTTGAGCCTGGATCAAGCTGTACCTGAATCCAACCCTAGCATTTTCAGTTCTATGAGCCCCAACATTCCCCATTTCACTCAAGCCGGTTTGAGTCAGGTTCTCAGTCACTTACAACCCACAGCCACTAGATCCCCAGCCAGCTACAAAGCAAGCTGGTGACCAGTGTCCAGGCTGTGTGAGGGGAAGACAGGACACAGGCCTGAATCTTTGGCTTCTCACCAGGCCACACGTACCTCAGCAAATAATCCGAACTTGTCCTTGAAGGGGAACATGCCTGGAAAGTACTTGTTGATGAGATTCACAAGGGGGTCCTTGTAGCCCCACATGATCTCACCCACAGTGCGGTTCATGAAGGCACGTTCGCCGAGGGTGGTGAATGCCAAGGTCATGATGAGCTTCAGGGTCATGGGCTTATTCTCCATCATCACCGCCGCACCCTGCAAGGCGAAGGGACACTAGTGTCAGAGGCTGGACGTGGCTGGCCCATCCTCCCTTGGCCCCAGCTGGGCCTCACAGCAAAGAGCCCATGAAGGGAAATGCTGGGGTGCAGGAGGCCCCTGGAGTGGCCACGTGGGGCATCTGGGACACCAGAACCACCCTCTGCTCCTCCAGTGCCAAGGCCACATGTGCTCCCGAGAACCCCTTCTCCCCCTTGCACCCCACTGGACTCAGGCTAAGTGAACTCCAGCCCCAGTCCCAGAGGCGGGCCTGTGGCTCAGCCCTCAACAAGACAGCCCCTTTTGGAGATCTCAGAAATGTAAATTGAAAAGGGAAAAAAAAGTACTTTGGCCAGGACTTCCAAACCAAGACAGGTGGACCCACCTGGGAAACTCAGAACCCACTGGGGGTGGTGGAGACAGCACAGGGCCGAAAGCCACCCACCAGGCGTGAGTCCCCACGCTCCGACCACCTCAGGGACTGCTCTCTGCACAAGGGGCAGGCGGGAGGAGAGACAGGGGACGAGGTCAGGGTGCGAGGCGGCGTGGGCCACAGGGCAGCCTCACCAAGACCAGGATGTTGGGCATGACGATGTAGTCGCTCTCCGAGCCGTGGGACTTGGAGGGCTGGAACTGGAAGGTGCGGTACTCGAGGAAGGACACGGTGTCGTTGTTGTTGAAGGTGATGTTGCTTTTGTGCCTGAACTCCCTGTGGGGGAAGCCAGTGGGTCAGACGCCCCGCCCCGCTGCATGGGACGTTTCCCTTCTACTCGCCTGCAATGCCTGCCTGGGAACCAGGGGCCCTGGACGTCTGTGCACACCTCCGGCCCCACAGCCAAAGCTGAGCTCGGCCCCTTCGCCAAGTCTGTCCCTCCCGCCGCCTGCCCACTGCAGGACATGGTGTCGCCGCCCACCCGGCCTCGTTCTGCTCTCCCCCACCCAACACGGCCATCGTCTCTCCATCTACAAAAGGAAGTAATCACAAGCCCTACTTCACAGGGCAGCTGTGGGGATTAAGCAATCAGATACCCAGAAAGCAATCAACACAGCCGCCGGGTGCAGAGAAAGCACGAGGTAAACATCAGCTGCTGTGACTGTTGCTGCTGCTGTCCTTATGATCTCTCATCTCTCCAAGCCACTCTCCACCATCCAGAAGAATCTTTGAAAAGTGGAAATCAGGTCGGGAGCAGTGGCTCATGCCTGTAAACCCAGCACTTTGGGAGGCTGAGGTGGGCAGATCACCTGATGTCAGGAGTTCAAGACCATCCTGCCCAACATGGCGAAACCACGTCTCTACTAAAAATACAAAAATTAGCTGGGCATGGTGGCAGATGCCTGTAATCCCAGCTACTCGGGAGGCTGAGGCAGGAGAATCGCTTGAACCTGGGGGGCGGACGTTGCAGTGAGCCGAGATCGCGCCACCGCACTCCAACCTGGGTGAAAGAGAGACTCCGTCTCAAAAAAAAAAGTAGAAATCAGATCGTGCCATGCTCTGGACCACAACCCCACTTTGCATGCAGGTTAAAATCAGGCTCCTAACGTGACCTCTGAGGCCCTCAGCAAGGCTCAGGCCTCGTCTCTCCACTGTCTCCCTCCCTCGTAACCCCAGCCGCACAGGCCTCTGTCCCAGCCTTCAGACCTTTGCACATGCTCTGCCCGGGACTCTGTCTCCCCAGGGCCTCTTCCCACCATGCGGGTCCAGTGAGTGTCCCTTTGCAGATGTGCTCCCGACCCTCCAGTCAGACCGAGCCCCAAGGCCACCCTCCCTCCTGCACTCCGGCTTCACACTGTTTTGTCTGCACAATACTGATGGCTGCCTGATTTCCCCTTATTTGTCCACTTCTTTACTCTCTCCCCATCAGAACATCAGCTTGGTGAGGCAGGGCCTTGGTCTGCCTGCGCCCCCAGCACACAGGAGGTGCTCAGTCAGTGCTCACAGAATGAAGGAGTATAGAGAGCTTTGGCATTTTTGCCCATTCTGTCCACTGCTGGGTCCCCTGTACTTAGAACGGCAGCCAACACCTAGCAGGTGCTCAGTAAACATTTGTTAAATGAACGAGCGAATGAGTGAATGAGTGAACGGAATGCAGCAGCTGATTCATGTTTCCCATTCCCAAACCTCAGGCACATTTGCTGGGTTTTCATCTTGGCTTTCCCAGAACCAGACTGTGGGTCTCCAACAGCGGGAACACCCTCTGCCCGCCCCATCCCTGGAACACCGTGTGCCGGGGGCAAGTCAGCTCCCCTGTCTGTGAACTGGGAAGTGGGGGTGTGGAGGAGGGGAGGTGCTGTGAAAACGCCAGGAGGTAAGGGAGTTGTAACAGGCACATCCGCCAGCCGTCTCAGAGCTCCGAGTGCATCCTGAGTGTCCCGGTGACCCCATGAAGGGGCTCTTGTGTCTCTCCAGTCTGCAGACGGGCAAACTGAGGCTCAGAGGAATGAAGTCACTTCCCCTAGGCCACAGCCAGGTACAGGACAAGCAGAAAGCAAAGGCACAACTCTGTGGTCCTTGGGCCAGCATGTTCCACAAACAGCTGACCCCTTCCCGTGCTGACCCACCCGGTCCTCTGGCCCAGATAGGGTCTGGGGGGTCGGTCCCTGCTCCTGGTCATGCATGTGTGTGTGTGTGTGTGTGTGTGTGTGTATGTGTGTATGCATGTGTAGGTACATGTGTGTGTATGTATGTGTGTGTGTATGTGTATGTACGTGTGTATGTATGTATGTGTGTATGTGTATGTGTATGTGTGTGTATGTATGTGTGTAACTCACACATGCACCCTCCACCCAGACGCACACCATTGGTCCCTCCCTGCTCCATAAAGAACCTCTCTAGGCAACGTCTGGTGATTCGCACCTGTAATCCCAGCACTTTGAGAGGCTGAGGCGGAGGATCGCTTGAGCCCAGGACTTCAAAACCAGCCTGGGCAACATAGCAAGATCCCATCTCTAAAAAAAAAAAAAAAAAAAAAAAAAACCCTAAAACAAAAACTTCTCTGGGACTAGCACTTACCCCGACTATGACTTGCCTGCTTCCGGAACAATCTCTGGGGCTCAGTCAGCAGCCTCCCCATCCCGTCCACTCTGAGACCCCTCCCCTGCCCAGCCTCAGCCGGCCCCTCCACCCTCACCTGGACACAGCCTCACCTGTACACGTAGGGCCCGCGCTCCCGCACCTGCGGCTTCTCGCCCTTCAGGATCTCGCTGGGGTTCATGACGTCAAAGAAGTAGACGGAGAGATAGAAGGGGATAGGGATCTCCTTCCACATGTTGAAGGACAGGCTACTGGGGTCGATGCGCACGTTCTGCAGGGGAAGGGACAAGTACGCTTGTGAGGAGAGTGATGAGGGCCCCACGCCCCACCACAAGGCTCCGGAACAGCTGCCCGAGCCCGGCCAGGGAAGGGGCTCCTCGGCGGGAGCTTGGGATAGGAGGTGGTGGGAAAGCCCTTCGCACATGAGGCTGTCGCACCTGGAGCTTATGGAATTAAACAGGCAACCTATCCATGCTGTCATAATGCATCTTAAAATATGTCCTAACAGCAACAGGTGACACCAGTCAAGGGACTGTGGTAAACAGGGGCCCATGCACCACCTAAAGGGAGCGCCGGAGCTCAGGGTAGCGGATGGGCTCAGGGCAGGGATAGCCTCATGCAGGAACATGGGCTCCGTGTGGCCAGGGGGATCATTCATTCATTCCACAAGCAAGCACTGAGCACTACCACCTGCCAGGCGGGTTCTAAGAGCTGGGGATGGGAGAATGACCAGGACAGACCAAAAGCCCAGCTATGTGGGGCTTTACCATAGCGGAGGAAAGGCAGGCACCAAACAACTCAGGTAAAACGCATGCCACGTGACAGAGCACAGAGAAAACACAGCAGGGATTGGGGAGAGACTGGGATTTGAGACAGTCATCACGTAAGTGAAATATAGGCCAGGCACCATGGCTCATGCCTGTAATCCCAGAACTTTGGGAGGCCGAGGTAGGAGGATCACCAGAGCCCAAGAGTTTGAGACCAGCCTGGGCAACATAGCAAGACCCTGTCTCTATAAAGAATAATTTTATTTATTTATTTATTTTTTGAGATGGAGTCTCACTCTGTTGCCCAGGCTGGAGTGCAGTGGCATGATCTTGGCTAACTGCAACCTCTGCTTCTGTGTTCAAGCGATTCTCCTGCCTTAGCCTCCTGAGTAGCTGGGACTACAGGCCCCCACCATCACGCCTGGCTAATTTTTGTATTTTTATTTTATTTTATTTTTTTGAGAGGGAGTCTTGCTCTGTGGCCCAGGTTGGACTGCAGTGGCGCGATCTCGGCTCACCGAAACCTCCATATTCCGGGTTCAAGCAGTTCTCCTCCCTCAGCCTCCCGAGTAGCTGGGACTACAGGCACCCACCACCATACCTGGTTAATTTTTGTTTTAGTTTTTGTTTTTGTTTTAGTAGAAGTGGGGTTTCACCACGTTGGCCAGGCTGGTCTCCTGACCTCAAGTGATCCGTCTGCCTTGGCCTCCCAAAGTGCCAGGATTACAGGCATGAGCCACTGTGCCTGGCCTATAAAAAATAATTTTTTAAAAAGTAGCTGGGCATGGTGCTGCACACCTGTAGTCCCAGCTACTTGGGAGGCTGAGATGGGAGGGTCACTTGAGCCAAGGAGGTCGAGGCTGCAGTGAGCTGTAATGGCGCCATTTGTACTCCAGCCTGGGTGTCCAAGCAACACCCTGTCTCATAAAAAAAAAAAAAAGAAAAGAAAGAAAGAAAAAGAACACACACAAACACAACCTAGACCCAAAATCAAAACAGAAGGCAGTGAGGAAGGGAGCTCACAAATCTAGAAGGTGAGGCGCAGGGGACATTCCACAGCAACCACAGCCTGTGCAAAGGCCCTGTGGTAGGGAGACGCTGGGAGAGAGCCTCCCTGTGTGGCTGAGTGAGCCAGTCGGAAGATGAGAACACAGAAGTTTTCCATGAAAACCAGAAATAAAGAAATGTATATGAAATCTCCTGATTTAAAAATGTTGCAAAAACATGGTTTTCTTAAAGGGACTATAGGAAACACGCCTGGGGTCCACTTGGACTCCTCTGCCAGCTTTCCTCCTCTAGATCTATAATTCGCTGCCCCAGTGTCACAGGGAGGTCCCCCCTAGTCCACCTGACCCCCACCCTCAACCCAGCCGGGACATATCTCGGGCCCCTCAGTGCCCACACCACGTCAGAGCCCGGCAGGAGTGACCCAGCCCATTAGACTAGAGCTGATGTCGCAAAGCCAGGCAGCTGCGTCACCTTCCACCCTCTTTTGAACATGGCCTTCTAAGACAAGGACAGCCAGAACCAACAGGCAGAGGCTCTACAGGAGGCAGACAGCTGAGCTGGCCAGTCAGGGCCAGCCCCATGTCCCCCGGAAGGAGCAGATTTGGAGGCAGCCAGACCCTGGGTCGCACTCCACGGGGCCACTTGGGCAAGTCAGCCCCTGTGAACCTCAAGTTTCTCATCTGTACGAAGGAGCTAGTGACACTGTAGCTACAACTGTGTCTAGTTTGACCTACGTGGCGTGTCAATGAAGAAGCTGAATTCTTTGTCAAGAAACTGGAAGATGTAATGTAAAATCTGGATTTCAGAGTTCTCTTGGAAAAATCAGGAGATCAGAGACTGGCCTTCAAGTGCCATAATTGTTTATTGATAAACGTGTCTTCCTACCCAGCTGCCAGCACCAGAAGGATCACCTTATGGTCTGAGCAGCCCATAGGTGCAAACGAAGGCGCATAAACTGAATATTAATGAGGTAACAGAAGCGAGCATTTCCGGGGTGCGCCATGAGCCTGGTGATGCTGTTCACTGTGTTCTCATCCTCTGAACAGCACCATTACTCTTTGAGGCAGCCACCTCCACTATTATTACCCCCATGTTACAGATTAGGAAACTGAGGCACAACTAAGGCTGGAGAGAGATTCAACCAATAGTTGGAGGGCACTGAGGAGTCCGGGAGGTCTTCCTGGGGGAGGTGGTATGTGAGCTGGATCAAAGAGCAGTCCTGCCCCCTCGGTAACGCCCTCCCCACCCCATGGCGGCTCCCACCACCCCATGCGACCACAGCCCACAGGCACCAGCTCCAGCCCCTCCCAGCTCTCAGGCCCCGATCGCCCAGCCCTTCCTTCAGTCCTGGCCTTCACCCAGCCTCAAAGCCCATGCACTGCAGGTCCCTCTGTCTGGGACAGACCCTGCAGCCCTGGGGACCCTGCTCACCACAGGCCAGACCCCTTCACCAGCCTGGGGGACACATCCAGCTGCTGGTGCTCCCCCCATAGAAAACACAGCATCAAAACCCAGAACCCTGGAAAATGTGTTCGGGGAGTAGAGCACGAACTATATGTTCTCACCACAGAAAACAGTGGGGGGCAGGAGGGAACCGTAGAGGTGACAGGTATGTTCAGCACCTGGATCTCAGGGGCGGGTTTCCCGGTGTGCACACACCAGCCCATCAAACTGCATATATTAAATATGTGCCATTGTTTTATATCAATCACACCTTAATAAAGCTGCTTTTTTAAAAAAGCAAAACAAGGCCCAGTGCGGTGGCTCACACCTGTAATCCCAGCACTTTGAGGGGCCGAGGCAGGCAGATCACTTGAGCACAGGAGTTCAAGACCAGCCTGAGCATGGAGACTCCATCTCTACAAAAAATAGAAAAATCAGCCATCCGTGGTGGCAGGTGCCTATAGTCCCAGCCGCTTGGGAGGCTGAGGTGGGAGGATGACTTGAGCCCAGGAAGCAGAGGTTGCAGCAATCTGTGATCACACCACTGCACTCCAGCCTGGGCAACAGAACGAGACTCCATCTCACACACACACACACACACACACGCACACACACGCGCACACACACACACGCAGCCTCAATTTCCCTTTGCAGCCTCCCTCTCCCACCTGGTTTCTCAGCAGAGGCTGCTGGGCTGGAGATACCTTTCTCCTTTGGAATCTCACCATGCTTTCCTCCTCCCCTGGCCGCTTGGCCTGGTTCTGAAGATGAATCAGGGCTAAACCAAGAAGTCATGGGATCCGGCCGCGTGTCCATGTCTCAATCTCTCTCTCTCTCTCTCTCTCCCCAAAGAAGAGGCTTTCAGGCCCTGGGTTTCAGCCCATTCATTCAGCACTGCCCAAAGGGAATCTTCAGAGACCCAGCGCAGCCCTGTCCAACTGGGTGATCAGGGATGGGTCACTGACCTTCTCCGAGTCTCAGTTTCCTCAACCATACAATGGGCGTAAGGAGAGTGTCGCCTCATGGGCTGCTGTGAGGTTTGAATGAGTCCATGGAGGTAAAGTGCTTAGAACAAGGTCTGAAGACCCCGGGCACCAGAGGGTCAGCCCTGCAGTCATTAAGTGACCCTTCCTCCTCTGCCCCACCTCCACCCGGGTTAAGGGATGGACTTTGCCCTGCTTTTGATCAGCAGGATGACTTTTTTCCACCACACTAGACCAGGCAGCTGATTAGATAACAGTGGTGGGGACACTGTGGCCTTTTGCCTAACATGGCTGATTCTATGATTCTGTCCCCACCACCCCCAAGGTCAAAGACCATGGCCCTGGAACACAGAGTTGGGATAGAATGCCAAGGTGAGCCCTTGTTGGACGCCACTCCCTCCCATCTGGCGAAATAGACCCTTTGAGCCCAGGAAGGCTGCCTGGAGGAGGGGACATCTGAGCTGGGAATTTTAAAATAAGCTGGGCTTTGCTAGGAAAAGAAGATGGTGGAGGAGTGCCTGGCAGAGGACACAGCCTGTGCAAAGGCTGGGAAGCCTTTAAGAGCGTGACTTGCCTGAATGTTCACCAAAAACAAATATGGAATGATATATCCATATTTGATAGTTGGAAACAACTCAAATATCCATCAACAGATAAATGAATTGCCACATATCCACACAATGGAATGCTACCTGGCAATCAAAAAGAACCAACCATGGATGAACACCACAACACAGGTGAGCCTCAGAAGCACTACCCCAAGCAAAAAAAAGAAAAGAAGAATCATACTACACAACACCATTTCCGCGACATCGGGGAAAGGGAATACTCTAGAGAGAGAAGCCAGACCAGTGGCTGCCGGGGACCGGGATGGAGGGAGGGGACTAACGTGAACTGGCCCAGCTATCTTGATTTTGGTTGCCATATAGGTGAAGTGTATACATCTGATGCAACTCATCAAATTAGGCCAGGCATGGTGGCTCACGCCTGTAATCCAAGGACTTTGGGAGGCCAAGCCAGGAGAATTTCTTGAAGCCAGGAGTTCAAGACCAGCCTGGGCAACATGGTGAAACCGTGTCTCTACTAAAAATACAAAAAATATTAGCCGGGCATGGTGGCGCACACCTGTGGTCCCAGCTACTCAGGAGACTGAGCTGGGAGGATCACTTGAGCCCAGGAGTTCAAGGCTGCAGTGAGCCGTGATCATGTGCCTGCACTCCAGTCTGGGCCACAAAGCAAGACCCTGTCTGAAAAAAACAACAGCAACACCACCACCCATGACATGCTATATTTACCGCTATGGAACAATCTCCAGAATATTTTAAGTAAAAAAAAATTTAAAAATGAATACTATTACTACCTTTAAAATATAATGCAATCATGTTGATCAAAAGGCAGATATGTGCATACACATATAATCCCATTTATGTGACGTTCTAAAACAGGCAAGACTAACATATCAATAGAAACCAGAACAGGGGTCACCTGGGAGGTTGGGGGATAAGCGGGTGAAAATTCTGTTTCCTGATCTGGTTGCTGGTTACCCGGGACTATGTTCACTGAAAAATGTATGGTGTTATTCCCTTTATATGTGGGCTTTTCTATACGTGTGCTACACTTCACTAAAACCCTTTTGAAACTATAATGTGAAATTTTAAAAATAAAAGATTAACTGCAAATGGGCAAACGACTTGAAAAGACCTTGCTCCAAAGAAAATACACAAATAGCCAACAAGCTCATGAAAAGGTGCTTGACATCATCAGGGAAATGCAAATCAAAGTCACAATGGGCCACCACTTCTCACCCACCAGGATGGCTAGAATTTTTTTTCATGGAAAATAGCAAGTGTTGGCAAGGGTGTGGGAACTGGAACCTTTATGCATTGCCGGCAGAAGTGTAACGTGGAACAGCCACTGTGGAAACCAGTCTGACCGTTCCTCAAACGATCAAACGCAAAGTTACCGTATGACCCTGCAACTCCACTCCCCAGAACAGACCCAAGAAGAACTGAAAATGGGTGTAAAAAACAACACGTACAAGAATGTGCACAGCAGCACTGTTCGCAATGGGCGAAAACGACCCAAGAGTCCGTCAACAGATGAATGGCTGAACGCAGTGTGGTCTGTCCAGACAGCGGCATCTGACTCACTTAGAAAAAGGAATGCATGGGTTGGCTCTTTACTACTGCGTAAAAAAGAAATGTATTTAAAGAGCCAAAAAAAATAATTTTAAAGAAAGGAATGCGGCCAGGTGTGGTGGCTCACATCTGTAATCCCAGCACTTTGGGAGGCTGAGGCAAGTGGATCACCTGAGGTCAGGAGTTCAAGACCAGCCTGGCCAACATGGTGAAACCCCGCCTCTATTAAAAAAAAAATATATACAAAAATTAGCTGGGCATGGTGGCAGCCAACTGTATTCCCAGCTACTCGGGAGGCTGAGGCAGGAGAATCGCTTGAACCCGGGAGGCGGAGGTTGCAGTGAGAGCCGAGATCGCGCCGCTGCACTCCAGCCTGGGTAACAGACCGAGATTTCATCTCAAAAAAAAAAAAAAAAGAGAAAGAAAGAAAGAAAAAGAAAGGAATGCAACACTGACACATGCCACCACATGGACAAACCTCAAAAACCTGACATGGAGTGAAAGAAGCCAGTCAAAAGGCCACACTTAGTGTCTGACCACACTTACGAAATGCCCAGAATAGGCAAATCCAGAGACAGCAGATTGGTGGTTGCCAGGGGCTGGGGCAGAAAGGAATGGTGGGTGACTGCTTAATGGGTACACGGTAATGAGAATGCTTTGGAACTAGATCGTGGTAACGATTGCGCAACCTTGCGAACGCACTAAATGCCACTAAACTGTACATTTGTAAATGGTTTTGGTGAATTTTACGTTAACTGGATCTTAATCACAATTTCAAAAAGAAAGATTAACTCCAAATTAAAATGAGATATCATTTCCCAGTAGATGAGCAAAAATTAGGACATCCAAGAAAACAACTACAGGCAAAGATGTTTGGAAACAGGACCGCTGTGCACAGCGGGGGTCAGGCCACTGGGGAGTCGGGACAGTTTCTAATCGGGTCAGGTGTGAGCAAAGCCCCATGGTCTGTGGGTTCCCTGTTCAGACATGGTGCAGAGCACCAGCTTCCCAGCTCCTGCCAGGCTAGGGCCACGACCTGCACACCCACCAGAAGCCTCATGAGGGAATACGCACCTTCCCAGCATGATGCAACTTACGTTATGACTCCATTATTCGCCCCTCTGGTATTCTATCCTATTCCATTCTGTTTTTAAAATGCTGATCCCAGGCCAGGTGCAGTGGCTCACGCCTGTAATCCCAGCACTTTGGGAGGCTGGGGCGGGCAAATCATGAGGTCAGGAGATCGAGATCATCCTGGCCAACACAGTGAAACCCTGTCTCTACTAACAATACAAAAAAATTAGCCAGGCGTGGTGGCAGATGCCTGTAGTCCCAGCTACTCGGGTGGCTGAGGCAGGAGAATCGCTTGAATCCAGGAGGCGGAGGTTGCAGCGAGCCAAAATTGCGCCACTGCACTCCAGCCTGGGCAACAGAGCGAGACTCCATCTCAAAAAAAAAAAAAAAAAAAAAAAGCTGATCCCCACCCACCCCACTTATTTCACAACCCACAATCTGATCACATCTGACAGTTTGAAAACTCTGCCCTAGAAAGATTCTCCTAAGTGTGCAAGAAAGCGCCAGAAGAATTGTCAGACCTCAAAAAAAGAACAGAGGGCCAGGCACGGGGGCTCACGCCTGTGATCCCAACACTTTGGGAGGCCGAGGCGGGTGGATCACTTGAGGTCAGGAGTTCCAGACCAGCCGGGCCAACATGGTGCAACCCCGTCTCTACTAAAACTACAAAAATTACCCAAGCACGGTGACATGCACCTGTAGTCCCAGCTACTCGGGAGGCTGAGGTGGGAGAATCGCTTGAGCCCAGGAGGCGGAGGTTGCAGTGAGCCGAGATCACACCATTGCACTCCAACCTGGGTGACAGAGCGAGACCCTGCCTTGAAAAACAACAGAGAGCCCAGCCAGGTTCTCAGTCAAAGATAAGCTGGGCTTCTGCACACGGTGGCTGCACAGTGAGTAAACGCCATCGACTTGCAGATATCTCAAAGGCAGAATCTTGACAGAAGGACAAATACTGCAGGACAAATACTTCCAGATTTGTCTTTTAGAGGTGAGGAATCTGAAGACATTGAATACACAGAGAGTTGAATGGTGCTTACGGGGCGGAGGCTGGGGAGGTGGGGAGATGCAGGTCACAGGGCGCAAAGCTGCAGTCATGTGGGATGGGTGGTCTGGAGGTTGCATGCACAACACGAGGACTGTGATTAATACTGTACTGTATACTGGAAGCAGATTTCAGGTGCTCTCACCACTAAAAACAAAGAGGTGGCCGGGACTCATGCCTGTAATCCCAGCACTTTGGGAGGCCGAGGTGGGAGGATCGCTTGAGGTCAGGAGTTTGAGAACAACCTGGGCAACATAGGGAGCCCATCTCTATAAAAAATACAAAAATTAGCCAGGCACAGTGGCGCGCACCTATGGTCCCAGCTACTCAGGAGGCTTAAGTGGGAGGATCACTTGAGCCTGAGAGTTCAAGGCTGCAGTGAACCGTGATCACCCCACTGCACTCTAGCCTGGGTGACAGAGCGAGACCCTGTCTCAAAAAAAAAAAAAAAAAAAGAGGTGACTATATGAGGAGATACATATGTTAATCTGCTTAACTGTAGTAATCATTTCACTATGTGTGTGTATATAGCAAAACAGCATTTGGATGCCTTAAATATACATAATTTTTATTATTTATTTATTTTGAAACAGAGTCTCGCTCAGTTGCCCAGGCTGGAAAGCCTTGACTTCCCGATCTCCCCAGATCAAGCAATCCTCTCACCTCAGCCTCCTGAGTAGCTGGGACTACAAGGCACATACCACCACGCCCGGCTATTTTTTTATTTTTTTATTTTTTTGCTTTTAGTAGAGACAAGGTCTCACTATGTTGCCCAGGCTGGTCTTGAACTCCTGAGCTCAAGAGATCCACTCGCTTCAGCCTCCCAAAGTGCTGGGATTATAGGTGTCAGCCACTGCACCTGGCCTCAATTTTTATTTTTAAAGAAAAAAAAATCTTGAGTGAAGAAAAGGCTAAAGAAAGAAACAATTGACATGGGCCTCTTGATGTGAATTTTCCAAACACATGAAATAATACTCTATATTCTTTCTGAAGACAAACCCATGTGGAAATGTAGAAAAACATTCAGGGAAATGATACCTGCAAACAATCTCAGGAGAGGGCTGGGGGCTGGGGATGTGGGGAAAGCTTTAACTGTCATTGTGAACATGTTATTTCTTGAAAATAACATACGAGCCACCGTCCGAACATTGGCCTACAAGCCCCTCTGCCTGGTCTGGCCCCTGTGTTCTCTCTGGCCCCACATCCAACTGTAGCAGGACAAGTCACAGACAAAACTCCTCAGACACCGGATTAAAGAAGGAAGAGGTTTTTATTCGGCCGGGAGCATCGGCAGACTCGCGTCTTAAGAGCCGAGCTCCCCGAAAAAGAAATTCCTAGCCCTTTTAAGGGCTTACAACTCTAAGGGGTCCATGTGAAAGGGTCATAATAGATCGAGTAAGTGTGAGGAACGTGACTGGGGGCTACATACATCAGCTAACAGAACAAAAAGTTTTACAGTGCTTTCTCATACAACGTCTGGAATTTACAGATAACACCAGTAGTTTTGGTCAGGGGTTAATATTATTATTATTATTATTATTTTAACCACCAGGGCCAGGTGGTGGCGCCAAGGTCGTCTAGCTATTTATCTTACTTCTGTTTCTTTCCATCTTTTTGCTTTCTCCCTTTTCTCCTGTCTTATAAACTAGGGAAAAGGGGAGGCTGGGGAGAAGCTGGGAAGGACAACAGCAGAAGCGGTGGTCTCATTCCACAACCACTGTCTGTTACTCAGCCCAGCCCCACAGCCTCCTTGCTATCCTGTCCAAGAGGCCACGCTCCTGCCCCAGGGCCTTTGCACCCACTGCTTCCTCCTAAACACGTGGTCAAATCCCTCACCCCTTCGAATCTCTGCTTACATGCCCCCTTCTCAGAAGGCTCATCCAACCTGCCCCTAAAACTCCTGACCTCCCGACCTGCCGTGTTGTTTCCATGCTGCTTGTGGCCTTCGAGCACACGGTATAATTAGCTTATCAGGTTTATTGCTGTCCATCTGTATCACCTGCCTGGCCATAAACCCACAAGGGCAAGATCCTCAGCTGCTTTGTTTGGCGATGTGTCTGTCCTCAGGGCCTGGGACAGCTCTTGGCACCTTGCAGGAGCTCTGTAAATATTTTCTGGGTGAATGAGCAAAAGTGAGACCTGAAACCATATAATCAACGTGGAAATGTCTAGCGGGTGGTAACGCTAGTCCTCCTTTGTGTGTTTTAAACAGCTCATACTTAAGAAGGGATTTTTTTTTTTTTAAATACACAGAGAGTACCGCCTGTTTAGGCCGGGGCAACAACTCGGTAAATGTGTGATGGATGAGATGAAGATTTCATAGACATTAATTTTTAGCATTCTCTTCCTACCACCCACAGCACTCTCCCCTGCACCTGGAGAGGCCCCTGACCTCCAAACCTAACACCCCGCTCGCCCAGGTGCCACCTCCTCCATGAAGCCCACTGGAACGACCTCGGCCTACAGTGAGGCTGCTCTGACCTCATTGGGATTGCAGTTCATGCCCTGTACAATCATCCGCCCCATGCTAGATGCTATGCTAGGAATTTAAAGACACAGGGATGAACACGATGGGGCCCCTGCCCTGAGACGCCCCTGCCCTCAGACACCAGGGGAGCAGAATCGTCTGGACGATCTGCCCGGCCCTGTTCAGGTAGCGAAACACTTCCACCTACTTCACCTCTTAAATTCTCAATGGCTCATCTCATCGAAGCAGACACTGAGGCTCCAAAGCCAAATGCCTGACCAAGGTCACAGGAGCAGGGAGAGACAGAGCCCCAGGCTCCGTATCCACGTCTAGGCCTGTGCCCTCACGCTTCTCTCCTAGGCCATCCCCGCTGGGCTCCTTGCACGGGAGCTTCACAAATGAATCATTAACTTGACCTGGCCACTGAATTGCAAGGTCTAATTCCTCCTCCTATGAGAAGAGAAAACAGGCTTCCAAGAAACACACCTCTGACCAAATGAGCCAAGAAGCCAATTTGCCCAGACGAAGCCTAGTTCTGGGACAAGGCCAGGCCCTGCCCACTCTGGACCAGCAGTCAGTGGCTGACTACACTCTCAATCCCAGGGCTCCAGGCATCCCCAGCTCCATGGGGCCTTAAGATGCAGGAACAACTACGACACAGGCTAATCCAATCTGGGACTTGGGAACACCACACCCTTGGCTCATGTTCCAACTTCTTTTGATTTTTAAAGGACTAAGGTAAGAAGACTAAAATAAAAGGTTTTTACAAGAAACCCACGCTTGTAAGTTGCTTAAGCGAAGAGGTTGAGTCATTCCTGAGTCCTCCATTTTCCTCCCACCTAGCACCCTCCATCAGCAAGGCTGGGCTGCTCTCGCTTTAAAGCATGCCTCAAATCCATCCACTTCTCTCCAACACCATCCTGGCCCCCATCCTGGCTTGTATGGATGGGTGCCGTAGTTTCCCCGCTGTTTTCCTGCCTCTGCTCTTGCCCCCCGCCCCGTTCTCCCCACAGAATCCAAGTTATCCTTTTAAGATTAAAGTCAGAGCATGTCATTCTGCTCAAACCTCCCCCATGCCTCCCTATTTATCTCAGAATAGAATCTAAATTCCTGACAGTGACCTATGAGGTCTTGCACAACCCAGCTCCCTATAGTCACTCCAGTCTCCTCCCCCATTCCTATCTGCCTCGCTCACTCTGCTCCAGCCACACTGGCCTTGCTGTGCTCCTGAGCCACCAGGCAAGTTTCTGCCACAGGGCCTTTGCACTGACTCTTTGCTCCTCCAGGGGCAATCTTTCCCCTGATGCCCACAAAAGTGAGCCCCTCACTTCTCAAGTCTAAAGTCACTTTCTCCGTGAGACCTTCCCTGAGCAATTTTCAATCCCTTAACCATCTCTATTGAGCCCCACTGTATGGCAGGCTCTGCTCTAGGCCTGGGCACTTCAATAGTGAACAAAATGGATGAAAATACCATTCTTCCTAAAGCAGCCCTTCCCCCATCACATTATATTCATCACCCTGTTTTATCTCCCTGACATTATCAATATCTGAAATTTCTATGTAGTTGTTGATAAGTCCCCCTTCCTGCTGCCCGGAATTCAGTCACAATGGATGGAGCTAGAGCAGCCATCTTGGATCATGAGGCACCCTTAAGAATGAAAGCCACACATGAAGAAGGGCGGAGCAGAATAGGAGATAGGAGAAAGGATTCCTGTGACTTCCTGGAGCCACCCACCAGCCCTGGGTGGCTTAGTCATCAGAGAAATGTCCACTGGACTCACAGTGAGATCCCATGCCATACACCAGAATGGCTACAATGAAAAAGACTGACAATAACAAGTGCTGGTGAGGATGTGGAGCAGCCAGAGTGCTCACACATTGCTGGTGGAAGTGCATTAGTGCAGTCACTGTGGAATATACTTTTTCTACCAAAGCTGGACGTTCACCCTACAATATAGCAATCCCACCCCCAGTATTTGTCCCAGAAAAATGAAAGCATGCACCCACACAAAGATTATCCACAAATGCTCATAGCAGCCGTACCCATAACAGCCCAAAACTGGAAACAACACAAATGTCTACAAGCAAGTGAATGCATGACAAATGGGGACACACTCATACCATGGAATGCTACCCAGAGACAAAAGGGAATGACCAATTGAGACACACAATGACAGGGTAAATCACACACAGGGACCACGTGCATGAGTCCATATAAGTGACGTCCCGGGGAATGGCAAAACCAATCCATGGGGATAGAGGTGGGGGCAGCAGGACCTCAGGGGTGGATACTGACAGGGAGGGGTGCGGGGGAGGCGTTTACACTTGGTATAGGGGGTCATTACAAGCGTGCATACCTAGGTGAAAATCCATCAACCTCTAACCGAAATTGTGCACTTTTCTTAATGCATTTGATACTTCAATTTTTAAAAAGAAAAAAATTAAAGCAAAAAAAATTTTTTCTTTTTTCAGACAGAGTCTCACTCTGTCGCCCAGGCTGGAGTGCAGTGGTGTGATCTCAGCTCACTGCAACCTCCACCTCCCAGGTTCAAGCAATTCTCCTGCCTCAGCCTCCAGAATAGCTGGGACTACAGGCATACGCCACCATGCCCAGCTGATTTTTTTTTTTTTTTAGACGGAGTTTTGCTCTGTCACCCAGGCTGGAGTGCAGTGGCGCGATCTCGGCTCACTGCAACCTCTGCCTCCCGGGTTCAAGCAATTCTCCTGCCTCAGCCCCCCAAGTAGCTGGGATTACAGATGCCCGCCACCACACCTGGCTAATTTTTGTATTTTTTTAAGTAGAGACGGGGTTTTGCCAAATTGGCCAGGCTGGTCTCAAACTCCTGACCTCAGGTGATCTGCCTGCCTCGGCCTCCCAAAGTGCTAGGATTACAGGCATGAGCCACCGCGCCTGGACTGATTTTTGTATTTTTGACAGAAATGGGGTTTTACCATGTCGGCCAGGCTGAGGTCTCCAACTCCTGACCTCAGGTGATCGGCCCACCTTGGCCTCCCAAAGTGCTGGGATTACAGACGTGAGCCACTGCGCCTGGCCTAAAGCAAAAAATTATTGATCCAGGGTTGGGTACTCTTCAGATGTTCAATACACCCTCAAGTGGTGTCGCTAATAAGAGAGCACCTACAGCCACCAAGGCCCAATCAGGGTCCCAGTGCCCCGTCAAATCTGATTTCTGAAGCAGAGCAGCGAGGCCAGCCAGGAGACCACCAGGGGCCCTGGAGAGACGTGAGAGGTCTGGGGTCCCCTCTTTACCAGCAAAGGGGCTCTGTCCACTCCCTGTCCCCTCAACCCCCTGCCCATCCTCCACCTACCAGCAGGCGCCTGATACAACTTCCTGTGCCTGTTTCTTTACCTGTAACAAGGAATAAAGAATAGGACCCATGCAGCAGGGACAGGTCATGTTGACATAATGTGCTGGGAACAGCCCTTCGTCACTGCGATCTTCCTTCCAAAACCCGGAACTAGGGCCTAATCAATAGAAGAACAACAGACAAATCCCAGCAGAGGGGCGTCCTGCAAAATTCCTAGCCGGTGCTCAGGAACGCAATCCAGGTCATCCAAAGCCAGGAAAGTCTGAGAACCCACAGAGACCAGAGGATCCTAAGGCAACGTGAGGGACAAACGCAATGTGGGGCCCTGGATTGGGTCCTGGGACAGAAAATGATACGAAGGAGAAACGAAGGAAACGTGAATCCTGTCTGGATGTTAGTTATTACTGATGTATCAACACTGGTTCATTCATAGCAACAAATGTATCCCATTCCTTTAAGATGTTAATAGCAGGGGACACTGGCTGTGGGATATGTGGGAACTCAGCACTATCTTCCCAATTTTTCTGAAAGTTGAACTGTTCTAGGCCGGGCGCGGTGGCTCACACCTGTGGAATCCTAGCACTTTGGGAGGCCAAGGCAGGTGGATCACTTGAGGTCAGGAGTTGGAGACTAGCCTGGCCAACATAGTGAAATCCCGACTCTACTAAAAGTACAAAAATTAGCCAGGTGTGGTGTCAGGCACCTGTGGTCCCAGCTACTTGGGAGGCTGAGGAAGGAGAATCACTTGAACCTGGAAGGCAGAGGTTCTAGTGAGCCGAGATTGTGCCACTGCACTCCAGCCTGGGCGACAGAGTGAGACTTGGTCTCAAAAAAAAAAAAACTGTTCTAAAACAGAAAGTTATTTTAAAACAAGCAGGCTCTGTCGCGGCAATACAGGGAGGGCCAAATCAGTGCCTCACCGAATCATATTACAGCTTCAAGCAAAAGGAAAAAATGTGCACCCCATATTTATACTTTTTCCAGAACATTAAGGTCTTTTTGTAAAAACACTGACAATTTCAAAAGTTCACATATTAACACAACATTATTTTAAGTTTAAATATTTTATTTAAGCCCACCCAAACCAGATTATACTATCATGTTAATGACCTGGCTTTAATGGAAGCATTTTCATTGTATTAGCTTCCCACTGCTGCTGTAAGAATTAACAATTAACACTGGCTCAGATCAATACAAAGTTATTATCTTACAGTTCTCGGGGGGAGAAGTCCAAACTGGGACTGCCCCTGAGATGGGATGAAAGTCACGGTGCAGGCAGGGTGCTTCCTTCTGGAGCTCAGGGGGAATCCATTGCCTTCCGTTTCCCAGCTTCTAAGAGGCCTCCGCATTCCTTGGCTCCTGTCCCCTTATCACTCCAACCCCTGCTTCTGAGGTCACATCTCCTACTCTGACCCTCCTGCCTCCCTCTGTCAAAGATCCTTGTGAAAGCATTGTGGCCCCTGGGACAATCCAAGTTCATCTCCCATCTCAAGATCCTTAACTTTTTTTTTTTTTTTGAGACAGGGTCTCACTCTGTTGCCAGGCTGGAATGCAGTGGTGTGATCACGGCTTACTGCAGCCTCGAACTCCCGGGCTGAAGCAATCCTCCTTCCTCAGCCTCCCACATAACTGGGACCACAAGCATACACCACCACGCCTGGCTAATTTTTAAATTTTTTATAGAGATGGGGTCTCACTATGTTGCCCAAGCTGGTCTTCAACTCCTGGGCTCAAAAATCTCCCACCTTGGCCTCCCAAAGTGCTGGGATTACAGGTGTGAGCCATCATGCCTGGTGTAAGATCCTTAACTTAATCACGCCTACAAAGCCACTTTTGCTGAGGAAGGTCACATATTCACAGGTCCTGGGGATCAGGACGCCAGCACCTTTTGGGGACATTGTTCAGCCTGCCACACCCACCCAGAGACCCCAGAGCATCCTCCCACACAGCCCCCTCCACCCCAGGGAACACCCCTGCACCAGGGAGTGTGACATTTGCCCCGTGCACCCCTTCCTCTCCCCACAGCCCTATCTTGGCCAGAAGGCAGGCTTCGCTAGAAACAAGGTGGACCCGGCAGGAAGCCCAGTGTCCTCTTTAATGGGAAGCTCCACGCCCAGGATGCTCACACGTCCCCCGCTTTTGAACCCTGCTGTGTTTTGGCCTGAGCTGTCCTAAGAGAAACCCGGGCCGGGGAATGATCTGCGGAGCAGGACACTCTCCCGCAGCTGCTTTCAAGCAGCTCAGCGGGGGCACTTTGTTCTTGCAGCTGGGATCTGAAAAGCAAGCCCTCTGGGCTGCGGACGTGCCCGTGCTGCCTGCACTGCCTCCTCGTGACTCCCGAGACCTCCTGCCAGTGACACGAGGGTGTCCAGAAACACAAACCGAGGCCCGCCCTGAAAAGGGCTAAGCCAGCTTCATCCTCAGCCACATGGGAGGAAGAATGCAGGCAACAGCCAGCAGGGGCCTGAGGGGCCCTGCAAGGCCAGAGCCAGGGGTCTTGTCAAAAGCAGGCCTCCCAAGCCAGTGAGCTCCCACGGGACACACGGGGGGACAGGGAGGCAGCCAGAGGTCAGAACCACTCCAGGGTCCTCAGGTTCCCAGAAACTTCCAGGCTGGGCCGGGACCAGAAACAGACGTCACCGGTGCCAGTCCCTTGTGCTGGTCCCTGAGCCACAGCCCCTGAGGCCCCCAAAAGGGGCCCAACCAACAAGGGGCTGAGGGTCCGGGCAGAGCCTCCCACTCCAGGCATGAGGTCTCGGGCAATTTCTGAACACTGGAGCAGGTCCACCTTTCAAACCTCATTACTGCCCTACAGAACGACTTTTGGTGTGAGCATAGTACTGTGGTCATGCTTGGGGATTTTCTTTTGCTTTATCATTGTGGTGGTGTTTACTAGGTACCTGTTCGGGCAGTGGTTCTTGAAGTGTGGTCCCTGGCTGAGCGTGGTGGCTCACGCCTGTAATCCCAGCACTTTGGAAGGCAAAGATAGGAGGATCACTTGAGCCCAGGAGTTCAACAGTCTGGGCAACATAGCAAGATCTCATCTCTAGAACAAAATTTTTTTACAATAGCCAGGCATGGTGGCATGTACTTGTAGTCCCAGCTACTTGGGAGGCTGAGGCAGGAGGATTGCTTGGGCCCAGAAGGTCGAGGCTGCAGTGAGCTGTGATTGCACCACTACACTCCAGGCTGCACAACAGAGCAAGACCCTGTCCACCCCCCCAAAAAAAAGGCGGTCTCCAAACCAGCAACATCAGCATCACTTGGGAACTCGATAAAAAAGCAGATTCCCAGGCTCCATGCCAGGTCTGCCGACTCAGACACTCAGGGGCTGGGGCCTGGTGATCCGTGTTTTAGTGAGCCCTCCAGCGTCCAGACTCCAATGCACCATGAAGTGCCGTGGCTATACTAGAGACACTGACGGATGAGGCAATGTCTGACATGAGCCCCAGAACAATGTGGAAAAGGGGAAAGTGTATGGAGGCACGTGCAGAAGGCAAGACTTGGTATCTCCTCAGCAAGTTACAGGGCCCGTGACCATCGCACCGGTCTATTTTTATGTATGTTTGAATTTTTTTTTTTTAAGAGACAGGGTCTTGCTCTGTCACCCTGGCTGGAGTGCACTGGTGCAGTCCGAGCTCACTGTAGCCTTGAACTCCTGGGCTCAAACCATCTTCCTGCCTCAGCCTCCTTGTAGCTGGGACCACAGCAGCTTCTGTCACCATACTCAGCTAATTTTTTCATTTTTTGTAGATTTTATTTTTTGTAGGGGTCTCGCTATGTTGCCCAGGCTGGTCTGAAACTCCTGGCCTAAACCAATTCTCCCGCTTCAACCTCCCAAAGAGCTGGATTACGAACGTGAGACACTGCACCCAGCCCTTGAAATTTTTCATAAATTTTTTTTAATTCACTCAAAATTTCTTATACACCGCATCCTCCCCGCCCCCACTAAAAAAAACACAAACTAGGTCTTGTCTCTTCCTGAAACAGATGCCACAAACTGGGCCCATGGGCCAGATTTTGCCAGTAGATGGGTTTTGAATCACATATTTCAAAATATTTGAATCTGTTGACAGTATCTTAAACCAGCAGGTAAATTCCTGCCTTCTGGCTTCTTTTGGGAACCTGGGTGATGTCCAGCTCTGGGCCTGCATGCCACGTGGCCCAGCCCGCTGGAGCAAAGCAGGAGCCGCTTCACAGTTGGGGTGTGCCCTCCAGCTTGCAACGGGCCCCACCACTCCCTATCACCTCATGCCAGGGCCCTTCCCCCATGTATGTTCCTGCACAGTTTGCAATCCCTGTCCTATAGTAACACACGATGAGAACGTGGCATTCATTCATTCATTCATTCACTCAGTCATTCATTCATTTCAACCCTGCCTGAGCATCCAAAGCGGGCGATCAGTGCTACAGGGGTAAAGTTAATCCAACAGGATTCCTGCCCTCGTGGACTGAGCAGGAAGTGGGGAAGAGGACACGCAATTCACAAGTGACTCAGGTACCCAGTAGGAAGAGCTCAGGGACATCACACGTATTCACTGGCACGCACTGGCAAGCACCAGAGGTCTCGCGCATGTGTCACTGGCCAGAATGTCCATCAGTACAGCCACCTCGGAGAGCCACTGGGCAAAATCTACTGAGGCAGAGCACGATGTTCTGAACTGCTGAACGCATCTGGAAACCACCACCTCCCATCTCTCAGGAAGCACAACAGTAAACATCTGCATTACAGAAGCCACTGGAGGCAAGTTTTATGTTGTTTCCAGCTCAAAGCATCCCATTTAAAGCAATGCTTTCATTTATTTAAACCTAACAATTAGGCTGGGTGTGGTGGCTCACACCTGTAATCCCAGCACTTTGGGAGGCTGGGGCAGGAGGATCACTGGAGCCCAGGAGTTCGAGACCAGCCTGCGCAACACAGTGAGCCCCATCTCTACAAAAAATGTTTAAAAATTTGCCAAATGTGGTAGTGTATGCCTGTAGACCCAGGTACGTGGAAGGCTGAGGCAGGAGGATCCCTTGAGCCCAGGAGATAGAGGCTGCAGTGAGCCATGATCGTGCCACTGTACTCCAGCCTGGGTGACAGAGCAAGACCCTGTCTCAAAATAAAATGAAATAAAATAAAATAGAATAAAGCTAATAATTTGTCTCCATTTTACTGATGAAGAAAGTGAAGTACAGGGAGATTAAACCACTCGCTTGCCCAAGAGCACAAACCCAATGTTGGCACAGAGTCTTGACCTTGGGTCTGACCAAAGGCTGGGCACTGCCTTGGTAAAGGCCCAGCACAGGCGTGGCAAGTAAGGAGCTCAGACCAGCGAAGAGAATGCTGGAAGGTGCATACAGTCCTGGTCCCCGGGCACAGAGATGAATCAAGCACAACCTCTCCTTCCCCGCCAAATCAGGGCCTCATCCTGCTCCCCAGTTGCACCTGCATGACGGGAACTCCAGGCAGCCCACCTCTACTTGCTTTTTTGGACAAAAACAATTTCTACCAGGGCTGATCCCAGCCCCACTGTTTCCACACAAGTCAGACAGTGAATATGCCTTCTTTCAAACACCCCAACCTCAATAAAGCTGGCTGTTTTCAAGCAAAAACATTATTCTTCTCTGTTCTTAGAAAGGTTTCAACAAGCTACAGCCTGTGGACCAAATCCAGCCTGATGCCTATTTCTACTCACCCCACAAGCTAACAATCATTTTGCATTTTCAAATGGAAAGAAGGGAAAGAGGGGAAGAAAGGGAAGAAAGAAAAGAAAGAAAGAAGGAAAGAAAGAAAGAAAGGAAGGAAGGAAGGAAGGAAGGAAGGAAGGGAGAAAAAAGAAAAGAAAGGAAAGAAAAAGAAAGAAAAGAAAAGAAAAGAAAAGAAAAGAAAAGAAAAGAAAAGAAAAGAAAAGAAAAGAAAAGTCAGCCAGCTGGGTGCAGTGCTGCACGCCTGTAATCCCAACACTTTGGGAGACCAAGGTGGGAGGGTCACTTGAGGCCAGGAGTTCAAGACGAGCCTGGGCAACATAGTGAGGACCCCCCCTACACACCCACCCACCAACCTATAAAAAAAAAAAATGAGCCAGGCGTGGTGGCACATGCCTGTTGTCCCAGCTACTCAGGAGAGTAAGGTGGGAGGATAACGAGCCCAGGAGGTCTAGGCTGCAGTGAGCCATGATGGTGCCCCTGCCCCCCAGCCTGGGTGACACAGTGAGACCCTGTCTCCAAAAAATATGTTAAAAATAAATAAACAAACAATTGAAAGAAAAATGCCATTTCATGACATGTGAAAGTTATATGAAATTCACATTTTGGTGTTCATAAATGCAGTGGCACTGGCCCACAGCGGCCACCTCGACTTATTTCTGTGTCGTCAATGGCAGCCTCAGCATCACAGCAGCAGGGCTGAGTAGCTGAGACACAACCCGTGCAGCCTGCAGAGCTGAGCATATTGACTATCTGTCTCTGTACAGAAAAGCATGCCAACCCCAGCCTAGACCACACAGAAATTCAGGAAGGGCCATCCCCTGCCAGGCCAGCTTCACGGGTGAGGCCGGATCTGGCCATTAGGGAGAGGGCCAGGGCGCAGACCTAGTTCTGGCCTCGGCTCAGTCAGCCCCTCCCACCCCGGTCCCCTGATATGCCACATGGAGACGTGACTGCCTCCCCATCCTCCCCGTGGCAGTGCAGAGAGAATGAGATGACCCAGGACATGTGTCTGTTGTGAAGAGGGCACCCGGCTATAAACATGCCTCAGGGAACTATTGTTACAGGAGCCTCCCTGAGCTCACCACTGGCTCCAGTTCAAGAACACGTCATGAAGCCAGCCAAGGTCTTGTAAAATAGGGCAACGGTGGTTTGGGCCTGGAGGAATCAGAAGCTCAGGGCTGCCTGCTTCAAAGGCTAAGTCTTCTGCAACAGGCTCAGCATGTTGGAATTTGACCCTGGCCAACAGGCTGGGCCGTCTGGTCTACCATCTACAAACCAACAGCCCAACCCATTCAAGCAGGAGGGGCCGGTACCATTTCTCCCTTCAGGTTAAACCCTGCCACAGTTTTTAATTTTAATTGGGGTAAACATAAAATTTACCAACTTAGCCTTTTTTTTTTTTTTTTTTGAGATGGAGTCTCGGTCTGTCACCCAGGCTGGAGTGCAGTGGTGTGATCTCAGCTCACTGCAACCTCTGCCTCCCAGGTTCAAGAAATTCTCTGCCTCAGCCTCCTAAGTAGCTGGGATTACAGGCGCCTGCCACCATGCCAGGCTAATTTTTGTATTTTTAGTAGAGACGGGGTTTCACCATCTTGGCCAGGCTGGTCTTGAACTCCTGACCTCGTGATCCACCCACCTTGGGCTCCAAAAGTACTGGGATTACAGGCATGAGCCACTACACGCCCAGCCCAACTTAGCCATTTTTAAGTGTACAGTTCAGTGGCATTAAGGACATTTGCAATGTTGTGCAATTATCAGCAACATCCATCTAAAGAACTCTTTCATCTTGCAAAAGTGAAACCCTGTACCCACTGAAAAAGAGCTCTGCACCCCCTCTCCCCCAGCCCCTGGCACCCACCATTCTCTTTTCTGTCTCTGTGGATCTGGCTACTCTAGGGAGCTCATGCAAATGGAATCGTACGGTATTTGTCCTGTTGTGGCTTATTTCACTCGCATAACTTCCTCAAGGCCCGTGCATGTCGCAGCGTGCGTCCAAACGTCCTTCCTTTTCCAGGCTGAATCCTATTCCAACGTGTGGATGGGCCCCAGCTTCTTACCCACCACCCATCAGCGGACACTCGGGTTGCTCCCACCGTTGGGCCATCGTGAACAGCGCTGCAATGAACGCGGTGGCCAGATTCCTCTTCAAGTTCCCACTTCCATTTCTTTGATACCCAGAAGTGGGGTTGCCCCACCATATGGTAATTCTATGTTAAATTTTGGGGGGGCCTCCACACAGCAGCTGCACCATCCTACATTCCCAACGGCACACATGGGCCCCGATTTCTCCGCACCCTCACCCCAACGGCACACATGGGCCCCGATTTCTCCGCACCCTCACCCCAACGGCACACATGGGCCCCGATTTCTCCGCACCCTCACCCCAACGGCACACATGGGCCCCGATTTCTCCGCACCCTCACCCCAACGGCACACATGGGCCCCGATTTCTCCGCACCCTCACCCCAACGGCACACATGGGCCCCGATTTCTCCGCACCCTCACCCCAACGGCACACATGGGCCCCGATTTCTCCGCACCCTCACCCCAACGGCACACATGGGCCCCGATTTCTCCGCACCCTCACCCCAACGGCACACATGGGCCCCGATTTCTCCGCACCCTCACCCCAACGGCACACATGGGCCCCGATTTCTCCGCATCCTCACCAATATTTGAGATTTTCTGTTTTCTCAAGTGACCATCCTAATGGGTATGAGTGTGTCTCACTGATTCTCATTTCCCTAACGATGAGCGAGTGTCGCTGAGCACACTTCCATGTCCCCGTTGGCTATCTGCATTTTTTTTTTTTTTAAGACAGAGTCTTGCTCTGTTGCCCAGGCTGGAGTACAGTCTTGGCTCACTGCAACCTCTACCTCCCAGGTTCAAACGATTCTCCTGCCTCAGCCTCCTGAGTAGCTGGGATTACATACAGGCGCCTGCCACCACACCCGGCTAATTTTTGTATTTTTAGTAGAGACGGGGTTTCGCCATCTTGGCCAGGCTGGCCTCGAACTCCTGACCTTGTGATCCGCCCACCTTGGCCTCCCAAAGTGCTGGGATTACAGGCGTGAGCCACCGCGCCTGGCTGCCTGCATGTCTTCTTTGCAGGTGCTTGGTCCGTGTTTTAATGGGGTTGTCTGACTCTTGTTGTTGAGTTGTCCTCGCTTGATTTTAGGACCAGAGTTAAGGCCCACACTCCATCTGCTCTCAACCTCCCTCCCCCGATCTTCTCGTCTCGGAAAATGGCTCCACCATCTACCAAACTCCTCAAACCTTGAGGAACCACCCTTGATTCCTCTCCTTCCCTCGCACCCCAGTCCACTGACCTATCTTGTTGACTCTCCCTGAAAAAAAACTCGAATATGTTCCCTTCTTTCCATTTAGAAAACTACCCCCACCTGGCTCAAATCACCATCTTCTCTGCCTCCCCGCTTCCAGCCTGGCCCCCGACACTCCCTTCTCCAGACAGCAGCCAGAGAGCTCTTCAAGACTGAGTCAGGCTGGGCGTGGTGGCTCACACCTGTAATCCCAGCCCTTTGGGAGGCCAAGGCAGGTGGATCACCTGAGGTCAGGGGTTCAAGACCAGCCTGCCCAACATGGTGAAACACCATCTTTACGAAAAATACAAAAATTAGCCGAGTGTAGTGGCACGCACGTGTAATCCCAGCTACTCAGAAGGCTGAGGCAAGAAAATTGCTTGAGGCTGGGCGCGGTGGCTCACGCCTGTAATCCCAGCACTTTGGGAGGCCGAGGTGGGCGGATCACGAGGTCAGGAGATTGAGACCATGCTGGCTAACACGGTGAAACCCCGTATCTACTAAAAATACAAAAAAATTAGCCGGGCGTGGTGGCGGGCGCCTGTAGTCCCAGCTACGCGGGAGGCTGAGGCAGGAGAATGGCATGAACCAGGGAGGCGGAGCTTGCAGTGAGCGGAGATTGCGCCACTGCACTCCCCCGCCTGGGCAACAGAGCAAGACTCCGTCTCAAAAAAAAAAAAAAAAGAGAATTGCTTGAACTCGGGAGGCGGAGGTTGCAGTGAGCTGATACCATGCCACTGCACTCCAGCCTGGGCGACAGAGAAAGACTCTGTCTCAAAAAAAAAAAAAAAAAATACTGAGTCAGATCATGGCTCTTCCCTGCTCAGAACCCTCCATGGAATTGAAAACCAAATCTGAACTCCTCCAGGTGTCCTGCAAGGCCCCCACATGCCTGTCCCCTTTCACCCCCTCCAGTCACTTCTCCCAACCCCACTGGCCTGCTCCCTCTTCCTCCAACACAGCAGGCTCCTTCGCACCTCCGGCCTTTGAACCTGCTGTGCTCTTTGCCAGCTGCTCCCCAGCTCATAGAGCCCCTCCTCTGAGAGGCCCTCCTGACTCCCACATCAGAAGGAGTCCCCTTCCCAGCAGTGGCTCCATGTCAGCTCACCTGCCTCGTCCCCTTCCTAGCTCTTCTCGCCACCCCACCTCTTCCATGTGCTTCTCCATGGCCCATCCCTCCTGCTAAAGCGTAGCTGCCGTGAGCAGGACCAGGTCTCTTTTGTCCACGGCTGTAGCTCCAACACTTGGCACGAGACCTGGCCCACAATTTGTGAGCAGTAAACATGGGCCGAAAGGATGAGTAGCTTTCCCTGCCACTTCAGCCCTGGGGGTCCCTCCTCCTCCTCCCACAGTCCTGTGTGCCCCATTCAGGTGGTTCATAAACAGCTGCCCGGAGCAGATTCTCCACTGGGGTTTGTCCCATCTGTAAAATGAGGGTTGTAAATGTGCCCAAACAGCTGGGGATGAATGCAAAGCGCCCCACGCCCCGTGTCACTCCCAGCCAGGAGCAAGAGGGCACCATGCCAGTGCTGCCTCTGGCCCAGGCAGTCACCTGTCCAGGGGAAACAGGCCTCTAAGGCTCCAATGGCCTCACGCACTGGAGTTCATCAATAACACAAGCCGAGAAAGCCCCAGGAAAGCTGGAGACGCTGCCGGAAATGCAAAGCTGCTCATTCTTCCATCCGTCCCAGCTAAAGGGGTTCGAGGAAGCTCCTCCCCACACACCTCCCAGGGTGGAAGGGGACCTCATATCTCAGCGGGGCTCTGGCCCTGGCCCCAGCATCCCAGTCCCTGTCTCTTCTCCCTGCCCCCACCAAGGACACAGATGCCCAGGCCTGCTGGCAGCTTCATCACACTTATCTGCACTCCCAAGCCACAGATTACAGCTGTCAGGCCCAGAGGAAACGTGGCGGTCACATCAACCCTGACTCTGAAAACAGCCCTGAAAGACACAGGGGTGTTTCCAGCACAGCAAGGTCTTACTGGAAAGGACCCCTGGACCCCAATGTCCTAGAGGTGTGCCCCACGACCCCACATGCCCCTCTTCACTGCTCTGGCCTTTGGGAAACACAGCCCTGTCCTTTACAAGGTCCTATTTGCAAAGCCTGCTGGGAGACAGAGGCCCAGGGCTCGGATGAGGATGGGTTCTGTGCGGGAACAAGAGATGCCAAGATCCACCTAGGTGCCCCAGCCAAGAGGCAGAAAAGCATGGGAACCGTGTGCCCTTGTGGGACGTGTGCCACGGACGGGAAGGATACGGGTGTGGGTCCCCCTCTGTGGACGCAAACATGTTTATTGCAGGAAGGAAAAACAAGGAACTATTAACCCAAGTCACCTCTGGAGCAAAGACCAGCTGGGGCCAGGGGAGCAGTGTCGTGCTGTGATCTTTCCAGAAGGCTGACTCTTTTTCCGTACACTTTTAATTTGTTTGATCATATCCCTATTTTACCTTCCTTATTTTTAATGCCAGCCAGGGCTTTCTGGGTAAGAGCTGGGCACACCCAGGGAGAGGCACGTGACCATCCGCAGCTGCTCTCCTTGGCCTCCAGTTTGTTTTGTTTTTGTTTCTTACTTTCTGTGGAGATGGGGGGGGGGGTCTTACTATGTTACCCAGGCTGGTCTTGAACTCCTGGCCTCAGGCGATCCTCCCACCTCTGCCTCGCTAAGTGCTGGGATTACAGGCATGAGCCACTGCGCCTGGCCTTGACTTCTGGTTTGTGAGATGGAAGAACATTGGCCCCATGTGCAGAGGTGGAAATCGGCTTTTAGGAAAAAAGTGAGTTTCCACAGGACCCAAGTAATGGGACCTGGATTTGAACCCAGAGCTCTGCAGATCTGAGGATTGGGCACCTGCACACATAGTGCTGGTCTGAAGCATGTCCCCTGCCAAATTCATGCCCACCTAGAACCTCAGAATGTGGCCTTATTTAAAAATAGGGTCTCTACAGATGTTACCAAGTTAAGGATCCCAAGATGAGATCATCCTGGATTTATGAAGGGCCCTACATCCAAGCTGGAGGCCCTCCAAGCCCAAGCTGGTGGGGTCTAGCCCCAGTTTGCTCTGTGACCCTCCAACATGGCCCTCAAAATCTCTGAGCCTCAGACCCCCACCTGAGGACTTATGAAAGGAAGAAGACTCAAATTCACACCTCAGAAAAGCACATGAGAACAATGCTGCACCACGTACCCTCACTGAGACCCCAGACATTCTCGAAGACTAAATCGTCTCAGGTGCTGGAGAGGATGTGAGAGCTGGGAGGGTGAACAGCAGTGGCCCTTCTGGAAGGCATGTTGGGTGAAAATGGCTCCCCCTCTGCCCTACAGCAATTCCACTCCTGCGCATCCCCAGGAAATTGTGGAGAAGTACAAGGCAGCAGGGTCCAGCATATTTGCTGTTTGTGGAGGCAGGAGTCAGACATAACCAAGGTACCCCCGTCGCTAAGGGAATAAATACAACAGGATGAACATGAATTAGGGGGTCCAGGCAGCAGAAGGAAGCAATAAGCCTGATACACACATAGGAACACGGATAGATTTTAAACAGGGCAGCACGAGGAATGTTGACACGAGTTACCGTGCATGGCATGGAAAAGCCGCCCTCTCCTCAGACGTGACAGGCCACATGAAGGGGGCCTCCCTGTGCCACCCCCAGCTCAAAGCACTTCCACCTCTAGCTCCCTCGGTCCTCACTGAATCCTATAGGAAGGCATGGTTTTAGCCCATTTTATAGGCACCCTACTATTATGAGCTGAACAGTGTCCCCCCAAAATTCCCATGTTGCAGCCCTAACCCTCGGTGCATCAGAATGTGACTGTATTGGCGCGGGGGGCAGGGCCTTTAAATCGGTGATTACGTTTAAATGAGGTCAGTGGGGTGAGCCCTAATCCAATCTGACTGACGCCCTTAAAAGAGGAGATTAGGACCCGCAGAGAGTCACCGGGGATGTGCGCACACAGGGAGAAGGTGGCGTCTATGAGGCCGGGAGAGGGGTCTCCGGAGAAGCCAGCCCTGCCAACATCCTGATCTCAGACTTCCGGCCTCCAGAACTGTACGGGAATACATGGTCTTTGGCCCATGCACCTGTTATGGACATTTTTTTCTTTCTTTCTTTCTTTTTTTTTTTTTTTTGAGACAGAGTCCTGCTCTGTTGCCCAGACTGGAGTGCAGTGGCACGATCTCGGCTCACTGCAACCTCTGCCTCCCATGCAGACTCAGACACCCACCAGAGACCAGAGACTCGAAGAGCCTGTCCATGGTCACACAGCAGCAGGAGGCAGGGCCGGGATCTGGACCCACACCTGCAGGCTCCGGAATCTAGGACTGCACAAGGTCCAAGGACACACTCAGGTTTACAGACGCAGCCACACAGAGGATGGGCGCAGGGGCAGGGCGGGCTGAAGAGCGAGAGGGGTGAGGGGAAGGAGGGCATAAAAGGAGACCACTGAAAGCAGAAGCCAAGCGAGTTCCCGAACATGCGCGCTCCCAGCAGCACCGCTCCCGGCAGCCACCAGCCCAGACGCCCATCCACAGAGGCGCGGAAAAACAGCATGCAGTGCACCCGCACCGTGGAGGCCTGCTCAGCTACAAAAAGGAAAGCAGCACTCCACATGCCACACCACGGATGAACCCCAAAACATGACGCTAAGCGGAAGCAGCCAGGCACTTAAGGCCACACATTGCATGATTTCATTTATAAGAAATGTGCAGGGCCGGGCACGGTGGCTCAGGCCTGTAATCCCAACACTTTGGGACCGAGGCAGGTGTTTGACCTGAGGTCAGGAGTTTGAGACCAGCCTGGCCAACATGTGAAACCCCGTCTATATTAAAAATACAAAAAAAAAAAAAAAAAATTAGCCGGGCGTGGTGGCGGGCGCCTGTAGTCCCAGCTACTGGGGAGGCTGAGGCAGGAGAATCGCTTGAACCCAGGAGGCGGAGGTTGCAGTGAGCCGAGATCACGCCACTGCATTCCAGCCTGGGTGACACAGCAAGACTCTGCCTCAAAAAAAAAAGAAATGTCCAGGGCCGGGCACGGTGGCTCAGGCCTGTAATCCCAACACTTTGGGACCAAGGCAGGTGGATGACCTGAGGTCAGGAGTTTGAGACTAGCCTGGCCAACATGGTGAAACCCGTCTCTACTAAAAATACAAAAAAAAAAAATTAGCCGGGTGTGGTGACAGGCGCCTGTAGTCCCAGCTACTCGGGAGGCTGAGGCAGAAGAATCGCTTGAACCCGGGAGGCGGAGGTTGCAGTGAGCCAAGATTGCACCACTGCACTCCAGCCTGGGCGACAGAGCAAGACTCTGTCTCAAAAAAAAAGAAAGAAAGAAAGAAAGAAATGTCCGTAACAGGTGCATCTGTAGAGACAGAAAGAAAATGAGTGATTGCCAGGGGCTGGGGAGCTGCAAAGAGTGGAGAATGGGCAATTCTACTTGGGAGGGATGGAAATGTTTTGAAACTAGGTAGAAGTGGTGGTATCACTGAATTATTCGATTTACAAGGATTAATTATATGTTATGTGAATTTGAACTCAATAAATTATTAAATGAAAAACAAATGATAGGATTGGAAACGCTGCAACCACTTTGGACAAGAGCTTGGCCCTTCTCCATGCAGGTGAAGACACGCACGCCATGACCAGACCCCCTACTCTGACTGTCGGGCCCTAGAGGGATTCAGGCACATGTCCCTTGCAGGCAGGGACACGAGTGTGTCATAACCCAGAAGTGAACACAGTCACCGGCATCAGGGTTAAAACAGATGAACTGGCCGGGCGTGGTGGCTCACGCCTGTAATCTCAGCACTTTGGGAGGCCGAGGCAGGCGGATCATGAGGTCAAGAGGTCGAGACCATCCTGGCCAACATAGTGAAACCCCATCTCTACTAAAAATACAAAAATTAGCTGGGCATGGTGGTGCACTTGGGAGGCTGAGGCAGGAGAATTGCTTGAACCCGGGGGGCAGAAGTTGCAGTGAGCTGAGATCGCGCCACTGCACTCTAGCCTGGCCACACAGCAAGACTCCATCTCAAAAAAAAAAAAAAAAAAAAAAAAAAAAAGACAGATGAACTGTGATACTCAGCTTCTTCCGATTAGCATCATGAACTGTGATATGACATGGCCATGAAAATAGAGTGCAGCTTATCGCAGCAATGTGGGTGGATCCCACAAATACCATATGAAGTAACACCAGCAAGACCAAACCAAACAAAAATACTGAGAGTATGCCTGCATCCAAGTTAAGTCCAAAACCGGACCAAACTAATCCCGGTGTTTAGGGATGGCTATGAGGGAGTGATACTATAAAAAGCAAAGCAAGCTGGGACCAAACACAGTGTCTTCTGCAGGGGCTTCGGGGCAGATGAGCTTTCCCTCTTCTTCACGTGGGGTGATTGCATGCATGTTCATCTTAGTTACATATTTGATTGCATATGTCTTACACTTTCCTCAAAGTGAGCAAATTTCACAAAAAACAGAAATCCAAGACTCTGGGTGGAAAGTGCAAAGCGAGGGGTTGCAGCAGGTGGAGTCCAGGAGCCTGGGAACAGACAGTGGAAGGAAATCCCAAGGACAGGGGAGACTTGGCTGTTCCCAGAGCTGCCAAGGGATCCTGGCTGCAATGGGCTCTCGGCCAAGTAAGGCCAGTTTGACCTCCACCTGCCTGCCAGGAGGCCAGACAGGGCCAAGATGATCTGGCACAAGAATTTCCACAAGGCTCTGAGGCCTGGGCATCTGGGCTAGTGGCTGCCGGGAGGCCCAGTTAGGGAGAGGCAAAACAGGAAAAGCCCCCACCTGCCACTCCATCCAGCCTCCCGTTTCCACCCGACCAGCCCTGAGACCCCAGGGTTTCCACAATCTTCCTGGCCCAGGGGATGAGTCAGGGATCAGATCCGCCATCTCTTCCCATGTGATGGCACTGGGGTGGGCAGAGGCTGGCCGAGGGCCGCTGAAGGATGGACACATCACCGCTCAAAGGCAAGGAATGAGAGCCAGAAATTTTAGAAAGCAGGTGGAGGAAGGGACCAGGAGGAATTGCAGGCTTCTTCAACCCAAGAGGTTCAGACTTGCACTGTGACTGCCAGGCTGGGAGCTGGGGGAGGATCCAGGCACCCAACCCCGGCTCATCAGAAACACTCTGCTCCAATCTGATTCACACAATGAGGCTTTTGTGTGGGAGTCTGTGGGAAGACCACGTGCACTCCTGAGAAAGCAATCAGACAAATCCAAATCAAGGGCCATCCTGCCAAAAGCACCCGCCTGGCCCCTTTACAGATGCCAGTGTCCTGAAAGACCCAGCAAAGAGAAAAGGGCTGGAGAACAGGTCTGGATTAAAGAGGAAAAACACATGAGGCAACCAGACACAGCATGCAACCTTGGATTCAAAAAAAAATTTTCTTTTTCTGAGACGGAGACTCACTCTGTCGCCCAGGCTGGAGTGCAGTGGCACGATCTCGGCTCACTGCAACCTCCGCCTCCTGGGTTCAAGCGATTCTCCTGCCTCAGCCTCCCGAGTAGCTGGGACTACAGGTGTGCGCCACCATGCCTGGCTAATTTTTTTACTTTTAGTAGAGACAGGGTTTCACCATGCTGCCCAGGATGGTCTCAATCTCTTGACCTTGTGATCCACCCGCCTCGGCCTCCCACAGTGCTGGGATTACAAGCGTGAGCCACCACGCCCGGCCAATTCAAAATTTTTTAATGAACAACTATGACAAAAAGTGTTATTGGGGCCGTAAGGGAATCTGAACACAGACTGTCAGATTAAAGGTGTGGATCCTCGTGGCCTTCTTGAGTGGGGCCGTGGTCCACGGCCATGGAGAAGGACGTCCTTGTCCTTAGGATGCACCCAAAAGGCTCAGCAACGAGAGAGAGAGGATGCACATGCAGCAACTTGTACTTTTCTTCCCGTTTTTACAAAATAAAATCTTTGAAAATAGAACCTTGGGTGATGTGGTGGTGGAAGAACACACTGGGCTGCTTTATTTTACAAGCTGGATGCCTCCCTCGTGAGAACGGCAGAACGAGCCGTGGTACATCCGCACCGTGGAGCGTTTCCAGGCATCTAGAGAATCAGAGCGTGATCATCACCAGAAAATCCCAGCTGACTGAGGACGACATGGACAAGCGATGACAGCGTGAGAAACCCACGGTGCAGCAAAGCGTGCATAGTATGGTCCCATTTCAGCAAACTGCTGACAGATGGATCCCTCTCTATGTCTGTGTCTATCCGGTTAAGATGTTGGAAACAGCCAGCCCTTACTTGACACTTGCCGAGCTGCTATTTGAAGTGTGACATGTGCCAATTCTGCCACCTTAAAAGCCCTATGTAGGAGACACTTTTATTAACTTCATTTTACAGAAAAGTAAAAAAGGCACAGAGAGGGTAAGTCACTTGCCTGAAGGCACCCAACTGGGAAGTGGCCAAGCCAGGATTTGAACCTGGGCTGCCTGCCTTCAAAGTCCATATGCTGGGGTCCACCTGAGCTGCTGGAAGCTAAAGCCCTGCCAAAGGCTGGAGAGAAGCCTGGGATGCTGCTGGGACACACTGCAGGGTAAACCCAGTGGCTAGGATTCCAGATCAACTCCTCCACGGGTGCATCTGGGCAGCTCATCCCTCCCACCCCTACCTCATCCCCTCTCTGCCCACGGCACACCCCTGCAGCCTCTCACCTTGGGTGGACAAAGCCTGAACTTTGGCACACCAGCCCTGATATCTCCCCAACTTTTTAAAAAATGCCTCATCCCAGTCCTGCCGCCAGGATGTGAACAGGCAGGGGTATCAATGGGACCCTGGGAACTTTCTGCCTGAAGAACATTCGTTAGTGACTTCCTCCGGCACCCACCCAGGCCCCTTCCACCCTTGCTGCCCGGGCCCTCCTGGCCTCCATCCAGCTAGCCTGGGACAGTCGGCCCCACCCAGCACTGGCTGCTAACTATCTCCGTGGCCTTGAGTAAACCTCTGCTACCTACAGAATTTGGTTTCCAAAGGAAAAATAAAAGATAGAACTGAGCTTCGGAACCCAAGTCAGTCCAGATCTAACAATCTGACAGCTGATGAAACTTTCCCCGTTAGAGCAATTAGGCCAGGTACAGTGATTCATGAATGTAATCCCAGCACTTTGGAAGACCAAGGTGGGAGGATTGCTTGAGGCCAGGAGTTCAAGACCAGCCTGGGCAACATAGCAAGACCCCTGTCTCTACAAAAAATCTAAAAATTAGCTGGGCATGGTGGTGCACACCTGTAGTCCCAGTTATTCAGGAGGCCAAGGTAGGAGGATCGATTGAGCCTGAGTGGTTGAAGCTGCAGTGAGCCGTAATCATGCCACTGCACTCCAGCTTGGGTGACAGAGTGAGACCCTGTCTCAAAAAATCTAAATAAATAAATAATAAAGGGTGGGCACTGTGGCATATGCTTATAATCCCAGCACTTTGGGAGGCCAAGGTGGGTGGATCATTTGAGGTCAGGAGTTCCAGACCAGCCTGGCCAACCTGGTGAAACCTCGCCTCTACTAAAAATACAAAAATTAGCCGGGTGTAGTGGTGGGCACCTGTAATCCCAACTACTCAGGAGGCTGAGGCAGGAGAATCACTTGAACCCGGGAGGCGGAGGTTGCAGTGAGCCAAGATCATGCCACTGCACTCCAGCCCGGGCGACAGACTGAGACCATGTCTCAAAAAAATAAATAAATAGGCCGGGCTTCGTGGCTCACACCTGTAATCCCAGCACTTTGGGAGGTCGAGGTGGGCGGATCACCTGAGGTCAGGAGTTCGAGACCAGCCTGGCCAACATGGAGAAACCCTGTCTCTACTAAAAATACAAAATTAGCTGGGCACAGTGGCGCAGCCTGTAATCCCAGCTACTTGGGAGGCTGAGGTGAGAGAATCGCTTGAACCTGGGAGGCAAAGGTTGCGGTGAGCCGAGATCACACCATTGCACTCCAGCCTGGGCAACAAGAGAGAAACTCCGTCTCAAAATAAATAGGTAAGTAAATATAAGTAAATACATACATAATAAACAGCTGGTAAGCTACTACCTCCTCAAGAGGCCTTGGTAAACAGAATAGTCAGCCAAACAAAATAATCTCTAATACTGTAACAGCCAGAGACAGTGAAAGGCAATGTGGGGATGAAGTGGGAAGCTACCTGGGGGCAAAGGGGCTCAGCCCCATTTTTGCTGCCTATGGCCGCCTCTTCCCCCGACAACAGCCCCTCCTTTTTGCCTTTTGGGAACCACCCTACTCCTACCTGAGTCTCTGTGGGCAAGAACTACTTCCCTCCCTGGCTCCAAATGGGCAGGCGACCCAAGGCTGACCAATCACAGCAGTCCATTACTCGAGCCACAGCAATTGGTCCAAGGATGCACATGTGATCCCAGCTCAGCCAATCACAGCCAATGAGCATTGACTCCATAAGTTGTGCCAGCCACTGAGAAAATTCTTTAATTCTCCTTCAATATCCCTCAGGAAGGTTCCCTTCCAAGAGCTTCTGGGAATTCCAAAGCAGTCAGTTTCTCCCTGACGTGGTGCAGATGCCATTTATTTTCTAAGCGTCAGAGGAAGCCACTGGCAAGTGAGACTGGGGCGTACATATAAAAACATAGGAATCTAATTCTAGAATCGCATTCAGCCTGTCCAGATGCCCTGTCACGGGACCCAGGAAGAACAGCAGGGTCACAAGAAACTCACTCCCTACATTGACACTAACCAAGTCTACTTATGAGGGTCACTGCTGTTTTCCTTTTTTTTTCTAATTGAATGCATGTAGATGATTTTGCATGAATGACATGCTTATGGGCCACACCTCCACATTCCTGCACGGAGCAAAATCACAAGCAGAATGGACCTCGGTCTCCTGACTCAGCCTCGCACAGTCCTGCTAATGAGAACAAAGTGAAACATAAAGGATTCCATTTTTTTTTTTTTTTTTTTGAGATGGAGTCTCACTGTCACCTAGGCTGAAGTGCAGTGGCGCGATCTCAGCTCACTGCAACCTCCACCTCCCGAGTTCAAGCAGTCCTCCGCCTCAGCCTTCCAAGTAGCTGGGACTACAGGTGTGTGCCACCATGCCCAGCTAATTTTTGTGTTTTTAGTAGAGATGGGGTTTCACCATGTTGGCCAGGCTGGTCTCGAACTCCTGACTTCAAGTGATCCACCCACCTCAGCCTCCTAAAGTGCCGGGATTACAGGCATGACACCTGTAATCCTAACACTTTAGGAATAATGTAATAATGGCGCCCGGCCTATAAATGGTTCCATTCTAAATAATGAACCTTGGCTTAAATGCTCAGGGAGAGAAACACTCCCAGCCCCAGCCCCATCCAAGACACCTGATGGGACCAAGATGCCAACAGGAGGATCCCTGCTTCCTCCTGGAGGCAGGAGGTGGCCCCAGAAACAGCCTCCACGCTTCCTGTGGCCCTTCCACCATGACAGGTGCTGTCTCTTTACCCACCATCCACAGACAGCCCCGATGACATCTTTATACACCCGCATCCCTTCCTTCTGGCTACTCCACCTTCATGCTGGGGCAGGAAAGGGGTCAATCAAAAGCCACCAAAGCTCAGACAGGGAAACAGCCCAGCACTGGAACCAGGCAGAAGTCATTGAAATCCAGATGGAGTGTGTTAAGACTCAGGCCTACAATCTGTGGATGCATCCCAGGGACCCAGGCTTTGGGGTGTTCCCCAGGGCGTATGACCTCCCTTACCCCTCGCTACAGCCCGAGGAGGGAGGCCCGGAGAAACACGCCCGGCAGGGTTATGCAACTCACCCACAGCCACAGAGACAGGAAGTGCAAGAGCCACTGCTGAACTCAGGGAGTCTGGTTCCAAAGTCCACGCTGCGGAGGACCCCCACTGGGGCCTCTCTGCCTTAGCCCAAGGTCCTACGCTAGGTGGTTCTCTGCCCTGGACAAGGGTCTCCAACTATGGAATGCAGCCATGAACGAGACAGATAAAGTCTCTGTCCTCATGGAACTCACACAAGTGGATGAGATAATTTCAGAGACTATTAAGGGCTCAGAAGGGAATAGCATGGTGTGGTTATAACACAGATGGCGCAAGCCAGGCGCGGTGGCTCATGCCTGTAATCCAAGCACTTTGGGAAGCTAAGACAGGTGGATCACCTGAGGTCAGGAGTTCGAGACCAGCCTGGCTAACATGGTGAGACCCCATCTCTACTAAAAATACCAAATTAGCTGGGCATAGTGGTGCACGCCTGTAATCCCAGCTACTCAAGAGGCAAGGCTGGAGAGTCGTTTGAACCGGGGAGGAGGAGGTTGCAGTGAGCCGAGATGGGGCCATTGCCCTCCAGCTGAAAAACCACACAGATGGCACAGACAGTGGACGTGGGGGGCAACTGTCCATTGGGTGGGGTGGGCAATCACGGGGTGTCTTCTTCAAAAGGTTACATTTAAGCTTCAAAAGGTTACATTTAAACATAAAAGAGGAACCAAGCATAAGAGCCAGGGAGACAAAAAGACGGTCCAGGCAGAAAGAAAAGCACTTCCAAAGGCCCTGAGGCAGGACAGCATGTGACACGTTGGAGGAAAAGGAAGGCCTGTGAGGTTGCAGTGGGGTGAGAATGCTGAGTTGAGATGGGCAGGGCCCACGAAAATGAGGCTCACAGCTTTGATACCAAATGCAGGAAGATTTTATTCAGCTTCTTGAAATGATCCAGTTTGCATAGTTTTGTTTTTTTTTTTTTTTTTTTTGGGAGACGGAGTCTCGCTCTGTCACCCAGGCTGGAGTGCAATGGTGCAATCTCGGCTCACTGCAACCTCCACCTCCCGGGTTCAAACAATTCTCCTGCCTCAACCTCCCGAGTAGCTGGAATTACAGGCACATGCCACCACGCCTGGCTAATTTTTGTATTTTTAGTAGAGATGAGGTTTCACCATGTTGGCCAGGCTGGTCTTGAACTCCTGACCTCAGGTGACCCACCCACTTCGGCCTCCCAAAGTGCTGGGATTACAGGCATGAGCCACTGTGCCCGGCCCAATTTGCATGTTTTAAAGAGCATCCTGGCTTTGATGGGGAGAAGTGACAACAGTGTGGTATAAATCAGCAGAGCAAACAGCCCCATGATGACACTCCAGCATCCACTGGGAAACAACGGTGGCAGCTCGGTCTGGGGCGACGGCCACGGCAGGTGGAGGAGTAGGCCCCATTGCCCTGCACAGGACCACAACCTGCCACTGGTCACGAACCATCCTGTGAAACAACCCTTGTCTTTTAAACATCCTTTCAATAAATATTTGAGAACCTGCGATTATGTGCTAGGCATCGTTCCAGGGGCTTGGGTCACGGCAACGAATAACACAAAGGTCCCTGCCCTCACAGTCCGACATTCTCATGGGGAGAAATAGACAATAAACAATCAACATGATACCCAGGGAAGTTCCAGGGTATCTACAGTGGCTGACAGGTCTAAGCAGAGCGGGTAAGGAGGGCTGGCAGCACAGGGGGACAAGGGGGAACCTGCATGATGCACAAACGGAATCAGGGGAGGGTCTCCGTGAGCAAGTGAGAGCTGAACAGAGACCTACGGGAGATGAGAGGGCTTGTGTCAGGAGAGCTAAGGCGATTGGGCCCATGGGGCTGAGGAATGGCCAGGAGGCCATTGTGCAAGGGAAAAGGGAATGCGGACGTCGCCAGAAAAGTGGCAGGGGTGGATGGCACAGGCCCTGGGCCAGGTTAGGACCTGGCTGTGACTCCTAGGGGACGGGTCTGGCCATGTCAGGGCTTTGAGGGGAGGAGGTGCTAAGTGCAATCTTGATGGGCTCCCATGGCTGCTTATTGAGAAACCCCACTGGGGAGCAAGGATGAGCACAGGGAGGCCAGTGAGGAGGCGGATGCAGGAATCTGGGGGAGAGGTGATGGTGCCTTGGACCAGAGGTGATGGCGCCTCGGGCGTGGTGAGAAGTAGTTGGAATCTGGGTATATTTAGATGATGAAGCTAGAAAACTTTCTGACGGGTTCTCTGAGGGAAGTGGAGAGAACAGAGTCAAGGCTGAGTGCAAGATGTTGGCCCGGGCAACTGGAAGATGGGGGGGCTATGATGGAGTGGGAAGCTGGTGGGAGCCACAGGTGTGGCCGAGGGTGATGAGGAGCCAGCCGGGGCGAGCGTGAGCTGCCTTTGACCCCGAGTTGAGATACGGACTCTGCTGTTGGACACTCGGGGGTGGGGTTCAGGGGAAAGGTCTGGGCCCAGGGATACCAATTTGGGAGTGGTCAGGACAGAGATGCCATTCAGGCGCAAGGCTGGAGGAGCCCACCCCAGGGATGAGGGATGAGGACACACAGAAAGGATGCCTGGAGCTCCACCAGCAGGAGGCAGGAGGCCAGGGAGATGAGGAGGCATCAGCAGGCAAGAAGACAGAGCAGCCAGGAAGGTGGGAGGAAAACCCAGAGAATGGAGATTTAAAGCGCCTCAAGGGTCCTTCTAGAAGCTTCCAGAGAAGGTGTAAGGAACTTCACCCAAAATGCCAGGAAGTGAACAAGGTCAGGCCCCTCCCGTTCCTTCCCCCTCCCCAGCACAGGCAATCAGTGAACAGGAAGAAACAGTGGAGTGGAGGGAAAGAAAACAAGAAAATTAAGACGGCCAGGCCTTGGGCCATGAGGCTTCCTGGAACCCGGGACCTGGGGAGCTTCTGAGCAGGCGGAGTGTCTCCATATCTCACGCAGGCTTTGGGAGGAAAATCGCCCCCAACACCCACAGGGAGCCAGCCCCTGGGCCCTTTAAGGCTTCAAAGTCAAGAACGCAGCTTTTTGTGTTGTTTTTGTTTCTCTTTGCAAGACAGCTCCAGCCTGGCCACTTGTGGGCCAGCAGAGCTCAAGGTCATGTCCAAACAGGGGGAGGGAGACGAGGTAAATAAAAGGGATTCTCTTTTTGTTTTGCGTTTTTGATTTTTGACTGAGCCCTAGCGTTGAATTCTCCGCACAATTAATGTGTCTGTGGTGTCGGAGCTGCCAGCGCCTCCTGGAGCAGAAGGCCTGGACCGAACTCTCCTCCACAGAATCCTCCAGGCCCAAGATTTAAACCACAAACTCTCTGGGTTCAGCCTTGGGGGGTGTGGCTTATGGCCCCAGGGGCCTCTCTTTTGCTGACCACAGACATGGAATCACCCTCTGGACACTAAGGAACCTCCATGCAGGACCCACGAATGACAGTGCCAACAAGCCTGCAGCAAATCGCCACTGGGGCCAAGACTCATCCAGGAAAAACACCTTCATGGAGCAAGCCCTCCATGGGGACTCACTTCCATCCCATTTGCTAGAAACCAAAGGCCAGGGTAAGGCGATTCCAGGTGGCTGAGCTTCGCCACGTTCTAGTTAATCAGGGTGCATCTCCCGGCGGAGGCACAGCAAGTACCGGCCATTCCGGGAAGGGACAGGGAATGTTTCCTGGAAACCCCAGGTGCTGGGCCTGGCCCCAGAAAGGCCAACCACAGCGGGACACATCAACATGTATGTGCAGACACATCAACACACAAGGACATGCATAAACACGTGTGTTCATGTGTGTCCATTTGCATGTACAGACACACCATGTGTGCCTGTGTCAACATATGTAGGCACACATCAACACAGGTGTCTGCATACACATCATCACGTCGTCACACATCAAGGCAGGTGTGTGCATGCCTACACAGGTGTGTGTGTCACTGTTTTCACCATCAGCACTTGTGTACACACACCAACACACGTGTGTGCAAACACACACACACTCACGAAGACAGGGAGAGGCAAATCTACCAGGAGCAAATAAACTAGACTCACACAAACTAAAAATAGCCCATGTTTTTCAGCCGTCGCCAGGGAGTAAGTTGAAGCTGTCTCTCACATGCTAGAAGGAGTAGGAAGTTCAATGGCAGGAAAGAGGAAGAAAAACAAAACAGAATTGGCACACACCTGTGATCCAAGCTGTCCTCGAGGAGCCCCCTCCCCACCTGTGCCCAGTGATCAGTTCTAGGGCTTTGCCCCACATGTCCAAACAAGGGGGTCCTACAGGAAACGCCCGGTAGGTGGAGACACTGGGCCTCCCCCCCAGGTTCCGCAGGGGGGCTGATAAAGGCGCAGAGCGGGCGGCCCCTGCAGGATGGGTGGGAGTCCAGCCCCCGGGGTCACTGGGAGCCCTGGGCTAGGAACAGGTGGCCTCCCCGGGAGCCTCACTTGGTGCCTTTGATTGGAGAACATGTCCCTGGTCTCAGACTACCCCCGGAAGGGAGAGGCCAGGGTGCACTCTGCACCAGCAAAGTTTGGCGGGGTGATGATTAGGACAAAGCCTCGAAGGGACCCTGCTGTTCCCTGGTGATGCACAGAAAAGGAAGGGGCAGCCCAGGAAGAGAATATAAGAAGGGCACCCCCCGCCGCCCGCCTTAAGCATGCAGTCGACCTGCTCAGACACACGGAGAACCGGGAGGACGCAGTGCGCAGAGGCCACCGGGACCAGCTGTGGAGTCGGCCCCCAGACTTGAAATCCTGATTCAACCGCTTGGAGCTATGTGACATGGGGCAAGTTACTTTCCGCCTCTGTGCATCCATTTCCCTCAATAAAATAAGACACAATAGTACCTATTTTAGATACTAAAATGAATAATGCACATAAACACTTGGAACAGTATCCGGCCACAACGAGTGCCCATTGACTGTTATCTCCCATCAACCCCCATCTTTTAACTGATTGACAAAGATTTCCCAAAAGGCACAAACTCAGGGACAGCCGGTGACATCCCTGGCTGGCCCTGGTGCCGGGGCTCCCCAAGGCTCACTGTGTGGCTCTGGCTGAGGGAGGCAGGGGTGAGCTAAAGAGCCTGAGGCCAGGGCTGGGGGTCGCGCCCGCCTCATTCATTCTGTAACCTGACTGGTGTTGAAGGGGTGGCAAGGAGCTCAGGCGCTGCTATGGCCCTCGGGGACGCTGCAGTGACAGTGATGGGAAAGCCCCTGCCTCAGCAGATACAGGGGTATCAGGAAAAAAGCATGCAGGCAAAGATGACCGAAGGTTTTTGCCTCTACCCCAGGGGAAACAAAAGGAGGTGCCGTTTATTGAGACAGGGATCATAGGTGGGGGAAGCCCAGCAGCAGGACAAGGCAACCGAGGTTGAGTCCATCTAGAAAACCAACTTAAAGACAGCAGAGGGGACCCAGGTTCTCTCCTGGACATGGAAGAAGGCCATGAGGCCTATCATTGAAGATGGTGGTCTTGGAAGATGACCCCTTCCCTGCAGCCCAGCAGTAGTGAGGGGCCTCTCCCCACGTCCACCAGCTGGGCCTTCCTTGGAGGACCAGAGACATACGGGAACTTGGATGTGTGCCCCCCAGGACCTGAACCAGGCCTTCGTTACTCACCCACATACCTGAGCACAGCTGCATGCCAGGCTCAGATCCAGGGAATGGGAGCAAGAGTCCCCATTCTCATGGCATCTGCCTCTGGGACAGACAGACACCTTCACACACACACACACGTGCACACATGCACGCACACACATACACTAGCGAGGTCACTTGGGGCAAATTACTCTCTTCAGCTTGTCTCCTTAACGGACACTGAAGACAATAAATCATATGTCACGGCCCTCTGCAGGGACTAAATGAGACAATTTTCACAAAGGTGCTTTGAACCCTGCCTGGTGCACAGTAAGCTGCCCATGAATGGATGCCATGAAGTTCACAATCGCGGCCCTTAGTGTGCCTGTCCAAACACCTCTCTCCAATCCTACCCACTGGCAGAAGGGAAAAGAAATGAGTTGCGCTTCCCCAAAGCCTCTCCAAGCAACCTCGACCACAGGGCCCCTTTGCAGTGTGCCTCATCGGTCTGTGTGGCGCATTCATCTGGCCAGTCTTTGAGGAAAACTATGTATCTGTTCATTCGTAATTTTTTTTTTAAGAGATGGGATTTTGGCCGGGCGCGGTGGCTCACACCTGTAATCCCAGCACTTTGGGAGGCCGAGACGGGCGGATCACGAGGTCAGGAGATTGAGACCATCCTGGCTAAAACAGTGAAACCCCGTCTCCACTAAAAATACAAAAAACTAGGTGGGTGCGGTGGCGGGCGCCTGTAGTCCCAGCTACTCAGGAGGCTGAGGCAGGAGAATGGCGTGAACCCGGAAGGTGGAGCTTGCAGTGAGCCGAGATCGCACCACTGCACTCCAGCCTGGGCGACAGAGCCAGACTCCGTCTCAAAAAAAAAAAAAAGAGATGGGATTTCACTTTGTTGCCCAGGTTGGAGTACAGTGGCACAAACACAGCTCACTGCAGCCTCGAGCTCCTGGGCTCAAGATATCCTCCCACCTCAGCCTCTCAAGTAGCTAGGACTATAGGTGCATGCCACCATGCACCAGCTTAGTTTTGTTGTTGTTTTGTTTTGTAGAGATGGGGGTCTCACTATGTTGCCCACGCTAGTCTTAAACTCAGGGCTTCAAGTGACCCTCCCACCTCAGCCCCATAAAGTGCTGGGATCGCAAGTTTGAGCCACCATGCTTGGCCTTGTAATTTTTAATCAAACACGTAGCATGTGGATACATTTTCTCTGTTAAAACAAAAATAATGGCCGGGCATGGTGGCTCACGCCTGTAATTCCAGCACTTTGGGAGGCCGAGAGGGGAAGATCACAAGGTCAGGAGATCAAGACCATCCCGGCTAACACGGTGAAACCCCATCTCTACTAAAAATACAAAAAAAAAATTAGCTGGGTGTGGTGGCAGGCACCTGCAGTCCCAGCTCCTCAGGAGGCTGAGGCAGGAGAATGGTGTGAACCCAGGAGGCAGAGGCTGCAGTGAGCCGAGATCGTGCCACTGCACTCCAGCCTGGGCGACAGAGCGAGACTCCATCTCAAAAAAGAAAAAAAAAAATAGCATTACAGATAAAGTATTAGGTTTCCTTTGGCCACACCCCCAGTGTCCTGCCTTCTCTCATTAGAGTAGCCACTTCTGTTAGTCTCACCTTTTCCCAAACTTTAACATATTCTAATATTAAGCCATTGAAAATAATGGCAGGGCGCGGTGGTTCACACCTATCATCCCAGTGTTTTGGAAGGCCAAGGCAGAAGGATCACTTAAGGCCAGGAGTTCGAGACCAGCCTGGGTAACATAGTGAGACCTTGTCTCTACGAAAATAAAAATAAAAATGGAAAGAAAATATAGAATATTGTTTGGTGGGTTTTTTTTAAACATAAATAGCACCAGAGCTTTTTTCAATTAGTAATGTGTTTTTATGGCCTACCCATGCTGAGACATATTTCTAAGTTCCTTCATTTTTTTTTTTTTTTTTTTGAGATGGAGTCTCACTCTATTACGCAGGCTGGAGGGCAGTGGCGTGATCTCAGTTCACTGCAACCTCAGCCTTCCAGGTTCAAGCTATTCTCCTGCTTCAGCGTCCCGAATAGCTGGGATTACAGGCGTGCACCACCATGTCCAGCTAGTTTTTGTATTTTTTAGTAGAGACAGGGTTTAGCCATGTTGGCCAGGCTGGTCTCAAACTCCTGACCTCAGGTGATCCGGTGAATAATGAAGACATGGTTCAGATCCCTGGGGGCACACATCCAAGTTCTGTGAAAAGGACATAGACATGAAATGTGGACAAGAAGCCATTCTTAAGAAATTCAGTCTAAAGAAGCAGGCCAAAGGGAAAAAGATGTCAACTAGTGTGACAATATCCACATCTTCACCCCAGCTCATCATTGAAGACAGCAGCCTCGGAAGATGAGCATCCCTTTTTTGCAGCCCAGCTGCAGTGAGGGGCCTCTCCCCCATGTCCACCAGCTGGGCCTTCCTTGGAGGACCAGAGACACACGGGAACTTGGCTACCAAAAAATGGTAATGATAAATCAGTAATTACCAGTGATGGCAGAGATAGGGGAAGTAGCACAGTCCCATACCTTGTGGGTGGATGCAGCAACAGAGCTGTGCAGAAGGGCAATTTGGCCGTAATCATCAAAACTCAAACTGAGCACACCTGCTCCCAAGGCCCCACTTCTAGAAATCCACCCTATGGAAATGTTCATGAACCACACGAAGAGGGATGTGTCGGGATATCGCTGTCATTTGTGACAGAGAAAATGATCAGTCAATGGAGAAACAGGTAAACAAGTCTATAACCATTCAAAGGAATACCAGCAGTGATGAAGGAAAACGCGGGGTAGACTTATTGCTGAGACATGGAAAATTTTTCAGCTGGTATCTTTGAATTGAAAAACAAATTGCAAGATAATTATACATGTTCAAGTTCACCTACACTTAGTTCAAGTTATGTAAAATATATATTAATATGTATACATACAGGCTCCTGGTACACAGAAAAGGGTCTAGAAAGATCCACATCAATGATGGTGATAATAGCTCAGGAGGGGAATAAAATGGGGGAAACTTTCTCTCTTTTCCTCCATTTGAACTTTTTTTTACGAGCAAGTATTCATATATTTTATATAAAGTCGTCCCTCAATGTCAGAGGGGAATTGGTTTCAGGACCCCCATAGATACCAAGATCTGCAGATGCTCAAGTCCCCGACATAAAATGCTGTGGTATTTGCATATCACCTATGCGCATCCTCCCGTATTCTTTAAATCATCTCTAGGTTACTTATAATACCTAATACGATGTAAATGCTATGTCAATAGTTGTTATACAGTATTGTTTTTATGTCTTTTTTTAGTTGTATTGTTATTTTGGGGGGATTTTTTCTGAAAACTTTTCATCTGCAGTTGATTGAATCCACGGATGCAGAACCTGCAGACACAGAGGGCCAACTGTAGGGACTTCTGTTGTTAACCAAAAAGCACATTAAAAAAAAAAAATAAAAGCACAAGGCCTCCCATTCAAGTTGCACACAGACTCATGTAGCCAAAGAAAACACCAGCGGGCAGTCCCTGCTTATGCGTGTGTCTCACCCGCCTGGTCCCCTGAACACAGGCTCTCTTCTTCCATGCTAAGGCACTTGGCCGCTGCTCCAGCCTGGGCGGTTCCAGAAGTGGCCGTCTTGGGCTGGGCGTGTCTTCCTGCCTTCACACCACTCGGCCCCAAACCAATCGCCTTTGGGATATCCACAGAAGGATGCTGGGAGGCTCCTGTTCAACTTTAAGCCAGATGCTCCTAGCTCCAGGACAATTGAGGACAATGTGGTTTTCCTCTTTAGAAGCCCAGGAGAGGAGTGGGGAAATTTGGTGGTGCATGCATGTGTGGTGCACACACACACACACACATCCTACTGACATACTTAACCTGATGACATCCTGAGAAAGAAAACACCTTGAAATAAGCCCCCGAATAACTGAGTTGGCAAGACTCTTTACCTGGCATAAGTCCCCACACTCCCATAGCAAGAGACCAGGTGCTCACTCACAGCACAGGGTCACATGCTTGAACTGCCTGAGTGATAGCCCCTCTAGGGACCCTGCATACACACAGTGGGGTCCTGGCACTGCAGCAGCCACAAGGCTGTCACTGACACACACGTTTCAGTATGAGTAGGCCACAGAAAAATAAAGCTCCCTCAGTGTAACAGAGAAAGCCTCTGAGCTGTCATGGGGGAGAAGAGGCCATTCTGCTGATTTTCCTGCCATCCCCAGAGACAGTGTCACCATCCACCGGGACCTCTTTGCAGTCAGATTACAGGCTTTGGCGGGACAAGATTTGAAAAATCAAAAATAGACACAACGTGGCTAAGATGCCCTAGACAACTGCTCACCCAGAGACCTTGAGAGAGACCATATGTTGCTCCATCTTTAAGGCCAGCTAGCTGGGTCCCAAGAAGTGTGGCAGCCAGATCTAAGCAGATCCTTCATTCATTCACTCATTCATTCGCTCTGTGAATGAGGGAACAGACATGAAATGTGGACAAGGAACCATTCTTAAGAAACCCAGTCCAAAGAGGCAGGCCAAGGGGAAAAGACGTCCATTAGAGTGACAATGTCCACATCTTCACCCCAGCTCTGCATCTGGCTAGAACTTTGATAAGAGTGAGCCCCAGTTTCCCCTCCCCGCCACTGCATGTGTGGGTTCCCAGGGCTTCAAAACTCTAAATGGCTTTTAGTTCAAATGTGATACTCTGCAATCTCCCAGCCCTTCCCTAACTCCAGGCTCATTCAAACAGGCCACCCAGGCACCCAGGGCAGAGTCTGTCCGTCTGCAGACCAGCTGACCGCCTAATCTGTCTCCCTGGTTGAAAGGGCAATGGTATGCAAAGTTAGGATCAGAGGAAAGACCTAAGGCTGCGTGCACTCAGAGGACCTTGGGCTGCTGCCTGCCTCTGCATGAATCTGGGGAGAAAAGCGGCTTATAGTTTCCAGACTGAATCATGGAGGCAGTGAGCAGGGAGAACAGAGTCGCGCATTCTGCCTCTGGGAGAGGGTTCCTATGGGGAGATTCTGGGCAGTGGAGGATGCTCAGCTGAGCACCTACCATGTGAGCTGGGCACCCACGTGGGTCTCACAGAAGGTTCCTGTCCTCCTGGGCTCACAGGATACAAGCAAAGTGCAGCTCTAATTTTACCGGACCCTGCTACCGGCTGCTGTGAAAGCAGACGTTCACACACTCTTGGGCTCCTTCGGGCGGCACCACGGAAGCAACCTGTCCACACTCCTGATCCGTCGTGGGCGCCCAGACCCTTTAGGGCGGGTCAGGCGCCCGGGTGGTCTCCCGTCCAGGCCTCCCCAACCCTGGCCTGCGCCTCCAGCAAAGCCCCTGGGTTCCCCCCTAGCCTCAGTCTGGGGCGGTGAGGGTGGTGGGGAGGCGGGCAGCAGCCCCTCCCGAAGCGCCTGGCCTCCCTCGTGCTCTGCGGCGCCAGGCCCGGGCGCCGATTCCGCTGCGGTCGCCCACCCACCGCAACGCGCGGGTCCTCCCGGCGCCCAGCGCCCAACAGCCCGGGTCCGTGCGCGGACCCCCTGGGGTCTCCCTCACCCACCTTAAGGACCTGCTGCTTGATGAGCGACGGCACCATCACGATCATGACAGCGCCCAGCACAGCGCACAGTAGCCCCGCGACGCCCAGCGCCCCGGCAGCCCAGCGCGCTTTGGCGGAGCAGCCCATGTCTGCGCGCCTGGGGCCCACCCGCGGCTCGCAGGGCTCCGCGCCTGGCAGGAGACGGGGACGGCGACAGAGACGACACAGGCGGGGACTCCGGGCACGCAGGCCGCAGAGGCACGGTGGATCCGGGACGGCAGCGCACGCAGGAGCAGCCCGGCAGGTGGCCAGTGGTTTTATGCCCCATCGCCGGCGCCGCCGGACCGCCCCCGGGCAGCCTTGGGCTTCAGGATTCCGGCGGCAGGGGCGGGGCCTGAGCGGGCCCGGGGCGGGGTCGGGGCGGGGACGGGGCGGGGCGCTGATCGGACGGGCAGGGGGCGGGGCCATGGCCGCCAAGACAAGCCCCGCCATGCTGCCGCTGCCCCCACGGCCTCGCTTCCGTTTTGGGGCGGGAGCTGAGGAGGCCTCGTGGCCGCTGAGCCAAAACGTCTATGGGGCCTGGTGCCCCTCACCCTCTTGCTCCCTTCCCCTTTCTCCTACCCCTTCCCCCACCTATGTCTCCCCTCCTCCCAGCTCTCCCCTCTGAGCCCCTCACCCTTCCTTTTCCCTCCTCCTCCCTCTCCTCCTCTATCGGGACCATCATCATGGTTGGTCACTGTGAGTAGGACTTCGCCAGCCCACCCAGGAACCCCAGAGCCCTTACAACGGTCCACATGCCCCGCCACCACCTTCTAGACCCTCATCTCCGCAGTCCATCTCCAGCCTCACTGTCCCTGGAAGAAGCCCCGCAGGCTCCAGCCCCAGGGCCTCCATACACCCTGCACAGGCAATTCTGTTCTCCCAGGTATCCGCCTGGCCCTATCCTTCGTAACGCTGGTGCCACCATCACCCTATGACTGAGCACCCCCTGGCAGGTTCACGTTCATTTGCGTCCTTGCATTCTGACCATGTGCTCCAACTGGGATGCCAACCCGTGAGGCGGGCCCCCCCCCCCACGCGTCCTGAGCTCTAGAACGTGGCCTGGCAGGGAATGCCTGCTCACAGTAAATATTCTAGAATGAATGACTGAGGAGCCTTCTAGGTGCTGGCCCCTGTCCTGAGTGCTTTGCACACAATGGCTCCATTTTACAATAAGAAAACTGGGAGGTGGCTCACGCCTGTAATCCCAGCACTTTGGGAGGCCGAGGCGGGTGGACTTCATGGATCACCTGAGGTCGGGAGTTGGAGACCAGCCTGACCAACATGGCGAAACCCCGTCTCTACTAACAATACAAAATTAGCCAGGCGTAGTGGCGCATGCCTGTAATCTCAGCTACTCGGGAGGCTGAGGCAGGAGAATCGCTTGAACCCGGGAGGCGGAGGTTGTGGCGAGCCGAGATAGCGCCATTGCACTCCAGCCTGGGCAACAAGAGCGAAACTCCATCTCAAAAAAAAAAAAAAAGAAAAGAAAAAGAAAAAGAAAGAAAGAAATGAAAACTGATGCACAGGGAAGCTTAGTTAACCCAAACCAAGTCCCCACTTTCTAATGAAGAGGGAAACCAATGATGAGCACGTGAGCAAATGAATGAAGGATAATTGCAGGCAAGTGCTCCAAGAAAACAGAACAGGCCCGGTGCATGGTGGCCCACAACTGTAATCCCAGCACTTTGGAAGGTCCAGGTGAGGGATCACTTGAGGCCACTAGTTGGAGACCAGCCTGGGCAACATAGTGAGACCAGTCTCTACAGAAAATGAAAAGATTAACCAGCCACAGTGGCATGCGCTTGTCGCCCCAGCTACTCAGGAGGCTGAGGCAGAAGGATCCCTTGAGTCCCAGAGTTCAAGGCTGCAGTGAGCCCTGATCTTACCACCGCACTCCAGCCTGGGTGACAGCAAGACCCTGGGGGAAAAAGAAAAAAGAAAAAAGGGAGAGAAGTGGGCTGGCACTAAGTGGCAGTTGCCCTTAGATGGGTGAGTGTATCCCTGAAGCCCTCCACGCCCCCCTGAAGTCCTCCACCACACCCCACCTGGCCTGCCTTCTGGTCCCTGAAGTGCTGGCCAGTCCCCTCATTTTCTGAATGAAGTTACTGAGAAGAGACTCCTGGGTTACACAGGGACAGGAGGGTGGTGTCCCCAGCACGTGGGTAAGGCAGGCTCAGTCCTTGAGTGCTCCGAGGGAGGCTTTCTAAACCTCTTATTTAACTCCAGAAGAAAGCAGCCTTCTCGCAGGGCCATCCTTAAGCAACATGTCTTCGCCTGAACCAATATTTACAGAGCACCTGCTATGTTCTCGTTAGACAGCTTTGCCTGGCACTGCCTTCCTCTAAGGAGGCCGAATATGGTCCAGTGCCCCAAGGGGCAGGGCCCAACTCCTGAGGGAGGTCAGAGTGGCTGAGGTGAGACTGTGGTAGCCCCGGGGGACAGGTTCAGAGAAATCCAGGCTCTGGGGTTTCCCACATTGGAGTCCTGGGGCAAGTGGTTTGGGCCTTTCTGTGCCTCAGTCTCCTCATCTACGAAACGGGGATTAGAAGAGCCCCTTTCCAAGGGCTACCATGAGGATTAAACAAGTCAAAAAATGTGCCAGTGCTTAGAACAGTCCCTGGAATGTGTCAGTGCAACTGAGCTGGGGAGTGTCGTCGTTATTTTCCGGACCCACATGAACTGGCGCCTGCCCATCTCTCTGCCTCCATCTCCTGCCCTCTCCCCCATTGTTTCAGTTCATTGAGCATCCCCAGCTTTTTCTTGTGTCAGGAACTTTGCACTTCCTGTTCCTCTGTCTAGGATACGCTTCCCCTAGATCCTTCCATGGCTCCCCACTCTCCTCTTCTGGGCTCAGCTGAAACCCACTCCTCAGAGAAGCCTTTGCTGTTGCATCTGTTGAAAACAGGAGTCCCAGCCCACTCTGTCAGGCCACCTTGCTTTGTGTGAAATGGTCTTATCTGTTTCCTTGTTCATCTCCTCCAGCTCCCGAGAGACAGAAGCTGACCCTGTTTTGCTTATCGATGTATCTCCAGCACCTGGAAAAATGCCTGGCACATAGCAGGTACTCAATAAATACTTTACTCAATCAGCTAATTAACTCATTAATTAATCAAGTAACTGATCGATTGATTAATTAATTAATATCACTTCATTGAATTCCTTAAGGCCTTCAACAGCCTTCAGCTATGCAGTTGCCTTTTTTTTTAATGACTTTTGTAGTTCTCGGAAATTAGCCAGTTAACTAAAATCTGCGGTCTGCCTGGCCCTGACACCCTCCTCCACTTCCTTGATACTGACCTGCCTTGACCATCTCACCCAATCTAACTCTGATTCATGACCAAGTCTTCAAGGTCCAAATGTACGTGATGCTTACCCAAGAGGGCTGCAAGGCCATGGCTGGAGAGCCCTCATGTCACGCCATGCTGTCACTCGAGAGAGAAGGGCAGAGATGAAAGGGTGATGGGACACGTGAGCCACCTTGGCCTTGCTGAGGGGAGTCACTTCCGGTGGCAGGGAGGGCAGCTTAAGAAGGGAAAAAAAGACTTCGTCATGTTTGAGAGAGAGGTCTTGCCCTGGGGAAAGTCGAAGATACAGAAGAAAAGAAAGAGTGCTGATAACAAAATATGATCAACATGGTGTCACAGGGCTCCTGGAAAATCAAGTCAGATGCTTTTCCTCCTCTGCTCAGAGTCCTTTCGTGATCAAAGACGGAGAATGACTGCAGGCAAAGACCTGGAGGAGTTGGAAGCCTCTTGAGGTGCTTGTGGGATTGTAAAATGGTGCAGCCTCAAAAGGTAAACATAGGGGTCCCCTAAGACCCAGCAGTTCCACTCCTGGGTATATGCCCAGGAGAAAGGAAAGAGCATGTCCACACGGAAGCCTGGACACAAATGTTCACAGCAGCCAAGCAGTGAAAATAACCCACACCCCCATCAGCTGGTGAATAGGTAAATAAAATGTGGCATAACCACGCACTGGAATATGACTCAGCATAAAAAGGAATGAAGGGCTGACGCGTGCTACACCATGGATGAACCTTGAAAACATTGATAAGTGAAAGAAGCCAGACACAAAGGCCACATGTATGATTCTGCTTATATAAAATGTCCATAGTAGGCACATCTATGGGGACAAAAAGTAGACCAGTGGTTGCCAGGGGCTGGGGAGAATGAGGAGTGACTGCTACAGGTTTGGGGTTTCATCTTGGAGTGGTGAAAATGTTCTAAAAGTGACGGTAAAAGTGATGGTAATGATGGTTGCACAACTCCGTGAATATACAAAAAACCATCAAATTACACACTTTATTTACTTTTTCTTTTTTTCAAGAGACAGGGTCTCACTCTGTCACCCAGGCTGGAGTGCAGTCTTGAAGTCTTGGGTTCAAACCATCCTCCCGCCTCGGCCTCCTGACTAGCTTGGACAACAAGTATATGCCACTATGTACACCTGATGTTTTCATTTTTGTTGAGACAGGGTCTCACTTTGTTGCCCAGGCTGCTCTCAAAATTCTGGTCATCCTCCCACCCTGGCCTCCCAAAGCGCTGGGATTACAAGTGTGAGCCATCATGCCTGGCCAAATTATATACTTTAAATGGGTGAATGTATGATATGCAAATTATATCTCAATGAAAACTGTTATTTTAAAGAAATGGCCAGGCATGGTGGCCCATGCCTATAATCCCAGTGCTTTTGGAGGCTGAGGCAGGAGGATCCCTTGAGGCCAGGAGTTCGAGATCAGCCTGGGCAACACAGCCAGACACCATCTCTACAAAAAATAAAAAGTTAGCCAGGTAAAGTGGCACACACCTCTAGTTTCAGCTACTGAGGAGGCTGAGGTGGGAGAATCACGTGAGCCCAGGAAGTCGAGGCTGCAGTGAGTGAGCTGTGATTGTGTCACTGCACTCCAGCCTGGGCAACACAGTGAGACCCTGTCTCTCAAGAAAACAAAAAGAAAGAAACCTTTCCGTGGCTCCCACCTCATTCAGCATAAAAGCCAAAGCCCTCACCATGGCCCACAAGATCACCACATCTCATACTAGAGAGACAAAGTCAAAACGCACCCAGATGGGCACATCTCCCTGACCTCATCCCCCTCCCTCTCCTTGCCCACTCTGCTCCAGCCACATCCTCCTCCCTGGAGCTCCTCCACCTGTTGCCCGGCTCGTGCCCCAGAACCTTTGCACTCCCTGGTCCCCTCCTGGAATGCTCCTCTCCCTAACACCCAGGAGACTCACCCTCCCTTCCTTCAGGTCCTTGCTCCAATGCCATCTTCTCAGCAATGACTTCCTTCCTGCCCACCCTTTGAAAGTTACAAACCACCCATAGGACCCTCCCTATCCCCCTTGGCTGCTTCATTTCTCTCTGTGCACCGACCGCCCTCCAGGGCGGGTGTTTGCTTGTTTGATTGGCTTCCTTCCTCTTCTAGGATAAAAAAAGCTCCACGGGGCAGGAATCTGCCTGTTTCGTCCATTGCTGTGCCCCCGGCTCCCCAACAGCACGTGGCCCACAGTAGGCCCTTGGTCGGTGTGTGTGGATGAACCACATCTACCAGAGTCCAAGGTAAAAGCTTGCCTCTGCCGCCGGAACACGCAGCTGCCTGGCATGGCGGCCTGGGGCAAGTTGCTCAGCCTCTCTGTGCCTCGGCTCCCTTATCGGTGCCTTGGGATTGGTCTGAGTCATGCCTGCACCCTGGGGTGGTCATGAGGATTACATGGGCTCATCTTGGTCATATGCTTAGCAAGGTGCCTGTGTGAGGCGGAGCCAACACCTCCTGCAGGCAGCCGCATTCCCACCCCAGCCTGGGAAGAATCACGCTCATCCCCAGCGGCAATAGAACACAGTGAATGGAAGCTGAAGGGCTTCCTTAAAGGAGGCACAGCTGGCTCCTGGCGAGCAGAGAGCAGAGATGTGAACCAGTGACTTGCCACACACATGACCACTACGCTGTTTGCTGAGGGAAAGGAAAAAGAGGAAGAAAGTGAAGGAAAGCAAAGAGACGGGTGAGAGAAAGGACAAAATAAAAAGCAAAGGAAGAGGAAACCTTATTTTTTTTTCTTTTGAGGTGGAGACTCGCTCTGTGGCCCAGGCTGGAATACAGTGGTGTGATCTCAGCTCACTGCAACCTCCGCCTCCCGGATTTAAGCAGTTCTCCCTGTCTCAGCCTCCTGAGCAGCTGGGATTACAGGTGCATGCCACACGACTGGCTAATTTTTTTTTTTTTTTTTAAGAAGAAGTCTTACTCTGTCGCCCAGGCTAGAGTGCAATGGTGTGATCTCAGCTCACTGCAACCTTCTCCTGGGTTCAAGCGATTCTCCCGCCTCAGCCTCCTGAGTAGCTGGGATTACAGGCACCTGCCATCATGCCTGGCTAATTTTTGTATTTTTGTAGAGACGGGATTTCACCGTGTTGGCCAGGCTTGTCCTGAACTCCTGACCTCAGGTGGTCCGCCCACCTTGGCCTCCCAAAGTTCTGGGATTACAGGTGTGAGCCACTGCACCCGGCCAATTTTTGTATTTTTAATGGAGATGCAGTTTTACTATGTTGGCCAGGCTGGTCTCGAACTCCTGGGCTCAAGTGATCCACTCGCCGCGGCCTTCCAAAGTGCTGGGATTACAGGCGTGAGCCACCGCGCCCAGCCAGGAAAGCATTGTAGCCACATCTGCCACCTGGATTGCTGCTGGTGAGGGAGGAAAGAGAGCTCACGTGTGCCTGCTGGATTCATTCAGTTCACGTTGAGCTCCTACTCTGTGCTGGGCACTATGTTGGGCGTTTGGGGACCCAGCAGGGACCATAAGCAAGCCCCTAGCCTTGCGGGTCCGGTATGTTAATAGACAAGCAATAACAATTAGTGATAAACATCATCATTGGTGGATTTTATAAAATGTTAGAGCTATGGGCACGGTGGCTCACACCTGTAATCCCAGCACTTTGGCCGAGGCAGGCACTTTGTTTGAGCTCAGGAGTTTGAGACCAGCCTGGCCAACATAGCAAAACCCTGTTGCTACAATAAATTAAAAAAAAAAAAATTAGCTGGGCATGGTGGCACGCACCTGTGGTCCCAGACACTCAGGAGGCTGAGGTGGGAGGATCACTTAAGCTCAGGAGGCAGAGGTTGCAGTGATCCAAGATGGCATCACTGCACTCCAGCCTGGACGACAGAGCAAGACCCCATCTCAAAAAACAAAACAAAAAGATATTAGAGCTGTGCTATCCAATACAGTAGCCACTGGCCCTATGTGGCTATGGGACACTTGACCCGGGGCTAGTCTGAATGAGATATGCCATGTCATATACATCCCAGACTTCAAAGGCTTCATATGAAAAGAGCGTAAAACATCTCAATATTCTTATATTGATTACACATTGAAATGACACTATTTGAATATCACCGATAAGGGAGCCGGGGCACAGAGAGGCTGAGCAACTTGCCCCAGGCCACCATGCCAGGCAGCTGCGTGGCCCGGCGGCAGAGGCAGGCTTTTACCTTGGACTCTGGTAGACGTGGTTCATCCACACACACTGACCAAGGGTTGAATAATATTACAAGTTAAATTAATTTCACCTGTTTCTTTTTACTTTTTAAAATATGACCCCTAAAATTCTTTTACCTTTTTTTCTTTTTTCAGAACAGGTTCCTCTGTCATAAAATTTTTAAAATTGTGTGTGTGGTTTGTGCATGCTGCATTTCCATGGGACAGGCAGTTAGAGGACGATGCGTGCTTTAGGGGAAAAACAGAACAGTGTAAATGCTACTGGGGGAGAGGGGTTGCCATTTAAATGGGGTGTTTGAAGACAGCCTCAGTGAGAAGGTGACATTTGGGCAAAGACCTGCAGGAAGTGCAGGAATGTGTTGAGATCCAGGGAAGAACATTCCAGGCAGAGGGAATAGCCAGGGCAACGACTCTGAGGCAGGAGGTGCCTGCATAGATTTTAATCAGAATGCGAATCTCTCATGTTGCTACAAGTGACTTTTTAGGAGCTGTTTCTCTTCAGTAGGTCAAAATGCCCCCTGCAATATTGTGAATATCAGAGAAGGTCTCCAGAGCCCCTAAACAGCCCCTCCAGAAACTTAGCCTCTGCCCCTGGACTTTAGCCCCGGTGCTAGAGTCTGAATGTGTCCCCTGAAATTTGTACGTTGAAACCTAATTACTATGTGATGGTATTAGGAGGTAGGGCTTTTGGGAAGTGACGAGGTCATGGGGGCAGAGGCCTCATCGATGGGATTAGGGCCCTGACACACGAGGCTCTAGAGAGCTGCATCTCCCCTTCCACCAGGCAAGGACACAGAGAGAAGCTGCCATCTGTGAACCAGGACGCAGGGCCTCACCACCATCAAATCTGCTGGCGCCTTGATCTTGGACTTCCCACCCTCCAGAAATGTGAGAAATAGATGTCCGCCGTCTGTAAGCTCTCCCCGTCTATGGTACTCTGTTTTAGAAGCCTGAGCAGACTGAGATGCCCTGTAAATCCTGTCTTCCTTCAGAATCACGCCTTTCTGAGTCCCCGATCACTGACTTCCCTCCAGGAGTCTTTCCTCTCTGACTCAGGGCTGGCGATCAATCCTTGCCTTTGTCCCTGGCCTTTGGGGACTCTGATATGTCCTCTCTGGCAAGGGCTAACCCTCCAACACAGACGTGCTTTCCAGGACAAAGGTGCAAGTGTGTGGGGAGGACCCAGCTGGCAGCCGCGAGCTAATACGTTGCTCCGTGGGCCAGGTCACTGGAGGACAGAAGTTTCTATCAGCTGCCACTCTCAACAGCAGCTGGAGAAAGGAGGATGATTCCTATCCCAGGAACCAGAAGATTCCTCTGAGACCACCTGGTCCTGTCCTACCTACCAGAGAAGGGATGGACATGCTCATTCATTCATTTATGTGGCAAATACTTGCTGAGCACTCGCTATGTATCAGGCCTACTGTGTGCTAGGGCCTGGGGGTAGATGGGGAAGAAAGCAGGCAGGTCCTCTGTGCCCTGGCCTTACTTTTTTTTGAGACAGGGTATGGTTCTGTCACCCAAGCTGGAGTTCAAAGCTCACTGCAGCCTCCACCCCCTGGGCTCAAGCGATCCCCCCGCCTCAGCCTCCTACAGACATGTGCCACCACACCAGCTAATTTTTTGTTTTGTTTTGTTTTGAGACAAGAGTCTTGCTCTGTCGCCCAGGCTGGAGTGCAGTGGTGTGATGTCAGCTCACTGCAGCCTCTGCCTCCCGGGTTCAAGCGATTCTCCTGCCTCAGCCTCCCTCCCGAGTAGCTGGGACTACAGGCGCCTGCCACCACTCCCAGCTAATTTTTGTATTTTTTAGTAGAAATGGGGTTTCACCATGTTGGCCAGGCTGATCTTGAACTCTTACCTCAAATGATCCACCCACCTTGGCCTCCCAAAGTGCTAGGATTACAGGTGTGAGCCCCTGCACCCAGCCAAGCTAATTTTTTTTAATTTTTATTTTTTTTAATAGAGATGGGTGTCGCACTATGTTGCCCAGGCTAGTCTCGAACTCCTGGAGTCAGGCGATCCTCCCACCTCGACCTCCCAAAGTGCTGGGATTATAGGTGTGAACCACCACGTCTGGTCTGCCCTGGCCTTTTTAGTAAGGGAAAGAGAGAGAGATATTAAAATATATATATGTTTTTTTATTTATCTATAAATATATGTATAAGCAAATAAATAGATAAGGATTATAGATGGTGCTACGTGCTAATGAGAGAAATAAAAAGGTAATGCCACAGGGAGATGGGGGCTGGCGGGGGGAGACCGGAACCTGGGGAGGACCTTTCTGGCAAACAAACCAGCAAGTGCAAAGGCCCTGTGTCAGGGAGGTGCTCAGTGTGCCCAAGGAACAGACAATCAGGGACCCCTGCACCTTAGACGGTGCAGTCACCCCGGTTTATACCTCTTGCCCCAATAGTATCATTAATAGCACCTCCAAGTCACTGCATGTGGGGTGGTCTGTGATACCCCAACTGCACTGCACTGAAACACACAGGCTGGCTGCAGCTCTTGAGCAGAGGTCACGGTCCCTGGAAGGCAGACCTCTCTCGACTCCTCTCTCCTCCCGGGTTCCAGGTGACACTCCCTGCCCTCCTCCCCTCAGCCCCAGGGTGGGGAGCAGCTTCACTCTCCCTTTCGTTTTCCCTGCTCCTTTGTATATATCTTCAAAGTCCCCAATTTTGAGTGTTCTCTCCACTTCCTGCTCAGACTACTACAGGAACTGATTCTGTGGTGGGAAAGGAATTAGAGGAGAGAAAGAGAGGCTCAGAGGCAGTGTCCAGCAGCTGCGGTAGAAGCCTGGAGGTAACGGCCAGCGCAGTGGCTCACGCCTGTAATCCCAGCACTTTGGGAGGCTGAGGCGGGAGGATGGCTTGAGGCCAGCAAGTTCAAGACCAGCCTGAGCAACATGGTGAAACCCCATCTCTACTAAAAATACACAAAATTAGCCAGGCGTGGTGGCACGTGCCTATAGTCCCAGCTACTCGGGAGGCTGAGGTGGGAGCATTGCTTGAGCCCAGGAAGTAGAGGCTGCAGTGAGACACGATCGTGCCACTGCACTCCAGCCTGGGCAACAAGAGTGAAACCCTGACTCAAAAATAAAGAAAAAAAGAAAGTAGGCTGTCTTTAGGAAGAAAAAAAAAAAGAAGAAGAAGGCTACTAGTTTTAACTGACTAATAGTTTAAAACAGCAAGTCTGGAGCCAGACAGTCCAGGTTCAAAACCCTGCTCTCCTATGGACACGTTACTTAACTCTCTGGGCCTCGATTGCCCCATCTGTAAAATGGGGCTAATAAGACCCACCTCAGAGGTGTGGAATAAGTGAATCGCTTGAACCTGGGAGGTGCAGGTTGCAGTGAGCTGAGATCATGGCACTGCACTCCAGCCTGGGCGACAGCAAGACTCTGTCTCAAAAAACAAAAAACAACAAAAAGAAATTAACATAGAATTACCATGTGATGCATCAATCTCATTTCTGGGTATCAAAGAAATGAAACTGGGAACTTGAAGAGGAATCTGGCCACCGCGTTCATTGCAGCGCTGTTCACGATGGCCCAACGGTGGGAGCAACCCGAGTGTCCGCTGATGGGTGGTGGGTAAGAAGCTGGGGCCCATCCACACGGTGGAATAGGATTCAGCCTGGAAAAGGAAGGACTTTCTGACGCACGCTGCGACATGCACGGGCCTTGAGGAAGTTATGCGAGTGAAATAAGCCACAACAGGACAAATACCGTACGATTCCATTTGCATGAGCTCCCTAGAGTAGCCAGATCCACAGAGACAGAAAAGAGAATGGTGGGTGCCAGGGGCTGGGGGAGAGGGAAAGGGGAATTATTGATCAATGCATATGCAGTTTCTATTTTGCAAGATGAGAAAGTGCCAGGAGGGATGGTGGTGATGGTTACACAACAATGTGGATGTCCTTAATGCCACTGAAATGTACACTTAGAAATGGTTAAGATGGTAAAAACAAACTACACAACAAAAGGCTGAGCCAGAGAGAGGGTAGGAGCCTCCCACAAAGTGCAAGTTTGGGGTCAAGAAATCTGTTAGGAGACTTGAGGGGACCTGAGCAATGAGGAGCAGCTGTGATCTGTCTTTGATCGAGAACCAGGGAGGCAGAGATAAGATGTGAGTGGGGCGGGCTCAGGGAGGACAGCAGGTCCACCGGGCCCTCTGGAGTGTTCTCTGCGCCTCCAGACAGGGAAATGAGGGGACTCGGGGCCCCCAAACTGTCCCCAAGCCCACTCCTGGCGACTTTCTAACTTTTCCACCCTGTCCTGAGCCACAGAGAAAAGTGCTGGCGAGTGTGACAGGAGTCCGTGTCAGCTTCCCTGAGCAACACAGACTCAGACCCAGGGTCTGTCCCAGAAAGGAGTCCCCACCACACGGGGAGGAGGGATCGGAGCCGCCCAAGAGGATTTTTGTTATATTCACACTCTGGGCGACACAGACTGGATTTCTAGGCAAGTTGCTCACCTTCTCAAGGCCCTGGCTGCCCCTCTGAGCCCCAGGTATTCCCTCTGAGCTCCAGCTGCCCTTCTCAGCCCACAGTATCCCCTCTGAGTCTTGGGTGCCCCTCTGAGCCCTGGGCCCCCTCTGCACAGTGGGAATGAGAGGTGTACCAAGGTTGGAACAGTGGATACAGCCCCCAGCCTATTCAAACTCGGGTTGCTATTTCTTATCACTGTGCACCGGTAACTCTAAAAAATGTCAGCGATAAAACATTCCTCCTGAAACAATCTTTTATTGGTCTAAGTCTGAACTGGGAGTTGGCAAACTACAGCCCGAAGGCCAAACCTGACCCCCAGCCTGTTTTTGTAAATAAAGTTTTATTGACCTGACCCCCAGCCTGTTTTTGTAAATAAAGTTTTACTGGAACCCAGACACACCTATTCATATAGTTTATGGCTGTGTCCAGGCTACAGTGGCAGAGTTGAGGAATTTTAACAGAGGCCCTGTAGTGCAAAAAGTTAAAATAGTTATTATCTGTTGCTTTACAGAAAGAGTTTGTCAATCCTTGGACTAAACAATTGCTGTGGTTGAGTTTTAATAATACATATGTGAGTTTCAGATTAGTACAATCATATTACTTTCCTTTTAATAAATATTATATTCCTCATGGAGTTTAGTTCAGAGAACTCCACATGCCCCTGCACACACACAGACACACACATTGACACACACAGACACACAAACACATGCAGAGACACACACAAACACAGACACATTGACACACACAGACACACACATTAACACACTCAGACACAAACACATGCAGAGACACATACAACACACAGACACACAAACACACACACAGACACACACATTGACACACACACACGGAGACACACACATTGGCACACACAGACACACAAACACATGCAGAGACGCACACAACACACACAGCCACACACACAATATTTTACTGAATTTGAATAAATATCTCTTTTTTTCTTTATTTCTACACAACAGGGATATAAAAATAAATATCAGGCTGGTCAGGGTGGCTCACGCCTGTAATCTCAGCACTTTGGGAGGCTGAAGCAGGAGGATAACTTGAGCTCAGGAGTTCAAGACCAACCCTGGCAACACAGTGAGACCCTATCTCGAAAATAATTTTTTCTAATTTAAAAGAAAGGAGAAGTTGGGGGTGGTTCACAGGTACAAAAAAAATCATTTGAAAGAATGACTAAGACCTACTGTTTGCACAATGGGGTGACTAGAGTCAATAATAACTTAATTGTACATAGTAAAATAACTAAAAAAGTAGAATTGGAGGCTGGGTGCGGTGGCTCACGCCTGTAATCCCAGCACTTTGGGAGGCCGAGGCGGGCAGATCACAAGGTCAGGAGTTCGAGACCAGCCTGGCCAACATGGTGAAATCCCGTCTCTACTAAAAATACAAAAATTAGCTAGGCATGGTGGTGGGCGCCTGTTTTCCCAGCTACTCAGGAGGCTGAGGCAGGAGAATCACTTGAATCTGAGCGGCGGAGGTTGCAGTGAGCTGAGATCGTACCATTGCACTCCAGCCTGGGCAACAAGAGCAAAACTCCATCTCAAAAAAAAAAAAGAGTAGAATTGGATTGTTTGTAACACAAAGGATGAATGCTTGAGGGGATGAACACCCCATTCTCCATGACATGATTATTACACTTTGCTTGCCCATATCAAAACATGTATCCCATAAATAGATACACCTACCGTGTACCCACAAAAATTTTAAAAATTAAAAAGATGATCCACTCAGAGGTCAAATACAAGATACATGCTGATGGGGACAAGTAATACCTCAGAGAGTTTTTGTGAGGATGAAATTAAACAAGTGTGATGATAGATACCATTGGTGCCTTTCTGAAATTCATGCTTTCTCACCCCTTCTTTCTTGAAGGCAGAGGGTCTATCTGCTTCCCGGCAGTCACAGATGCTCAAAGAGGGGGACCTCATTTTCCCATCTGGAAGAAATCCTGATTATTCTCAGCCATCTTGGTAATACAGTTCCTCTCACTACGATTGGCTTAGGGGTGGACATGTGAGCACATGCTGGTGAAAAACACGAGAGGGGGTGAGCTGGGGGAATTCTTGCAAAGGTTTCATTGCTGATAAAAATGGACCAAGGAAGAGATGCTTCCTGCATGTGTCCTGTTGGATGAGATGCCCAGACAGAGGCAGCCACTGTGCCCTGCAGAAAATGCCAGAGCAGAGAGATGCAGAGAACCTGGCTTTTCAGGGATCCCCTTGACATTGAAACTGAGAGCCAGCTGGGCGCAGTGGCTCACGCAGGTAATCCCAGCGCTTTGGGAGGCCGAGGCGGAAGGATTGCTTGAGGCCAGTAGCTCAAGACCAACCTAGCCAACATAGTAAGACCCTGTCTGTATTTTTAAAATAAAAATATAAATAAATAAAATTTAAAAAGAAATTGAGAACGCCAGGCCCCGTGGCTCATGCATGTAATCCCAGCACTTTGGGAGGCCAAGGTGGAAATATTGCTTGAGGCCAGTAGTTCAAGTCCAGTCTGGCCAATATAGTGAGACCCTGCCTCTATTTTAAAAATAAAAAGCCTGGGCACAGTGTCTCACACCTGTAATCTTAGCACTTTGGGAGGTCAAGGCAGGTGGATCACCCAAGGTCAGGAGTTCGAGACCAGTCTAGCCAACATGGCTAAACCCCGTCTCTACTAAAAATACAAAAATTAGCCGGGCATGGTGGCACATACGTGTAATCCCAGTTACTCGGGAGGCTGAGACAGGAGAATCGCTTGAACCTGGGAGGTGGAGGTTGCCATGAGCCAAGATCACGCCATTGCACTGCAGCCTGGGCGACAGAGTGAGACCCCATCTCAAAAAAAAAAAAAAAAAAATGAAATCGAGAACCCCAAAGCTGCCCTATCTCAGGACTTCCCCTTATATGGAAATAATAAATATCTTTATTGTTAAACCTCTTGGGTGCTTTCTAGGACTTTCAGCCAAAAGCAGTCTCAATGGCTACAGATATAAACCCGGCTGGCAAGTAGCCAGCAGCCACAATCAACAGTTTTATTGACTTTGTCCTTCAGTGAGTATTCACGGAGTGCCCTCAGTGCACCAGGACTGGGCACTACAGCTCATGAAAAGGGGTTTCTTTCCTAGAGGTGCACTCCAGAGGCTGCAGACAGACACCAAAGCAAGTCCAGGAATAAGGCATCAAAACAGCTTCAGATAATGTTCAATACTGGCAAGAAACAAAACCCAGCGGTTTGAGAGAGAGCGAGGGAGGGTGTGGGCTCTCTGGAAAGGTGACATCTAACAGAGAACTGAATGAAGAGCCAACCATGGGAAGACCCAGAGAGAGCATTCCAGGCGGAGGGCACGGCACACGCAAAGGCCCTGAGGTAGGAGTGAACGTTGTGCGTCGGAGGAACTGAACCGTGGAATGTGAGAGCATCACAATCGTGGCAGCAGCTTTCAAGAAAGTATGTAAAAGCGAACAAAAGGTCCACAGTCCGAATTTCTCGCCTCCCTTTTTTTAAATTTTTTAAATTTTTTTTTTTTGAGACAGGGTCTCTCTGTCGCCCAGGCTGGAGTGCAGTGGCGCAAACTTGGCTCACTGCAGCCTCAAACTCCTGGGCTCAGGCAATCCTCCCACACCAGCCTCCAGAATAGCTGGGACTACAGGCACCTGCCACCATGCCTGGCTAGTTTTTGTATTTTTTTTGTAGAGATGAGGGTCTCACTGTGTTGCCCAGGCTGGTTTCAAATTCCTTGGCTGAAGGGATCCACCTGCCTCGTCCTCCCAAAGTGCTGGGATTACAGGCATGAGCCACTGCACCCAGCCTTCTCCCCTTTTCTTTGGGCTTTTGCTCCCGGGCCCAGTGTTTAAGGGCTCTGCTATGTTGGAATCGGAGATGAGTTTTTGAGGTTCACTTTCTAACTCAAGAGAACCACCTGACCTCTCACCGTGCATGGGCCTGAAGAACACAGGCTCTTTTTTTTTTTTTTTTTTGAGACGGAGTCTCACTCTGTCACCAGGCTGGAGCGCAATGGCGCAATCTTGCTCACTGCAACCTCCACCCCCCGGGTTCAAGCGATTCTCCTGCCTCAGTCTCCCAAGTAGCTTGGATTACAGGCGCCCGCCACCATATCTGGCTAACTTTTGTATTATTAGTAGAGACGGGGTTTCACCATGTTGGCCAGGCTGGTCTCAAACACCTGACCTCGTGATCCGCCTACCTCGGCCACCCAAAATGCTGGGATTACAAGCATGAGCCACCATGCCCTGCCAAACACAGGCTTTTAAAATGAAAGCCGAAGTTTCATGCTTCAGCATAACCAAACAGCTCCATGTCCAGCTAGTCCCCATCTGTTTTGCCTGTTTTCCTACTGGACCAACATTTTCCTTCCTGCCCAGAAAACTGCAGCTCTTGCCACTGGCCCCTTGTCTCCAACACCCACCCGCTCTGCCCAGGGCCCACTGAGGCCCAGGGATACCGTCCACAGCATCAGAGAGGCCAGCTGCCATGGAGCGAGGCAGGAGGTGCCTCCCTGAAACCAGCGTGGGTACCAAGAACACTGGAGCTTAGGAGATGCCCTTACCCTTCAACGCAGAACCACAAAGCTGTCAGTTTCTTTCCTGAGGGGGAACTGTTCTTAGGCTGCAGGCCGAGGCGTCTGCCAGGGATGGCTGGAGCCCACAGAGAAGCTGGTTCCAAAAATATTCTTTGGGCTGGGCGCAGTAGCTCACGCCTGTAATCCCAACACTGGGAGGCCGAGGCAGGAGGATTGCTTGAGCTCAGGAGTTCAAGACCAGCTTGGGCCACTTGGCGAAACCCCATCTCTACAAAATACAAAAATTAGCTAGGTGTGGTGGCAAACGCATCTGTAGTCCCAGCTACTCCAGAGGCTGACTCAGGAGGATCGCTTGAGCCCCGGAGGTTAAGGCTGCAATGAGTCATGATCACGCCACTGCCGCCCAGCCTGGGTAGCAGCGTGAAACTCTGTCTCAAAAAAAAAAAAAAGGTGGAGGGGGCCAGGCGTGGTGGTTCATGCCTGTAATCCTAGCACTTTGGGAGGCCGAGGCAGGTGGATCACTTGAGGTCAGGAGTTCGAGACCAGCCTGGACAACATGGTGAAACCCATCTCTAATTAAAATACAAAAATTAGCCAGGCATGGTGGTGGGCACCTGTAATCCCAGCTACTTCGGAGGCTGAGGCAGGAGAATCACTTGAACCCAGTGAGCCGAGATCACACCACTGCACTCCAGCCTGGGAGACAGAGCAAGACTCAGCCTCAAAAAAAAAAAAAAAAAAAAAAAAAGACAAAACAAAAACAAAAACAAAAATATCCTTTGGAAAACAATGGGCAGAAATATCTTTCTGGACACATCTGGTGGTAGCTGAGGCTCCTGTTTGGGCAGGGATGGGCAGTGCCAAGGAGGACCACTGGATACACACTCACAGGGTCATTTGTCAAACTTCTTTTCAGAGCAAGGTTTTGCTCTGTCACCCAGGCTGGAGCGCAGTGGGGTGATCACAGCTCACTGCAGCCTCAAACTCCTGGGCTCAGGTGATCCTCCCTAGTAGCTGAGACAACAGGCACCCGCCACCACACCCAGCTCTGTCAGACTGTGCCGACTGAGCACTTCCTATGGGCAAGGGGGCACGTTAATCACCTTCTCATAAAGATCACACACCAGTGGGACAAAGAGATTCTTCTCACACCAATGAGTCTGCCGTGACACCTGAGAAAAACGCTTTCAGGGAGAGGAATCCACCTCGGTGAGGGCGCATTCCAGGGGCACAGAGTGGACCTTTTTCAAAGCGAGTGGGATTGTGTTACTTCCTGCTTGAACTCTGTTGGTTTCCTGTTGCATAAACTCCAGGTCCTCCCCGGGCTGCCCTCCTCTGCCTCCCTCTCCGCTCTCTGGGATGCAGCCACCCTGGCTTCCTTCAGGTTCTTCTTATGGGGTCAGCCTGTGCCCACCGCAGGACCTCAGCACAGGCTCTGAGCCCCGCTTCAAATGCTCCTCTTGTTTAAAAGGGCTCCACGGAGGCTTTTTTGAGGGGCAGCTCCAACATCACCTCCTCAAAGAGGCCTTCCTCAACCAGCCCATCTAAAGTAACCCTCTTCTCTGGCACAGTGGCTCACACCTGTAATCCCAGCACTTTAGGAGGCTGAGGTGGGCCGATCACTTAAGTTCAGGAGTTCGAGACCCTCCTGGCCAATATGGTGAAACCCCATCTCTCCTAAAAATACAGAAATTAGCCAGGTGCGGTGTGCACCTGTAATCCCAGCTACTCGGGAGGCTGAGGCAAGAGAATCACCTGAACACGGGAGGCAGAGGTTGCAGTGAGCCGAGGTTGCACCACTGCACTCCAGCCTGGGCGACAGAGTGGGACTCTGTCTCAAAAAAAAAAAAAAGAAAGAAAAGATTAACTGGGCGTGATAGGTGTGTCTGTAGTTCCAGCTGCTCCGGAGGCTGAGGCGGGAGGATTGCTTCAGCCTGGGAGTTCAAGGCTGCAGTGAACCACGATTGTACCACTGCACTCCAGTCTGGCCAACAGAGTGATACCCTGTCTCTAATTAACGAATGCTCTTTATGTCGTCGTCCTGTTCTATATTCATCACACCCTGGCATCATCTGTCCTGATTTTTCACCACTTGTTTCCTCCATGTTTCTGTAGAGAAACACCACGAGGGTGCTGAATCCCCAGCACCAGCACAGGGCCCGGTGCATACAAGGGGCATGATGGTTTGTGGAATGAATGAATGAATGCATGAATGAGGGACCTAACCCCATTGGAGGAAGTCAGGAAAGGCTTGCTGAAGAAGTGGTATCTGAAGTGGCATTGACGGGTGAGAAGGAGTTGGGCTGTGCACCCCGACTTTGGCCAGTGATTAGAACTCCCTGGGGGCCAGCGCTTGTACCCCGCCCTCAGCGGTTTCCCAGGGTCTGGGTCGGGCACAGGGGTTGGTGTGTGTTGAAACTCCCTGTGTGATTCTCATATGCACACTAGGCTGAGAACCGTTCATCATGGGCCTTTGTTCTCCTCCAGGTGTTCTCCAGAGCAGCAGCAGCACCAGGCCACCTGGAAATGTGATAGAAATGCAGGTTCTCAGGCTGGGTGTGGTGGCTCACACCTGTAATCCCAGCACTTTGGGAGGCCAAGGCTGGAAGATAACTTGAGCCCAGGAGTTCGAGGCCAGCCTGGACAACATAGTGAGATCCCATCTCTGCAAAAAAATTTTTTTTTAATTAGCCAGGCACGGTGGCAAGTGCTTCTAGCCCCAGCTACTCAGGTAACTGGGTAGAATTGTGTCCCTCCAAAAAATGATATGTCCAAGTCCTAGGCCCCTGGTCCCTGTGATTGCAGCCTTATTTGGAAATAGGGTCTTTGCAGATGCAATTAAATCAACAGGAGGGCCTGCGGGATTCGGGCGGGGCCTAATCCAATAGGACAGGGGTCCTTATAAGAAGAGGGACATCGGGCCGGTGGAAGGATCTCTTGAGCCTGGGAGGTCGAGGCTGCAGTGAGCCATGTTCACACCACTGCACTCCAGCCTGAGCAACAAAGCAAGAGCCTGTCTAAGAAAGAAAGAGGAAGGAAGGAAGGCAGATTCTGAGTCAAAGAAAGGAAAATTGATTCTGAGTGAAAGGAAGGGAGGGAGGGAGGAAGGAGGAAGGAAGGAAAGGAAGGAAGGAAGGAAGGAAAGAAAGAAAGAAAGAGAAAGGAAGGAAGGAAAGAAGAAAGAAAGAGAAAGGAAGGAAAGAAAGAAAAGAAAGAAAGAGAAAGAAAGAAAGAAAAAAGAAAGAAAGAAAGAGGGAAAGAAAAGGAAGGAAGGAAGCAAGGAAGGAAGGAAAGAAGGAAAGCAGATTCTGAGTTCTCACCCCAGACCTGTGACTCAGACACTGGGGAGTAAGGCCCAGGAATCTGCATTTTCACAAACCCTCCAGGGGCTTCTGACTCACTCTGGAGTGATGGGTGAAGTGGAATCTTCCAGAAGGACAAATGCTTTCAGCCATGTCTGGTGTCAGAGGCAGGAGCTCCCACACTTATGTGCTGCCTGGCTCCTCACCAAGACAGGTGCTAGACTATCTCTGAGACTATCTTTTCCCTTGAGGCAGCTGAGAGCTGGAGCAGCTTCAGATGCCTCCAGATCCTGGGCCCTTGAACTTCAACTCGAACTTGGCTCTAAAGTGTCGCCCTCAGCAAGAGTCAACGCAATTGGGCCCTGGCTCCGTGAGGTGGACAGGGGCCTTGCTCGCTCCTTCTTCCCCAGCCCTGCCCCATGGGGGAGAGAGAGAGGTCGTCAGGTGAGACGGAGTTTGTTTCAGCAATGTGTTTATGAGTCCCAAGAACTTAGGATAAAGTTTCTGAAATACTAGCCTGAGGATGTCCCTCTTTGAGAAAAAGGGAAAAAGGACACCGCGGTTACCCCAGCTTTGTTATTCATGTAACAACGGCAGGGCATTTGAGTTCTTTCTGTTTTCATCCTACTTCCACTCCCACATCTAATCACTAACATTTCTCTTGTTTTGCTGTTTGTTGCTTCCTTTCATTCTCCCCATCTGAGGTGGGTAGAATTGTGTCCCTCCAAAAAATGATATGTCCAAGTCCTAGGCCCCTGGTCCCTGTGATTGCAGCCCTATTTGGAAATAGGGTCTTTGCAGATGCAAATGCAATTAAATCAAGAGGAGGGCCTGAGGGATTCTGGCGGGCCCTAATCCAATAGGACAGGGGTCCTTATGAGAAGAGGGACATCCGGCCGGGCGCGGTAGCTCACGCCTATAATCCCAGCACTTTGAGAGGCCGAGGTGGGCGGATCACCTGAGATCAGGAGTTCGAGACCAGCCTGCCCAACGTGGTGAAACCCCGCCTCTACTAAAAATACAACAAATTAGCTGGGCGTGGTGGTGGGCACCTGTAATCCCAGCTGCTCAGGAGGCTGAGGCAGGAGAATCCATTAGAACCCGGGAGGCGGAGGTTGCAGTGAGCCAAGATCGTGCCACTGCACTCCAGCCTGGGCAACAAGAGCGAAACTGCACCTCAAAAAAAAAAAAAAACAAAAAAGAAGGAGAAGAAGGACATCTTGTCACAGAGGCACATACAAAATGTCATGTGCCATTGAGGCAGAGATTGCAGTGCTGTATCTGCAAGCCAAGAAATGCCGAGGGCTGCTGGCAGCCACCAGAGGTCGAAGGAGGCAAAGAAGGCTTCTCCCCACCCCAGGCTTCAGAGGGCTCTGCTGATGCCTTCGTTTCTGATTTCTGCCCTCCAGAAAGGTAAGAAATGCATTTCTGTTGTTCTGAGCCACCCAGTTGGTGGCACGTTGTCCCGCAGGCCCAAGGGACTTACGTACCCTCTCCACCCTCTTCCTTTAGCCCAGCGAGCATTCTTGCGCTTGAGCAAACAGCAGAACCACCTGGAGGTTTAGTGAAACCCAGATGGCTGGCCCCGCCCCTGGAGTGCCTGATTCAGTAGGTCTGGGTGGGCCTGATAACTGCATTTTCAGCAAGTTTCCTGAACACGCTGGTGCTGCTGGTCTGGGGACCACACTTTGAGAACTGCTGATCCAGATCACACCATCTCCTGCCTGGATGACAGCTCCAATCCCCTAACTGGCCGGAACCCTCTCCCCTCCTCCCTTCCCCCTCCACCGGCAGGCAGGCTGAGCTTCCTAAAACACCTAGGAAATTGTCATTCCCCAGTGTAGAATCTCCAGGGGCCTCTCACGGTCTGCAGGACAAAGTCCAAACACCTTCGCAGGCCACTGCAATTGCCTGGTCTCAGCTGAGGTGCTCAACACAGACTCCCCACCCACCCCCAGGCACAGGAAGGAAGGGAGAAAGAGATGCTTTCAAGAATTGTTTTTGTTTTATCAAATAATTGTGAATAGACATAGTGTTAGTTTGCTAGGGTTGCCATGCAAAGCACCACAAACCGGGCCGCTTAAAGCAACAGAAAGCTGGGCGCAGTGGCTCATACCTGCAATCCCAGGTCTTGGGGAGGCCGAGGCAGAAGGATCACTTGAGTCCAGGAGTTCGAGAGCAGCCTGGGCAACATGGCGAAACCTTGTCTCTACAAAAAAATACAAAAATTACCTGGGTGTGGTGGTGCCTGGCTGTACTCCCAGCTACTTGGGAGGCTGAGGTGGGAGGATTATCTGAACCCAGGGAAGTTGAGGCTGCAGTGAGCCGAGATTGTGCCAGTGCATTCCAGCCTGGGTGACAGAGTGAGACCCTATCTCAAAAAAATACAAATATATGAATAAACAGAAAGTTTACTCTCTGGAAGTTCTGGAGGCTGGAAGTCTGAGATGGGGATGTCTGCAGGGCCACACTCCCTCTGAAGGCTCCGAGGCTCCTTCCTCACCTCTTCCAGCTTCCAAGGGGCTGGCTGGCAATCCTTGGAGCTCCTTGGCTTACAGATGCCTCTGCAGTCATGGGGCCATCATGACACCATCTTTCCCTGTACATCTGTGTTGACAAGATGGCTCTGCTCTTACAAGGACACCAGTACTGTTGGATTAGGGGCCCAACCTACTCCAGCAGGATGTCACCTTAACTCATCTGCAATGACCCTACTTCCAAATGAAGTCACATTCTGAGGCGTCAGAGGATGGGGCTTCAGCATATCTTTTTGGGGAACACAATTCAACCCATGACAGATTTTATTTTTCTTTTGAGACAGGGTCTGGCTCTGTCACCCAGGCTGGAGTGCGGTGGCACAATCGCAGCTGACTGCAGCCTTGACCTCCTGGGCTCCAGCAATCCTCCCGCCTCAGCCTCCCGAGTAGCTGGGACCACAGGGATGCACATCGTGCCCAGCATTTTTTTTTTTTTTTTTTTTTTTGAGATGGAGTCTTGCTCTGTCGCCCAGGCTGGAGTGCAATGGCGCGATCTCAGCTCACTGCAACCTCTGCCTCCTGGGTTCAAGTGATTCTGCTGTCTCGGCCTCCTGAGTAGCTGGGATTACAGGTACACACCACTACACCCAGCTAATTTTTGGTATTTTTAGTAGAGATGGGGTTTCACCATGTTGGCCAGGCTGGTCTCAAACTCCCCACCTCAGGTGATCCACCCGCCTCGGCCTCCCAAAGCGCTGGGATTATAGGCGTGAGCCACCGTGCCTGGCCTATTTTTTTATTATTACTTGTAGAGACAGGGTCTCCCTATGTTGCCCAGGCTGGTCTCCAACTCCTGGGCTCAAGTCATCCTCCCACCTCAGCCTCCCAAAGTGCAGGGATTATAGGTATGTGCCACTGCACCCGGCCCCATGGCAGATATTGATCATAATAATAGCTGATATTCATTAAGACTGAACTTCATGCACGGCAGTGTTCTAACTGTTTTACATTTTAGCTCATTGAATCCCACATTCACCTCTGGAGTCAAAACCAATATTATGTCTACTTTTCAGATGAGGAAACTGAGGCATAGAGAAATAAAGTAACTTGTTCAAGGTCACACAGGGACACAGCGGGGGAGTAACCAGGCCCGAATTTGAACCTGAGTTGTCAGATGCTGGAGTCTGAGCTTCACAAAATCCAAGTGAAACAGAAAGAACAGAAAGGTCTATTAGATGAAAACAAGGCCCTCCCTCACCCCCGACACCTGTACTCCTCTTGCAAAGTTTGGAAAACATTTGGTAATTAATGTTCTGCAAAAGCAAAGAGTAGAGAGTACAAGATCATCAAAGCACTGTCAGACCGTCAGACTGGCTTTTACCCACCTCACTGCGCAGTGGGAGGGTTATTTTGAATTCCAGCGGAGCAGCGGGGGCCCTTCCTTATCTTCGGGGGATAAGCTCCAGGATCCCTAGCGGATGCCTGAGACCTGAGATAGCACTGAACCCGGTATAGACTGTTTTTCCCCATGATAAAATTTAATTTATAATTCAGGCACAGTCAGAGATTAACAACAATAACTAGTAATAAAATAGGCCATGCGCAGTAGCTCACGCCTGTAATCCCAACACTTTGGGAGGCCAAGGCAGGCAGATCACTTGAGGCCAGGAGTTCAACATCAGCCTGGCCAACATAGCAAAACCCTGTCTCTACTAAAAATACAAAAATTAGCTGGGTTTAGTGACACATGTACTCGGGAATAGCTTGAACCCAGGAGGCAGAGATTACAGTGAGCTGAGATCATGCCACTGCACTCCAGCCTGGGCAACAGAGCGAGACTCTGTCTCAAAATAAATAAATAAATAAAACCAAGTAAAAAATTGAAATATATATATATATAGTATGTGTGTGTGTGTGTGTATATATATATATATAATTTTTTTTAGAGATGGGGCCTCGCTCTGCCACCCAGGCTGGAGTGCAATGGTGCGATCATAGCTCACTGCAGCCTCTACATCCTGGGCTCAAGCGATCCTCTCACTTCAGCCTTCGGAGTAGCTAGGACGGGACTACAGGTGCATGCCACCATGCCTGGCTGATTTTTTTTTTTTTAAGACAGAGTCTCGCTCTGTCACCCAGGCTAGAGTGCAGTGGAGCGATCTCTGTTCACTGCAACCTCCGCCTCCTGGGTTCAAGCAATCCTCGTGCCTCAATCTCCCAAGTAGCTGGGATTACAGGTGCCTGCTACCACACCGGCTAATATTTCTTTGTATTCTTAGAGACAGGGTTTCACCATGTTGGCCAGGCTGGTCTCAAACTCCTGGCCTCAAGTGATCTACCTACCTTGGCCTCCCAAAGCGCTGAGATTACAGGTGTGAGCTATCATGCCTGCTCTGAGTTTTAAAAAATTTTTGTTGAGATGGGATTTTGCTGTGTTTACCAGGCTGGCCTTGAATTCCTGGCCTGAAGCAATCCTCCCACCTCAGCCTGCCAAAGTGCTGGGATTACTGGCAGGAGCCACAGTGCCTGGCCCCCTCGTTATTTTTTATTTCTAGAATTTTCCTGGCAATTTTCCTTCATTCACATCCTTTGATGAACTTTGGCACCATTTTCTCAAATCTCCCAAAATTTTGTGTTAGTATTTTAACTGGGATTGTATGGATTTCTAGTTAAATTTAGCAAGCTCTTGGCATCTTTCCAAAGCTGATTCTTCCTCTCAAAGAACAAAGATTGTCTTCCCATGAATGCAAGTCTCTTTTTATATTACAACAATAGTAGAATTTTTTTAAAGCTTTTTATGTTTGTATCCTCCACATTTCTTGGGAAGTTTGCTGTTAAATATTTCATCAGTACAGTTGCTATTGTAAACAAGACCTTTTCTTTCATTAGAAGTAAAGTGGCTGGGCGTGCTGGCTCACGCCTGTAATCCTAGCATTTTGGGAGGCCGAGGTGAGCAGATCATGAGGTCAAGAGATCGAGACCATCCTGGCCAACGTGGCGAAACCCCGTCTCTACTAAAAATACAAAAATTAGCCGGGTGTGGTGGTGCACACCTGTAATCCCAGCTACTTGGAAGCTGAGACAGGAGAATCACTTGAACTCGGGAGGCAGAGGTTGCGGTGAGCCGAGATTGTGCCTCTGCACTGCAGCCTGGGCAACAGAGCAAGACTCAGTCTCAAAAAAAAAAAAAAAAAGTAAAAATCAAAGTTGTATAAAAAGGGCCAGGCGCGGTGGCTCACGCCTGTAATCCCAGCACTTTGGGAGGCCGAGGCGAGTGGATCACGAGGTCAAGAGATCAAGGTTGTAGTGAGTCGACGTCGCACTCCACTCCAAGCACCACTGCACTCCAGCCTGGCGACACAGCGAGATTCCATCTCAAATAAATAAATAAATAAAGTTAGATTTATAAAGTCGGGTCCAAAGATTGATTCCACAGATTTGGGATGAGCCCCTGAGAAAGCTGCATTTTCAACTAATCCATGCCCCAGCCAATCCTAAGGCAAGCTAATGTCCAAGAACCATTCTCACTGCCTACTACTGTCTGGCAGGGGCTGGGATATCATGGGAGACAAAAAGGCACAGTTCCTATTCTCAAAGAACTTCTATTTCAGTGCAAACCACTGTTTAAAAAAGTAAAAATCGGCCGGGCATGGTGGCTCATGCCTGTAATCCCAGCACTTCAAGAGGCCAAGGCGGGCAAATCACCTGAGGTCAAGAGTTCGAGACCAGCCTGGCCAACATGGCGAAACCCTGTCTCTACTAAATACAAAAATTAGCTGGGCATGGTGGCGGGCACCTGTAGTCCCAGCTACTTGGGAGGCTGAGACAGGAGAATCACTTGAACCTGGGAGGTGGAGGTTGCAGTGAGCCGAGATCACACCACTACACTCCAGCCTGGGTGACAGAGCAAGACTCTGTCTCAAAAAAAAAAAAAACAAAGTTGTATAAAAAGGTGAAAGCCACCTGTGTTAGGGTATACGTTAAGCTGCTAAGAGACCTCAAAATACAGTGACTCTAACAAATTAGAAACGTATTCCTCTCTCCCTTAACATCGCAGAGATGGCTGCTAGTCCAAGAAGGCAGGAGATTCGGCTCCACGTGGTCACCCAGGGACCCAGGGACCCCACCTCCTGCTGCTCCACCATCCCCAGGGACAGAGCTGGCTTCTCGAACCCTGTCCACGTTCCAGCTCAAAGGGAGTGGGAAATAGAGGTGGACAACCAGCTTCCCTTCTAACCATCTGGCCTGGAAGTGTTCCCGTCACATCATCCACCTGTATCTTATAGGCGAGAACATAGTCTCGAGGTCACACCTAGCTTCAGTGGAAGCTGGAAAACATCACCTCTGGCTGGGTGACATATGCCCATCTGGAATTTTAGGGACTCTAAAACTAAAAAGAAAAGAGGAATGTGGGCCGGGCATGACGCCTGTAATCCCAGCACTTTGGGAGGCCGAGGCGGGTGGATCACAAGGTCAGGAGTTCGAGACGAGCCTGGCCAAGATGGTGAAACCCCGTCTCTACTAAAAATACAAAAATTAGCTGGGCATGGTGGCAGGCGCCTGTAATCCCAGCTACTCGGGAGGCTGAGGCAGAGAATTGCTTGAACCCGGGAGGCGGAGGTTGCAGTGAGCCGAGATTGCGCCGCTGCACTCTAGCCTGGTCTACAGAGCGAGACTCTGTCTCAAAAAGAAAAAAGAAAAGAAAAGAGGAATATGGTAATTGGGGAGCAATTAAAAAATCTCCCCCACACTGTCCCACCTTCAGCCTCACCCTCATCAATAACTGGCACACTGTAGACACAAATTGCAGATGGAAAAATTTTATGATGGGCAGCAGTTCTGGATTCTTCCTGTGGTCTCCTTTCCATGTTCTTTGGAATTTCTGAAAAATAAAGAACTGAAATTAGAGTTTTTCCCAGCATCGAGCTGACAAGAGGAACTGCATTCTTATTAAGTGGAACAAAACAAGAACTCTTGTATTCCCACAGAACAGACGTTGATGCTGTTCAGAGAAAATGGCTTTCTCCTTTAAAAAATAACCTCTTTGGGGCCAGGTTATGGTGGTGCATGCCTGTAATCCCAGCATTTTGGGAGGTCGAGGCGGGAGGATCACTTGAGCCCAGGAGTTTGAGACCAGCCTGGGCAACACAGTGAGACCCCTTCTCTACAAAAAATACAAAATACAAAAATAAGCCGGGTGTGGTGATGCATGCCTGTAGTCCCAGCTACTCAGGAGGCTGAGGTGGGAGGATCACTTGAGCCCAGGAGGTAGAGGTTGCAGCGAGCTATGATCACACCACTGCAATCCAGCCTGGGCGACAGAGCAAGACCCTCTATCAAAAGAATAACAACAACAAAAAGAAATAACCTCTCAAATCAAGACAAAGCTGGCCGCAGTGGCTCACACCTGTAATCCCAGCACTTTGGGAGGCTGAGGCGGGCGGATCACCTGAGGTCAGGAGTTCAAGACCAGCCTGACCAATATGGAGAAACCCCACCTCCACTAAAAATACAAAATTAGCCAGGCGTGGTGGTGCATGCCTGTAATCCCAGCTACCTGGGAGGCTGAGGCAGGAGAATCACTTGAAGCCGGTAGGCAGAGGTTGCAGTGAGCCAAGATCACGCCATCGCACTCCAGCCTGGGCAACAAAGAGCGAAACTCCATCTCAAAAAAAAAAAAAAAATTTCAAGACAGAGCCTTCATAAACCTTCATGAAAGGAGGGCCAAGAAGCGTGGCTGGGCTCTTTCCTGGCATGCGGGCTGTGATCCTCCCAGCAGTCTTTAGGAATTATCCACTCCAACTCCCTTGTCTAACCAATGGGGATACTGAGGCTCCGAGAGACCACTCATAGCCAAGGTTCATTTTGCATAAAAACAAACTGCACAATTGTCTATGGAAATGTTACATTAGAAAACTCAAAGAAAATCTCTGGAAAGCTATACAAGAAACTGATAATAGAGGTTGCCTCTGGGGAGGGCAGTCAAGGCAGGGCAAGACTTACTTTTTGCCAAAACCCCTTTTATATACAGTGATGGCTTTCTTTTCTCTCTCTGTCTCTCTGTCTCTCTCTCTCTCCCTTTTTTTTTTTTTTTTTTTTGAGACGGAGTCTTGCTCTGTCACCCAGGCTGGAGTGCAGTGGCGCGATCTCGGCTCACTGCAAGCTCCGCCTCTCGGGTTCAAGCAATTCTCCTGCCTCAGCCTCCCAAGTAGCTGGAACTACAGGCGCCCGCCACCACGCCTGGCTAATTTTTTGTATTTTTAGTACAGACAGAGTTTCACCGTGTTAGCCAGGATGTTCTCAATCTCCTGACCTCGTGATCCGCTCTCTCCCTCTTTTTTTATTTTTATTTTTATTTTATTTTTATTTTTTGAAATGGAGTCTTGCTCTGTCGCCTGGGCTGGAGTGCAGTGGCACGATCTCAGCTCACTGCAACCTCTGCCTCCCAGGTTCAAGCAATTCTCCTGCCTCAGCCTCCTGAGTAGCTGAGACTACAGGCGTATGCCACCACGCCCAGCCAATTTTTTGTATTTTTAGTAGGGACGGGGGTTTCACTATGTTGGCCAGGCTGGTCTCCAACTCCTGACCTCGTGATCCACCCGCCTTAGCCTCCCAAAATGCTGAGATTACAGGCGTAAGCCACCGTGCCCGGCCCTCTCTCCCTCTCTTGAGATAGGGTCTGGCTCTGTCGCACAGGCTGGAGTGCAGTGGTGTGATCTTGGGTGTCAATGCAACTTCTGCCTCCCGGGTTCAAGAGATCCTCCCACCTCAGCCTCCCAGGTAGCTGGGACCACAGGTGTTTGCTACCACACCCGGCTTATTTTTTAAAAATTTTTTATAGAGACAGGGTCTTGCCATGTTGCCCAGGCTAGATTCAAACTCCTGGACTCAAGTGATCCTCCTGCTTCAGCCTCCCCAAGTATTGGGATTACAGGCATTAGCCACCACGCCTGGTCAGGGATGGTTTTAAAGCATTTATGAATTCTGTAATCCCAGCACTTTGGGAAACAGAGGTGGGTGGATCACTGAGGTCAGGAGTTCTAGACCAGCCTGGCCAACATGGCGAAACCCTGTCTCTACCAAAACTACAAAAAATCAGCCGGGGGTGGTGGCACACACCTGTAGTCTCAGCTACTTGGGAGGCTGAGGCAGGAGAATTGCTTGAACCTCGGAGGTGGAGGCTGCAGTGAACCAAGATCACACCACTGCCCTCCAGCCTGGGCAACAGAGCAAGACTCCGTTTCAAAAAAAAAAAAAACAGTTGTGAATTCTTTTAAGATTTCTCCATAAAAAGGCAGAGCCTACTATGCATCAAAGGACACAATCAACAGAGTTCCTTCCACACAATGGGAGAAATTATTTGCAAATCATGTATCTAACAAAGGATGAATATGGTAAAACTCATCAACAAATAACCCAGTTTTTAAAATGGGCAAAAAGTTTATTGTGATGGCTCATGCCTACAATCCCAGCTCTTTGGGAGGCCAAGGTAGACATAGCACTTGATATGAGTTCAAGACCAGACTGGGCAACATAGCAAGAATCCATCTTTCCAAAAAATGAAAAAATTAGCCAGATGTGGTGGTGAATGCTATAGTCCCAGCTACAGGCTGAGGCAGGAAGATTGCTTGAGCCCGGGAGACTGAAGCTGCAATGAGCCGTGAGCACACCACTGCACCCCAGCCTAGACGACAAAGCAAGGCCCTGTCTCAAAAAAAAAAAAAAAAGTGTCGGGGGCAGGTTGGTGGCTCACGCCTCTAATCCCAGCACTTTGGGAGGCTGAGGTGGGAGGAGCGCTTGAGCTCAGGAGTTCAAGACCAGCCTGGCCAACATAGTGAAAGCCCCATCTCTATAAAAATACAAAGAAAATTAGCTGGGTGTGGTGGCGTGTGCCTGTGGTCCCAGCTACCCAGGAGGCTGAGGTGGAAGTTGCAGTGAGCCAATATCACACCACTGCACTCTAGCCTGGGCAACAGAGCGAGACCTTGACTCACAAAAAAAAAAAAAAAAGAAAAGAAAAGAAAAAGAAAAAGCAGGAAGGGGCAAAAGACTTGAACAGTCATTTCTACAAAGATGATATACAAATGGCCAATAAGCAAATGAAAAGATGAACGTCACTCATAACCAGAAAAATGCAAATTGAAACCACAGTGAGATATCACCTCACACCCATCCAGAGGGCTGCTTCCAAAAAAAAAAAAAAGCAGGCCAAGTGCAGTGGTTCATGCCTGTAATCCCAGCACTTTGGGAGGCTAAGGTGGGAGGATCACTTGAGGCCAAGAGTTTGAGACCAGCCTGGGCAACATGGCAAGACGCACTCTGTACCAATAAGATATAAAAATTAGCCAGGCATGGTGGTATGCACCTGTAGTCCCAGCTACTCGTGAGGCTGAGGCAGGAGGTTCACTTGAACCCAGGAGGTTGAAGCTGCGGTGAACCGAGATGCCGTCACTGCACTCCAGCCTGTGCAACAGAGCAAGACCCTGTCTCAAGAAAATAAAAAAAAAAAACCATAAAATTAAATTACATTAAAAAGTGGCCGAGTGCAATGGCTCACACCTATAATCCTAGCACTTTGGGAAGCCAAGGTGGGAGAATCACTTGAGCCCAGGAGTTTAACACCAGCTTGGCCAACATGGTGAAACCCATCTCTACTAAAAAGACAAAAGTTAGCTGGGCGTGGTGGTGGGCACCTGTAATCCCAGCTACTCGGAGGGCTGAGGCAGGAGAATCACTTGAACCTGGGAGGCAGAGGCTGCAGTGAGCCCAGATCATGCCACTGCACTCCAGCCTGGGCAACAGAGCAAGACTCCATCTCAAAAACAAAAAAATTAATTAAAAAGTGGCATTTACTACATTCACGGTGTTGTATAACCACCACCTCTACCTAGTTCCAGATATTTTTATCACCCCAAAATAAAACCCTGTACCCATTAAACACTCCCTCCTCACTCCCCCTCCTCCAGCCTCTGGCAGCCACTCATCTGCTTTCTGTCTCTGTGCATCTGCCTGTTATGGATATTTCCCATAAAAGGAGTCATACAATATGTGGCCTTTTTGTCTCTTGTATTTAAAAAAATCAACTATTGTTGACATTTGAAAACTTGTTTATGTTCCTACCTAAATACCATTCCTATTACTCCATCTTGAGAACTAATTAAGAATTGTTTGAAGTTAGGAAGGATCCTTTGGGAAGATAAGACTCAAAACTGTAACAGAAACAGCTCACCAAGATAGCAAAAAAATTATTATCCATTCATTATTTAGTCTACACGTATTTATTGAGCACCTACTATTGTCAAGCCCTGTTCTGGGCACCGGGATACAGCAGTGAGACAGACGAGGCCCCTGCTCATGGAGAATGCTGGAGACTTAAGTAAATACCAGGGAGCCAAAAGTGCTAAGTAAAGAAGTAAAACAGATGGGATCAGGCAGGACCGGATGGCAACCTTAGGTTGGGAGGTCAGGGAAGGCCTCTCTGAGTTAAACTAACCTGGAAATGACAAATTAGGCCTGCCACTCAAAGCTGGGAAAAGATTTGCAGGCAGAGGGAACAGTACGTGAAAATGTCAACAGCCCAGGAGACTGAGGCTGCACATCCTTTAACTGGTGGTCAAGGGAAGGGGAGAGAGGGAATGGTGCCCTCAGGGAGGGCAGCAGTGTTTTCTGTAGCCACGACGCCAACAGCAGAGGGAAGCGACCTCTCCCTTGCTGTGGGTAAGGCTGGGAATTGGCAACATGTTTCTGAAGGACAGATTGGCAACGGAGTCAGAAAGTTTTAAAATTTGCAAACTGCTGGGTGTGGTGGCTCACGCCTGTAATCCCAACACTTTGGGAGGCTGATGTGTGGGTGAATTGCTTGAGTCCAGGAGTTTGAAACCAGCCTGGGCAACATGGTGAGACCCTCATCTCTACAAAATATTTAAAAATTAGCCAGGTGTGATGGTGTGTGCTTGTGGTCCCAGCCACTGGGGAGGCTGAGGCTGGAGAGTCACTCGAGCCCACGGAGGCTGAGGCTGCAGTGAGCCGAGATGACGCCACTGCACTCCAGCCTGGGCGACAGAGTGAGACTCCGTCCCCCCCCCCAAAAAAAAAAAGAAAAGAGCGGCTTAGACTCTGCCTGGGATGGGGCCTGGGTTGGTCAAGGAGCTTTCTGTTAGCTGCTGTAACAAATCATGAACATAGTGACTTAAAACAACACAAATTGATTATCTTCTCATTATCTTTCGTTTCTGGAGGTCAGAAGTCCAAAACGGTTTCACCTGGCTAAAGTCAAGGAGTCTGCAGGGCTGCATCCCTTCTGGAAGCTCTAGGGGACAATCCGTTTCCTCACCTTTTTCAGCTTCTAGAGGTCGCCTGCACTCCTTGGCTCACGGCCCCCTCCTCCACCCGCAAAGCTCATCACTCCAGCCGCTGCCCCTGTGTCCACGTCACCTTCTTCCCCAAGACTGACTCCTGTGTCCCTCTCATAAGGACCCTTGTGGTTACATCAACCCACCAGATAAGCCCCAGATCATCTCCCCATCTCGGCACTTTTAATTTAATTCCAAAGTAACACAGTCACAGGTCCCAGAAAATTAGGATGCAGACATCTTTGGAGGAGCCATTGTTCAGCCTACCACAGAGGGCCTCTTTGATGGATAAAATCTGAATCAAAACCAAATGATTGAGAAAAAGTCACCCATGAGAGCAGAGCATTCTGGGTAGGGGTGGGCAGCAAGTGCAAAGGGCCTGTGGCAGGAGCTGGTTCGGCAGTTGGAGCACAGACCGTGAGACAGAGAGTGGCACCAGGGACGGGCCCAGGGCAGCTGGACCTTGTGGTCTGCAGCGAGGTATCATCCTTCCTTCTGCTCTGGCTGGGATGAGGATGATGAAAAACAAACTCAGGTTCATGTAGGAGACAGAGACGGTGTGGGACAAACAACAGATAGGACAATCTTGGAGTCTCTCCAAGGAACTGACTTTGACCTCAGACCTGAGTGGTCAGGGGGGCAAGGATCGGGAGGCCCTGGTCCTGTAGGGCCTTGTAGCCTTCGCAGAGGAAGTTGCATTTTTTGTGTATGCATTGGGAAGAAGCAGTTGATGGGGTTTAAGCAGGGATGGGGCAGGAGTCGTGTACCAGTTTTAAGGCAATCCCTGGCTGCTTTGCAGAGAGATTCAAGGATGAGCTGAAAGTCTCTATATTGAGAAGTTTTGCTCATCATAATCCGAAAGGAAGGGGAAGAAAACAGTTTGGCAGTTCACCAACAAGTTAAACATACAGGGAGTCTCTCTGAACCTATTCTGGTTCAGGGTCTGCTTGATTGAAACAAAAAAACGAAAAGAAAAAGAATCAAGTTATACATAGCATCACTATATGACCCAGGAATTCCACTCCTAGGCATACATCCAAGAGAACTGAAGACAGGCACTCAAACAAACACCTGTTTATGCATGTTCATAGCAGCAGTATTCATAACAGCAAAAAGCAAAAATACACATCACATAATACTCATTCACTTTTAACCATTTAAAAAACTATTTGGGAGACAACTCAAATACCCATCAATGGATGACAAAATGTGGCCTGTCCATACCACGGAATATGATTCAGCCATAAAAAGAAATGAAATATTGGCTGGCCATGGTGGCTTATACCTCTAATTTCAGCACTTTGGGAGTCTGAGGCAGGAGGATCACTTGAGGTCAAGAGTTAGAGACCAGCCTGGCCAACATAGAGAGACCCCATCTCAAAAAAAAAATTTTTTTTTAACACTGATACATACTACATCATGGATGAACCTCGAAAACCTGCTGCTAAGTGAGAGAAGTCAGGGCCAGGCACAATGGCTCACGCCTGTAATCCCAGCACTTTGAGAGGCTGAGGTGGGCAGATCACCTGAGGTCAGGAGTTCAAGACCATCCTGGCCAACATGGCAAAACCCCGTCTCTACTAAAAGTACAAACAAATTAACTACGCATAGTGGCAGGCGCCTGTAGTCCCAGCTACTTGGGAGGCTGAGGCAGGAGAATCACTTGAACCCGGGAGGCGGAGGCTGCAGTAAGCTGAGATCACACCACTGCACTCCAGCCTGGGAGACAGAGCAAGACTCTGTCTCAAAAAAAAAAAAAGTGAGAGAAGCCAGATACAAAAGGCCACACAGTGCAAGATTCTATTTATAGGAAATCTCCAGAGTAAGCATATCCATAGACAGAACACAGAGGGGCTCACGCCTGTTATCTCAGCGCTTTGGAAGGCTGAGGCAGGAGGATTGTTTGAGGCCAGAAATTTGAGGCTGCAGTGAGCTATGATTGCACCACTACACTCCAGCCCAGATGGCAGATCAAGACCCTGTCTGAAAAAAAAAAGAAAAAGAGACAGAAAACAGATTGGTGTTCACCAGGGACTGGGGAGAGGGAGAAATAGGAGGTGACTACTAATGGGTACAGGGGTTTCCTTTGGGAATGAAGGAATGTTCTGGAACTAGATGGAGGAGGTGGTTGCATAACATTGTGAATGTCCTAAATGCCACTGAACTGTACACTCAAAATGGTTAAAATGGTGAATTTTTTTTTAATGGCGAGTTCTGTGTTATGAGTATTTTACCACAATTTTTAAAGGACGGAGGAGATGGAGGGGTGCGGAGATGGAGGGGTGCAGGGACGGTGTGGGGAACGGTGGCGCCACCTGCGGGTACCACGCTCCGTGCCCACTTCCTTTAGGTGATGCCAGCACCCGGCTAGGAGCGAGTCACCTCCCCACTCCCCCTTGTGGCTGCCTTATGTTTTTTGTGGTGGCCTTGGAGAGAACCGGGGTGCCAGGACAGCCTGCATACGCTTGAGAGATGCTCTGGCTTTTGGCCATGGACTCTCAATTTAGGTTCGGTAACATTTCACCAGGGCCCTTGCCAGCCCCTAACTCAGCGTGGTGCCCGTGAGCACGCACAGAAACCTCCCCACGCTGGGAGGGGGCAGTGCTCCACCATCTGGGAACATTTTAGAAGCCCCCCAAATGGAAGACTCAACAATTGTTTCCTGTTTCTGCCTGCTTTCTAAACATTTTTCCACGTCTTACCACCATGCACATAGTTTTTAACTATTTTATCCATTTGTGTGTGTGACACTAAGGGCATTCACATTGCTGTGCAGCCGTTGCCACCATTCATCTCCAGAACAGTTTCGTCTTCCCAGACTGAAACTCGGTCCCCATTTTCATCCTGCAAAACTACAACTCCATACCCATTAACCCATTTCCTGTTTAGAAAAAAAAAAGTGCAGTTTGCTGCCAGCACTCATTTAATTTTACATAAACACGCTCTTTGAGGCTGAAGCAAATGTGACTGATTTTCAATGTGAAAATAAAATATAAAAACTGTTCTTGGCTGGGCACAGTGGCTCATGCTTGTAATCACAGCACTTTGGGAGCCCGAGGCTGGTGGATTGCTTGAGGTCAGGAGTTCAAGACCAGCCTGACCAACGTGGTGAAACCCCATCTCTACTCAAAATACAAAAATTAGCCAGTTGTGGTGGCAGGCACCTGTAATCCCAGCTACTCGGAAGGCTAAGGCAGGAGAATCGCTTGAACCCGAGAGGTGGAGGTTGCAGTGAGCTGAGATCGTGCCACTGAATTCCAGCCTGGGTGACAGAGCAAAGAGCTGGGATTACAGGCGTGAGCCACTGTGCCTGGTCTACACTGGTGGACTTTTAGGGTTGTTTTTTAGGGTTGTTTTCTGATTTCGGCTGTGAGCATGGGCACACCATAATTCTTTTTTTTCTTTTTTTTTTTTTTCTTTTTGGAGACAGAGTCTTGCTCTGTCACTCAGACTGGAGTACAGTGGTGCGATCTCAGCTCACTGCAACCTCCGCCTCCCGGGTTCAAGTGATCCTCCTGCCCACCACCATGCATGCCACCATGCCCAGCTAATTTTTGTATTTTTAGTAGAGACGGGGTTTCACCATGTTGGGCAGACTGGTCTCAAACTCCTGACCTCGTGATCCACCCACCTCGGCCTCCCAAAGTGCTGGGATTACAGGTGTGAACCACTGCACCCGGCTATAATTATTTTCAATGTTACACGCTTCAGCTAAGTCACCAGGGTTGTCCCTCTGTGGCTGCATGAATCTTAGATTCCAGGAGCAAATCAGTCCATCAGCCACTGAGGTTGGGGCAAGTGAAAAAGGACAGCCCTGCTGGCCAGGTGCAGTAGCTCACACCTGTAATCCCAGCACTTTGGGAGGCCAAGGCAGCAGGATCACTTGAGCCCAGGAGTTCCAGACCAGCCCAAGCAACATAGCAAGACGCCATCTCTACAGTCCCTTATTTGTTAAATGAACAAATAAACAAACTGCACAGTTAAATGAACAAACTGCACAATTACTTTATAACAAAATTACCTTTGAGAAACATTATAATTTTTTAAACAGTGACAGCCAGGCACTCTTGCAGTTTGTCATAGCTTCTGCCATTCCATATCCAATTCCGTCTTTCTCTCTGCATCCACCATAGCTAATAATTAGCAACACAAGCTCAGTGCAAACGACAGATGAGGCAATCATCACAAACATTAGATGCCCTCCTGGAGGGCAAAGTCTCCGCGTCCCCAGCTGAGATCCCAAGGGCTTCAAGAAGTGTTTTCTACATGGAAAGTGACTTTGTCAAGTGAAATAATCAATGAGGTCCTTATTGTGTGAGGGAACACAGAATAATTTTTAAGGTAAAACTATCACCGGGCACGGTGGCTCATACCTGTAATCCTAGCACTTTGGGAGGCTGAGTCGGGTGGATCACCTGAGGTTAGGAGTTCGAGACCAGCCTGACCAACATGGAGAAACCCCATCTCTACTAAAAATACAAAATTAGCTGGGTGTGCTGGCACATGCCTGTAATCCCAGCTACTCGGGAGGCTGAGGCAGGAGAATCACTTGAACCCGGGAGGCAGAGGTTGCAGTGAGCCAAGATCACGCCATTGCACTCCAGCCTGGGTAACAAGAGTGAAACTCCATCTCAAAAAAAAAAAAAAAGAAAGAAAGAAAACTATCATGAGATACTGTAATTCACCTGGCAGATAAATAAGCAAAGTGTGAGGAGCTCCTTGTGTTGTTAGGGTGTGAGGAAGGCACTGCTGACGGCTGTTGGTAGAAGGGTAAATTTGTGTAACCTCTTTGGAGGGGAATTTGACAAAGCCTGTCTAAATTTAAAATGCATATGGCCTTTGACCCAGCAAGTTCACTTTGAGAAGTTATCTTTCAGATATATATGCACACAAGGGCAAAAATCTATGGATAAAAATAGCCAGCCGGACGCAGTGACTCACTTCTGTAATCCCAGCACTTTGGGAGGCTGAGGTGTGCCAATCACTTGAGCTCCAGAGTTTGGGACCAGCCTGGGTAACATAGTGCTACTCCATCTCTATGAAAAATACAAAAATTAGCCAGGCATGGTGGTGCATGCCTGCAGTCCCATCTACTTGGAAGGCTAAGGTAGGAGAAGCACTTGAGCCTGGGAGGTCGAGGCTACGGTGAGCTGAGATCATGCCACAGCACTCCAGCCTGGGCGACAGAGCAAGACTCTGTCTCAAAAACTAATAATAACAATAATAAATAAAATACCTGTGCTCACTTCGGCAGCATGTATGCTAAAATTGAAATGATACAGAGTAGTTTAGCATGGCACCTGTTTACATTTTAAAAAAGGAAATAGCCTTGGCTGGGTGCTGTGGTTCATGCCTATTACCCCAGCACTGTGGGAGGCCGAGGCAGGCAGATACTTGAGCCCAGGAGTTTGAGATCAGCCTGAGCAACATGGTGAAACCCCGTCTCTACACAAAACACAAAAATTAGCTGGGCATGGTGGCGCATGTCTGTAGTCCCAGCTACTTGGGAGAAAGAAGTCAGAGGAGAATCACTTGAACCCAGGAGGTGGAGGTTGCAGTGAGCTGAGATTGCACCACTGCACTCCAGCCTGGGTGACAGAGCGAGACACCATGTCAAAAAAAAAAAAAAAAAAAAGGATGTGTACATTGAGTTTATCCAGAAGACAGATCAAAAGTAGGTGCCCTTAGGTTCCATCACCGCTGCTTTCAGCTGCCTACCCTCAAACCCATATGGCATTCTGATTGTTTTTTCAGGGTGGCGACACATTCAGCTTCAACTAATGGGTTATAATTGGTCTAAACCAGTGGTTTACAAGGAGGGAAAATTTTGCCTCCCAGGGAACTTAGAAAATGTCTGGAGACTTTCTGGGCTGTCACAACTAAGGATGACTGGGGTCCACGGGATAGAGGCCGGGGATACTGCTAATCATCCTACAATGCACGGGACAGCCCCAAGCAAAGAATTCTCGAGGCCAATACGTCAGTCAATAGTGCTGAGTTAGAGAAACCTTGGTCTAAACCAAACATAAAAACCCTATTCCCTGCTTCACAGCCTCCTTTGCAGCTATTGACAGCCACTGGACCCAGTTCTGACCAATGAGACCTGAAGGAAGTCAGTGAACGCTTTTCTTCATAAAAGAAACTCATGTGGCTGACCCCAATCTTCCCTGCTTCTTCCTTTGAATACAGATGTGTCTGGATTTGTGACAATAATCTTGCAACTATGAGAGAAAGAACAGCAGAATCACACCCTGACATCAGAGTCCCTTATATCCAAATCCAGATGTCATCTTCTTCCTTTTTTTTTTTTTTTTTTTTTTTGAGACAGCACCTTACTCTGTCTCCCAAGCTGGAGTGCAGTGGTGCAGTTATAGCTCACTGCAGCCTTGACCTACCGGGCAACCCTCCTGCCTCAGCCTCCCAAGTAGCTGGGACTACAGGCATGCACCTCTAGGCCTGGCTCTCATTCTTTTTATTGTTGTTGAAACTATAGAATCTATTTTTAAATCAGCCCAGCTAATTTTTTATTTTTTGTAGAGAAAGGGGTCTTGTTATGTTGCCAGGGATGGTCTTAAACTCCTGGCCTCAAGTGATCTTCTCACCTCAACCTCCCAAAGTGCTGAGATTACAGGCATGAGCCACCGTCCCCAGCTAGATTTCTTATGTGAGAAAATTTACATCCCCTTGTTTAAACCTCTGTAGTTTGATTTTTCCTGTAGGGTGTTTAAATACCCTCTTGTTTAAACCTCTGTAGTTTGATTTTTCTGTTTCCTAATCTGTGTACTACCACTTAGTCTAATTCTAGTTGGTGGACCAATGAGATTTCAATTTCAGTTCTGCTTATAGGCCTGATGCTTCTCTTCTGCAGAGTAAAAAGTTAGGGGCCAGGCGCAGTGGCTGACACTTGTAATCCCAGCACTGTTGGAGGCTGAGGCAGGTGGATCGCTTGAGCCCAGGACTTTGGGACCAGCCTGGGCAACATGGCGAAACCCTGCCTCTACAAAAAATACAAAAATTAGCTGGGCATCGTGGTGCACGCCTATTAGTCCCAGCTACCAGGGAGGCTGAGGTGGGAGGATCACTTGAGCCTGGGGAAGTCGAGGCTGTAGTGAGCCATGATCTCGCCATTGCACTCTGGCCTGGGCAACAGAGTGAGACCCTGTCTCAGAAAATAATAGTAATAATACCAGTCTGGCCAATATGGTGAAACCTCATCTGTACTAAAAATACAAAAATTGGTTGGGTGTGGTGGTGCACACCTGTAATCCCAGCAACTCGGGAAGTTGAAGCATGAGAATCGCTTGAACCTGGGAGGTGGAGGTTGCAGTGAGCCGAGCCACTGCACTCCAACCTAGGTGACAGAGCGAGATTCCGTGTCAAAAAAAAAAAAATTAAAAAAAAATTTTAAATAATATGTTTAATTAAAAATATAAATAAAAATTCTCTTCACATTCACTTGTTTCAGGGATGGCAATCCCACCCCCAGGAGAAGATCCTGGCTAACCTTGACCTATCACTGGCCATCCCATTCCCTTTGCCAGTAAATGGTTTAAGAACAAGCATCTGCTTGGTGTCTGGAAGCATGAGAGTGCTGTTATTTCAAACTTTCAATATTTTTCTAATTCATCATTTGAGGAAAGACAACTCTTGTTCTGAGAAAAAAAAAATTTAATGATTGTTTTGGCCCAAAGGAAAAGCCAAAATTCTATTTTAATATGATATTAAAAGAAAAGAACCGGCTTGGCGTAGTGGCTCACACCTGTAATCCCAGCACTTTGGAAAGCCGAGGCAGGCGGATCACCTGAGGTCAGGAGTTTGAGACCAGCCTGACCAACATGGAGAAACCCCGTCTCTACTGAAAATACAAAATTTGCCAGGTGTGGTGGCACATGCCTGTAATCCCAGCTACTCGGGAGGCTGAGGTAGGAGAATAATTTGAACCCGGGAGGCAGAGGTTGTGGTGAGCAGAGATCATGCCACTGCACTCCAACCTGGGCAACAAGAGTGAAACTCTGTTTCATATATATATATATATATATATATATATATATATATATATATGCATACATACATATGCTAAAATTCCTGCAAACTAGCGTTAACTTTGTCTTCATTGAGAGCAGAATGGTAATAACATCATCTGGAGGTTATGATGATGTCATCTGGGTGGGAGGTAAATTTTTTTTTTCTCCTTACACTGGGCCCCACAGAAGGGGGTGAGGTTTGGCTCCAGGTTTGGGGGATATAGCTAAGGAAGGATGTCAGCTCTGGGCCAAAGACAGGAATGACCTATCAGATCCCCCAGGGAAGGAGCAGGACCCTGGAGCATTAATATCTGCGGCACACAATTGTGATTTCTCCGCGTTGCAATTTCCTTTCACTACCCCCATGTCTAGCTGTCCTAAGGAAAGAGCCAGATCCCTGAGGCAACCCAGAGAAGCCAAGTCTAAGATGTCAGAGGTCATGGGCAGAATCTCCCAAGGCAGCCAGCTGGCTGAGTGACAAATGACAACAAGCACAGATTTGTGAAGAGTGCAAGCATTCTTCAGAAACTCCCAAAAATACCAGTGAGGAGAAACTGGTAAGTGGACTTCCTCGAGGAGTCACGCACAGTGCAGAACAGACCACTGTCCCACGTGCTTGCAGGGACACGCTGGCCTCTAAACACTGGCCCACACAGCGCTGAGTCACACTTGCCCCTCCCTCTTGCCTACGGTCACTCCCCAGCCACAGTTGATGCTAACGAGCTTCGCCCTTCACTCCCGGGAGTTCGGCAGCTTTTGCACATTTTAAGATCAACTGAGAGTTTATAAATATGCCCCGTTTTTCTATGACCATCGCTATGGGAAGAGATGAATGTGTTCTAACCTGTTTCCCATCAAAACTTGTGTTCTAACCCCAAAAGGAAAAGCAGCAATAAAAACAACCAAAACATTTTTTAAAAATAGGTTCTATAGTTTCAAAAACAATAAAAAGAATAAGAGCCAAGCCTGGAGGTGCGCGCCTGTAGTCCCAGCTACTTAGGAGGCTGAGGCAAGAGGATGGCTTCAGCTGGGGAGGTTGAGGCTGCAGTGAGCTGTGATCACACCACTGCACTCCAGCCTGGGCGACAGAGGGAGACACCGTTTGTAAAAAAAAAAAAATTTTTTTTTTTGAGATGGAGTCTCCCTCTGTCACCCAGGCTGGAGTGCAGTGGCGCAGTCTCGGCTCACTGCAACCTCCGCCTCCTGAGTTCAAGCGTTTCTCCTGCCTCAACCTCCCGAGTAGCTGGGATTACAGGTGCATACCACCACGCCTGGCTAATTTTTGTTTTGTTTTGTTTCGTTTGTTTGTTTTTTTGAGACGGAGTCTCTCTCTGTCTCCCAGGCTGGAGTGCAGTGGTGCAATCTCGGCTCACTGCAAGCTCCGCCTTCCAGGTTCACGCCATTCTCCTGCCTCAGCCTCCCAGGTAGCTGGGACTACAGGCGCCCGCCACCACGCCCAGCTAATTTTTTTTTTTTTTTTTTTTGTATTTTTAGTAGAGACGGGGTTTCACCGTGTTAGCCAGGATGGTCTCAATCTCCTGAGCTCATGATCCGCCTGCCTTGGCCTCCCAAAGTGCTGGGATTACAGGCGTGAGCCACCACTCCCGGCCTCCTCCAGCCCCATCTCTTCACATGCTTTTCCCACCTCAGTTATGCTGGTCTCCTTTCTGTTCCTCAAATATGCCCAAGTCTTCCAGCCCCAGGGCCCCCGTGCTATTTCCTGCCTCTCCACCTTCTGCAAAGCTAAGGCCCATCTTCCAGGTCTCACATAAATACTGTCTTTCCCGAAAGCCTCTTCCAACCATCCACAAGCAGGATCCCAAACTCCTCCCATTCAACCTGACAGCCTCACATAGCTCCTGTCACCATGTGTAATTTTTGCTTACTAGCAGATCAAAGAACAGAAGCAAGCCGTTTGATTGTTTCTTTTTGTTTTGTTTTGTTTTTAGACAGAGTCTCACGAGCCTCCTTACAAAATAGAAAAGTCAATGGGATTTCAGGGAAAATGGATAATCTTCGTTGGGGGCAGTCAAGGAAGGCTTTGTGGAACCTTTGAATTAGATCTTGACATTATATCTTGACAGTACTTTGAATAAATACAAATAATGTTATTTTTTTGTTAAGACTCATGCAACCGCATCTATGTAAATGAATCCGTACATAGTATTCATTCGAGTGTGAAATCAGACTTTGGGATGCTTTAAAATTTAACAGTCAGGAACACTTACTCTATTTTATGGACTTAAATTTGTTGAGGTGGCAGGGAACAACTTGAGTGAAGGGTGGGACATGGCAGTGTGTATGTGGGGGAAAAAGGTGGCCAGCAGATAAGGGAAGCAGGGGACAGAGTATTTTGAGGGATTAGACCTGACCAGCTATAACAGGAAATAGAGGCTGTAGATTGAAGGATAGCTACAATGGATGTTATGGAGAAATTCCAACTGGGGTGGAAACATGTAGCTGCAAAATTGGAAGAGCAGCTTATTCTAGGCAGAAAAGAAGAAAGTAAAAGGCATCTGAGGGGACACTAAATTAATGCTTACTGATAAGTAAACAAGCCTCTGGAAGTAGAAAGGTAAAAGCATAAATTGCTTGGTCAACCACAACCGCTTGGGAGTGCTGCAGGCTTCATGACTAAACCAAAGTCTGTCCCTGAAGCTCCCTCTTCCGGCAGAAATAAATACTGCACACTAAGCTGGCTGACTCCTTTAATTAAAAGGTGCTTGCCAATCTCTAAACAGTATACCTGTATGGGAGTCATAATTGTAATATCTTGGTGAGGATTTTGTTGTGCTTTCAGGCAAACCATAAAAGGAACACTAATTTAAATAAATACAAACAATGTTATTTTATTCTTAAGATTCAGGCAACCACATCTATGTAAGTGAATCCTTACATGGTATTCATTCAAGTGTGAAACCAAACTTTGGGATGCTTTAAAATTTAACAATCAGGAACAAGACTCTGTTAAAAAAAAAAAAAAAGAAATGTTAGAACTCTGTCAAACTATAAAAATATAAAGTGAAATAGCACAGTGCAGACAGACTGTACAGACCAGTGTGCTACCTTTCATGTAAAGGGGAATTACATATATTATATATATGATTTTTTTATTATTTGTGTATATACAGTACTCACTGTATATGCATAAAGTCTGCAAGTACATGCTGGGGGGAAGGGGTGGATGGGAGACAAGGATGGAAGATTTTTTTGTTGTTTTTTTTTGGAGACCGAGTCTCGCTCTGTCACTCAGGCTGGAGGGCAGTGGCACCATCTCAGCTCACTGCAACCTCCACCTCCCAGGTTCAAGAGATTCTCCTGCCTCAGCCTCCCGAGTAGCTGGGACTACAGGCATGCATCACCACGCTCAGCTAATTTTTGTATTTTATTAGAGATGAGGTTTTGCTATATATATATATATATATATATATGAATATATGAATATATATATATGAATATATGAATATATATATATATATGAATATATGAATATATATATATTGGCCAGGCTGGTCTCGAACTCCTGCCCTCAGGTGATCTGCCCACCTCAGCCTCCCAAAGTGCTGGGATTACAGGTGTGAGTGGCCTGGAAGATTTTTTATTATATACTGTTTAAAAGTTTTTAAGTAGTTGAAACACATGAAGACATCACCTCAAAAAGTTATATTAACAATTCAAAAATATGCACATTAAGGATTAATTTTTTTGAAAAATTTAAAAATTGAGAAATATCATGGGACAGTAACACAGTAATCATGAAGAATTATAAAAATAAGTGCTGGCCGGGCGCAGTGGCTCAAGCCTATAATCCCAGCACTTTGGGAGGCCGAGGCGGGCAGATCACAAGGTCAGGAGATCAAGACCATCCTGGCTAACACAGTGAAACCCTGTCTCTACTAAAAATACAAAAAAAATTAGACGGGCTTTGTAGCGGGCGCCTGGAGTCCCAGCTACTCGGGAGACTGAGGCAGGAGAATGGTGTGAACCCGGGAGGTGGAGCTTGCAGTGAGCCGAGATCACGCCACTGCACTCCAGCATGGACAACAGAGCGAGACTCCGTCTCAAAAAAAATAAATAAATAAGTGCTAAGGCTGATTATTTTATTAGCCCTAAGAATCCAATTAAAATAGAAATCTTGTATTTATGCTATTCTTTCAAAATCTTTATGTAAAGCAAGCTTTTAATAGGATGTTATAAAAATAGATTTTGCTCCTTGTGTTCAAGTTTCTCCTCTTGAAATTGCACATTTTACATTTTTTAAAAAATTAAAATTAAAAAACAAAATAGTATGATAGTGTTAATTTGGCAGTTCCAACTTTAGTAACCTATCTTACAGAAATATGAATAGACAAAATAAAGATGTGTGAGGATGTACTTTGCAGCAGCATTATAATAGCAAAAACCTGGAAACAAATATTGATGGACAGGTTAAGTAAATCATAGGACATTCATACAATGGAATACTAGCAAAAATATTAAAAAGAATGAGGTAGATCTAGATATGCTAGTATGGAAAGATGTCCATAATTATCTAGTTCCCCACCTCAAAAAAAAAAAAAAAACCTGAGAATCATTATACTGAGAATGGTCCAATTTGTGTCTGTATGTACATAATATGTACATAACAAATATAGTATATTTTTACACAGGGGAAAAGTCCAAAAGAATATCAACCTGTAAAAAGTAGTTATCCCAGCTGGGCGCGGTTGCTCATGCCTGTAATCCCAGCACTTTGGGAGGCAGAGGCAGGCGGATCACAAGGTCAGGAGATCGAGACCATCCTGGCTAACACAGTGAAACCCTGTCTCTACTAAAAATACAAAAAATTAGCCAGGTATGGCGACGTGCGCCTGTAGTCCCAGTTGTTGGGGAGGCTGAGGCAGGAGAATAGCGTGAACCAGGGAGGCGGAGCTTGCAGTGAGCCGAGATCGCGCCACTGCACTCCAGCCTGGGCGACACAGCGAGACTCCATCTCAAAAAGAAAAAGTAGTTAGTTATCCCTGGAAAGTAAAATTGAGTAGGAACTTAAATGGGTTACTATCACCTTTGACTTTATAAACCTGCACACAAACACACAAAATGTGTATGTATTTAATTACAAACAGTAAGAGACCTGGCATGGTGCCTCACACCTGTAATCTCAGCACTTTGGGAGGCAGAGGCAGGAGAATCACTTGAGGCCAGGAGTTTGAGACCAACCTAGGCAACAAGCGAAATCCAACCCCCCCTTTTTTTTTTCCTGAGACGGAGTCTTGCTCTTGTTGCCCAGGCTGGAATGCAGTTACACAATCTCGGCTCACTGCAACCTCCACATCCCGGGTTCCAGCGATTCTCCTGCCTCAGCCTTCCGAGTAGCTGGGATTACAGGCGCCTGCCAACACACCCAGCTATTTTTTTGTATATTTTGTAGAGATGGGATTTGCCATCCCTCCAACTCCTGACCTCAGGTGATCCGCCCACCTGGGCCTCCCAAAGTGCTGGGATTACAGGCGTGAGCCACCGCACCCGGCCTGAAATCCCCTATTTTTAAAAAAGGTAAATAAACGTATTTTTTTTCTCTGGGAGTGACCATACGTGGAAATTTCACTTTCTACATCACTAATTTTATGAATGTGCTTATGTTGCTCTATACTGCTTTTCAAAACTTTTCTAGTACCTATGCTTGTAATTCGGAATTTCTCACTGAACTTGATAGAAGCACTTTAGTTCAAGGGGCCAAGTGTTCTTCAGTGAGTTTTCAAGTGAGCATCCTCACCTCTACAACATTCACACAGCTTTATTAAATAGACTAATGTTCGCTCACACCAAGATCCTGCCGGCTCTGCACAACGCTGTTAACACCAATGTGACCCAGTTCCATCCCACATCTTCAACAGCTTTAGCAGCCATGGCCTTTCTTGTACTTGACTTGATGCAGCTTTGAAGTTTTCAAAAAGCACCTTACACAGATTTATCAATGTTACAATGCCTGACACCAAGTGTACATCTTTAACACTATTCAAGGTATTTTTTCCTTACACTAAGGTCATCCAGATTTTAATGGTAACTAAAATTACACAGAAAGTTGCATACTAACTGGAAGTGATCGCCTGTCTAGTAGTGGTTGAGTTTGTTGGGTTCTTGTAACGTTTCCTGATTCACATGCTCACTTGCATGGGAGGGTCATGGAAATTATACATTGGATGCACTCATAATGAAAACTCACAATGGATTTCCTTAAGATTTATGAATTTCTCAAATTTTAGTCCAGTAACCCTAACCCTAAAGCTAAAACTGGTTTAAGCCACCCTCAGTTGCTTTACAATTGCTAGGGACATGAAACTATCCCACAGCAGCTGTTCATGAATCCCCTAAAACTTTAAGCGAGAGAAGAGGGAGTGATTCTCCTTCGGAAAAACATTCCAAGGCCTTTAATGGGCCTCTGGATGACTGCCTGGTGTCCACCCTTGTACTAAACCAGTTTCCCTGCAACTTCCACCTTTGGTTCTAGTCAACATTAACACCTTACCAGGACCATTCGATTGGGCAAATGCTACTATACACTTGGACAAATCCAGAGGTCAATTGTTTCCCCCACTGGTTAGGTTATGTGCCAATCCTCCACCTGTAGTCACATAAAATGTGACATTTTACCAGCAAGAATTGTTTCAAGAACGCAATTGTTTCAACGAATAGCTCACTCTCTAACCACTAATTCTTTTTCCACACCTTGGTAGCTATGCCTTTTTTTACCTTCCACATCCTCTTAAAATTTGATCCCATGACTGTCTATGCAGCTCAATGTGCATTTATATAGACCTATGCACTGAAAGCATCCTTTCAGTTACCCCATCACTCCCACCTTTTAAAATTCCTTTCCTGGTGTTCCAGTAATTCTCCCATTCCGTTACCTTACACATCACCCACAAACCAGTACTTTTAAAGTTAACTTATAAGCAAATCTACATATGCAAAATACTTCCATCTCCCAATAACTTCTTTTTTGAGTCTTGCTGTCGCCCCAGCTGGAGTACAGTGGCAGTATCTCAGATCACTGCAACCTCTGCTTCGTAGGTTCAAGGGATTCTCCTGCCTCAGCCTCCCAAGTAAGCTGGAATCACAGGCACTCACTGCCACACCTGCCTTTTTTGTATTTTCAGTAGACATAGGGTTTCACCACGTTGGCCAAGCTGGTCTTGAAGCTGGCTTTTATTTGCACCCACCTTCTACAGTTCATACTATATTAAGGCCACCCCCTTCACTGACATTTCACCGTTACCACAGGAACATTTGTAGACCGAAAACCTTGACCCCCTTCACCCAGTCTAATGCAAAATAAACTTAAAAAAAAAAAAAAAAAAAACACCAATTGGGAATGCAACAACTTTATTGAAAGGAAAGTGCAATGAAATTTGTTGAAACCTTAAAAGGGGAAACTTAGACACCCCCCCTCAAGCGCAGGACCAAGTGCAGAGTGGACTCTTTCTGGATGTTGTAGTCAGACAGGGTGCGTCCATCTTCCAGCTGTTTCCCAGCAAAGATCAACCTCTGCTGATCAGGAGGGATGCCTTCCTTATCTTGGATCTTTGCCTTGACATTCTCGATGGTGTCACTGGGCTCCACCTCGAGGGTGATGGTCTTACCAGTCAGGGTCTTCACGAAGATTTGCATCCCACCTCTGAGACGGAGCACCAGGTGCAGGGTGGACTCTTTCTGGATGTTGTAGTCAGACAGGGTGCGTCCATCTTCCAGCTGTTTCCCAGCAAAGATCAACCTCTGCTGGTCAGGAGGGATGCCTTCCTTGTCTTGGATCTTTGCCTTGACATTCTCAATGGTGTCACTCGGCTCCACTTCGAGAGTGATGGTCTTACCAGTCAGGGTCTTCACGAAGATCTGCATCCCACCTCTAAGACGGAGCACCAGGTGCAGGGTGGACTCTTTCTGGATGTTGTAGTCAGACAGGGTGCGTCCATCTTCCAGCTGTTTCCCAGCAAAGATCAACCTCTGCTGGTCAGGAGGGATGCCTTCCTTGTCTTGGATCTTTGCCTTGACATTCTCAATGGTGTCACTCGGCTCCACTTCGAGAGTGATGGTCTTACCAGTCAGGGTCTTCACGAAGATCTGCATCCCACCTCTAAGACGGAGCACCAGGTGCAGGGTGGACTCTTTCTGGATGTTGTAGTCAGACAGGGTGCGTCCATCTTCCAGCTGTTTCCCAGCAAAGATCAACCTCTGCTGGTCAGGAGGGATGCCTTCCTTGTCTTGGATCTTTGCCTTGACATTCTCAATGGTGTCACTCGGCTCCACCTCGAGAGTGATGGTCTTACCAGTCAGGGTCTTCACGAAGATCTGCATCCCACCTCTGAGACGGAGCACCAGGTGCAAGGTGGACTCTTTCTGGATGTTGTAGTCAGACAGGGTACGACCATCTTCCAGCTGTTTTCCGGCAAAGATCAACCTCTGCTGGTCAGGAGGGATGCCTTCCTTGTCTTGGATCTTTGCCTTGACATTCTCAATGGTGTCACTCGGCTCCACTTCGAGAGTGATGGTCTTACCAGTCAGGGTCTTCACGAAGATCTGCATCCCACCTCTGAGACGGAGCACCAGGTGCAGGGTAGACTCTTTCTGGATGTTGTAGTCAGACAGGGTGCGCCCATCTTCCAGCTGCTTTCCGGCAAAGATCAACCTCTGCTGGTCAGGAGGAATGCCTTCCTTGTCTTGGATCTTTGCTTTGACGTTCTCGATAGTGTCACTGGGCTCGACCTCAAGGGTGATGGTCTTGCCAGTGAGTGTCTTCACGAAGATTTGCATCCCACCTCTGAGACGGAGTACCAGGTGCAAGGTGGACTCTTTCTGGATGTTGTAGTCAGACAGGGTACGACCATCTTCCAGCTGTTTTCCGGCAAAGATCAACCTCTGCTGATCAGGAGGAATGCCTTCCTTATCTTGGATCTTTGCCTTGACATTCTCGATGGTGTCACTGGGCTCCACCTCGAGGGTGATGGTCTTACCAGTCAGGGTCTTCACGAAGATCTGCATCCCACCTCTGAGACGGAGCACCAGGTGCAGGGTAGACTCTTTCTGGATGTTGTAGTCAGACAGGGTGCGCCCATCTTCCAGCTGCTTTCCGGCAAAGATCAACCTCTGCTGGTCAGGAGGAATGCCTTCCTTGTCCTGGATCTTTGCTTTGACGTTCTCGATGGTGTCACTGGGCTCGACCTCAAGGGTGATGGTCTTGCCAGTGAGTGTCTTCACGAAGATTTGCATCCCACCTCTGAGACGGAGCACCAGGTGCAGGGTGGACTCTTTCTGGATGTTGTAGTCAGACAGGGTGCGCCCATCTTCCAGCTGTTTTCCAGCAAAGATCAGCCTCTGCTGGTCAGGAGGGATGCCTTCCTTATCTTGGATCTTTGCCTTGACATTCTCGATGGTGTCACTGGGCTCAACCTCGAGGGTGATGGTCTTACCAGTCAGAGTCTTCACGAAGATCTGCATTGTCTAACAAAAAAGCCAAAAACGGCCAGAATTTAGCGGACAATTTACTAGTCTAACACTGAAAATTACATATTGACCCAAATGATTACATTTCAAAAGGTGCCTAAAAAACTTCACAAAACACACTCGCCAACCCCGAGCGCATAGTTCAAAACCGGAGCTTCAGCTACTTAAGAAGATAGGTACATAAAACCGACCAGAGAAACTGACGCCTCACTTATCCCTCCCCTCACCAGAGGTCCGGCGCCTGTCGATTCAGGAGAGCCTACCCTAGGCCCGAACCCTGCGTCCTGCGACGGAGAAAAGCCTACCGCACACCTACCGGCAGGTGGCCCCACCCTGCATTATAAGCCAACAGAACGGGTGACGTCACGACACGACGAGGGCGCGCGCTCCCAAAGGTACGGGTGCACTGCCCAACGGCACCGCCATAACTGCCGCCCCCGCAACAGACGACAAACCGAGTTCTCCAGTCAGTGACAAACTTCACGTCAGGGTCCCCAGATGGTGCCCCAGCCCATCTCACCCGAATAAGAGCTTTCCCGCATTAGCGAAGGCCTCAAGACCTTGGGTTCTTGCCGCCCACCATGCCCCCCACCTTGTTTCAACGACCTCACAGCCCGCCTCACAAGCGTCTTCCATTCAAGACTCGGGAACAGCCGCCATTTTGCTGCGCTCCCCCCAACCCCCAGTTCAGGGCAACCTTGCTCGCGGACCCAGACTACAGCCCTTGGCGGTCTCTCCACACGCCTCCGTCCCACCGAGCGGCCCGGCGGCCACGAAAGCCCCGGCCAGCCCAGCAGCCCGCTACTCACCAAGTGACGATCACAGCGATCCACAAACAAGAACTGCGACCCAAATCCCGGCTGCGACGGAACTAGCTGTGCCACACCCGGCGCGTCCTTATATAATCATCGGCGTTCACCGCCCCACGGAGATCCCTCCGCAGAATCGCCGAGAAGGGACTACTTTTCCTCGCCTGTTCCGCTCTCTGGAAAGAAAACCAGTGCCCTAGAGTCACCCAAGTCCCGTCCTAAAATGTCCTTCTGCTGATACTGGGGTTCTAAGGCCGAGTCTTATGAGCAGCGGGCCGCTGTCCTGAGCGTCCGGGCGGAAGGATCAGGACGCTCGCTGCGCCCTTCGTCTGACGTGGCAGCGCTCGCCGTGAGGAGGGGGGCGCCCGCGGGAGGCGCCAAAACCCGGCGCGGAGGCCGCTGCACCGGGAGCGGGTGGGCGGCCCGCGTTCCTTAGCCGCGGCTCCGCGGCCCCTCCCCTCAGCCCCCGCGGTCCCCTCGGGTCGCGAACCCCGCGTTCGGCGGACGTGGGGCACGCAGCGAGCGCCTTCTGCAGAGTCGGGGTCTCCCTCCCCTCCCTCCTGACCCGCCCTGGCCCACCCTGCGAGATGGACGGGTCTTTATTTTTGGGTCACATTTGAGGTAATGACGGGGCTTCCTTTGCTCAGCCCCCTTCAACCTCCCTGAGCCTCCCAGGCCGGTCGCGGGGGGCTCCCGGGGCCGCGGGACAAGGACAATGACTCGGCAGATCTCAGGGCGGGCGTGGCCCTAAAGCTGGGGAACGCTCGAGAACTTTCCAGGGGAGACACTGCAGAGGAGCTGGGTGTCCAGGTTAAATTTGGAAAAAAGAGGCGGAAACCCCACACAGTTTTATTTTAGCTGGAACGCAAGGCTGAGCGAACGACATCCTTCTAGACTGTTCTTCCACCTTCCTGTACATTCTGAGGGCCAGGTATGGAAAGGTCCTACTTGATGCCAACAGGGAGGCATGGAAATTTCTCTGGTTTCAATGGGTACGATTATTGTAAGCAGGATCCATTCAATAATCGGACCCATTTAAACCGGAGATTTTAAAAGACAGGAATAGAATCCCAACCTTATTTCAGTGCAGGGTAGGGTGTCAAATATGAAATGTAATTCTACAGGGCAATTCTATTTTGGTAAAAGAAGTGGGGAGAAAAGCATCACCAGCCAGCTTTTTAAATTTTTACCACAACCTATTTTGTGATCCCTACGTGTCATTTCTTCAGTATATTTTTTAAATGTTTTAAAATATACGAACATGGTGAGATTTTTTAAATGTGTCTTTTTAAAGTGTACAGTGAAAAGTCTCCCTCATGCCCTCAATTTCCCAGCCACTGTTCCTTCTGGACTCTTCTACAAATAGTCCCTGTTTCTACAAATGTATTGGAGGTAGGGAGGCTATTTTGATTTCTACCCTTAAAAGCTTCAAAAAAAAGAGAAAAAGAGGCTACCAACTGAAAAATATTTTGCCATTAGGAAAAGGCTGCATTCTTGTTTTAAGTTATGAACATTACATTATTTAAACGGCAGACTTAAAATATGCATCAAAGCAAAATGAACCTGCTATATATTTTCTATGGTAACCCATGTTTCTGTGTATTTATGAAAATCCAAGATCTGTGCATTGTTCAAAACAGACTTTGACATCTCCAATTTTTAACATTTTAAAGAGAATGAATTCATGTGTTACTGGGAAATTAAAACGAATAATAAAAGTGTCATTTTCCAGGATTGGCAGGATACCCCAGTGATTTCCAATACACATTTCTGCAAAGTTTTTGTTTTTTGTTTTTCCCCTACATTTCGGGAAGGAGTTTTGAAGGGATTAAAAAGCTGAGATTCTTTCTGAGGTGACCAGGCCTGGCTTTCAACCACGCCCTGGTTGCTTTTGGCTGTTACTCTGCTGCAAGCCTTGTGATTCATGTTGTTTAAAGGCTGAGTCACCAGCTTTGTGACATAGCTTTTTTCAGAGTCCAAAAGGTACAGAGAAAAAACAGCCCTAACTGCAGAGGCAGGGGCGGGAGAGGAGGACAGGAGGAGGAAAAAGGAAGAAGAGGGGATGAGGGTAGGGTGGGTAATGGGCCAAAGGTTAGCTGCAAAGAGAAACCAATGTTGTCTCTAGCAGAAAAAAATTATTGAAAACATCCCAGCATTCCCTGACTTAAATGGTTATTGAAGCAAACAGAAATAAACCTTTCTCCAAAGTCACTGAGGTGACAGGGAAGAAAATGGCCTCCCAAAACGCAGGTGTCTGATGTTTCTCTACAACAATGGTTCTCAACAAGGAGTGATTTGCTCTTTCAGGGGACATTTGGCAATATCTGGAGATATTCTTGGTTGTCACAACTCAGGGGAGGTTAGGGGATGCTACTACTAATACTAGCACTGTTGGTAGACACCAGGGATGCCACTGAACATTCTATGAGGGACAGTCCCCCACAACAAAGAATTATCAGACCCAACATATTAATAGTGCTGAAATTAAGAAACCCTGTCCTACAAAGGATTTTTGTTGTTGCAACAACTGCTTTTCTGTTTTCCGAAAGGGTTCCCAAAGTCTAAATGTCCCACTTGGACTCAGGAGTCAGGTATCAAGTCACGCTCTTAAAACCTAAACCCTGCTGACCTAGAATGCGATGTGCTAGAATGTGCAAGAATCGGGATGAGTCACTGGATCCGTTTTCAGTTCGTTCCACCCACAGATCCGTCCTTTGCAGGCGCCCCAGAAAAGATTGCTTCAGAGCTGGCACCAATGGAGAAGGGACAGAGGCCCAGCAACAGGGCGGGATTGGCAGGCGGAAGGGAGCGTGTGATGAGCTGAGCTCACAAAGGGCCGGGGTGCTGGGCTGCAGCTGGGGAGGGCGGGGTTGGATCAGCGCCTGCTCCTCCGCCTTCGTTTTTCCCCTCCCCCTAAGGATTCAGTTCCCCCTTCTGAAATTCACCACCTTGTATGTGACTTAATCCAGCCCCATGAAACTGTCTGAGAGCATGAGTGAGGGTCAACAAACTTGCTTCCCCCAAGAAAAAGGGTGGAATCAGAGAGGTGGTGGGAAGGGTTTGCCTTGCTTTGTCATCGCTTATATAACCATAAAAGGTTGTCAAGGACGCCTGCAGGTTAGAGGCCTGGCAAACAGGAAGTAAAAAAAAAAAACCTGGGGAATGTGTTCTTCTTCCTGTTTCTGCTTGTGCTGTATAACTGTGTGGTGGAACACAAACCGCTCCAGCTTAAAAATAACCCATTCATCTCAGCGGTCAAAACCGGACTTAGCTAGTCTCCAAATTTGCCTACTTTAGGAACATTAGGAAGTTATTTAACCTATTTGGGCTTTGTTTGTGTCGTCGTTTGGTTTTGTCTTAAAATTGTGGTAAAATACACATAAAATTTACCATTCTTAAGTGTACATTTCTGTAGCATGAAGTACATTCAGTATTGTGCATCAGCCATCACCACCAAGCCATTTCTGGAGCTCTTTTCGTCTTGCAAAACAAACTCTGTCCCCATGAAAAACTGATTCCCCATTTCTCCCTCCCACCAGCCCCTGGCATCCACCATTCTACTTTCTGTCTCTATGAATTTGACAACTCATGTGACCTCATATAATAAGCTTTGTTTAAGGGTAAAATAAAATTTAATAGTTGAAAAAGCACTTTTTTCAAAGAGTATTTCTAGGAAGCTCCAATTCCTGACACCAACCTTTAACAATAACAACTCCCTGCGGTATTTTTTTTCCTTGTCATGCACTAGTAGAAATATTTGGCTTTGTTTCTTTGTTTTTTGAAACAGTATCTCGCTCTGTCATGCAGTGGTATGATCACGGCTCACTCTGCAGCCTGGATGTTCCGGATCAGGTGATCCTCCCACCTCAGCCTTCTGTGTAGGTAGGACTACAGGTATGCGCCACCACACCTAATTTTTGCATTTTTTGTAGAGAGGAGGGTTTCGCACTTTGGGAGGCTGAGGCCGGTGGATCACCTGAGGTCAGGTGTTCGAGACCAACCTGTCCAACATGCTGAAACTCCATCTCTACTAAAAATACAAAAATTATCAGGTGTGGTAGCTCACGCCTGTAATCCCAGCTACTCCAGAGGCTGAGGCAGGAGAATCACTTGAGCCCTGAAGTCAGAGGTTGCAGTGAGTCGAGATCGTGCCACTGCACTCCAGCCTGGGTGACAGTGAGACTCTGTCTCCAAAAAATAAAATAAGAGATGGGGGTTTCACCATGTTGCCCAGGCTGGTCTTGAACTCCTGGGCTCAAGTGATCCTTCTGCCCTGGCCTCCCACAGGGCTGGGAATACAGACATGAGCTAATGTGCCTGGCTGAAATATTTAATTATAAGGTACAAAGTAATGTCATATAAGTGTGGGGTCATAGTAAGAAATAAAAAATAAAAATAAAAAATATTGAAAAAAATAGCCAGGCATGGTGGCCTACACGTGTAATCCCAGCATTTTTGGGAGGCCAACGTGAGAGGGTCACTTCAGCCCAGGAGTTAAACACCAGCTGAGCTACATGGTGAAACCCTGTCTCTACCAAAACAAACAAACAAAAATTAGCCAGGCGGTGGTGCATGCCTGTAGTTCCAGCTGCTCAGGAGGATGAGGTGGGAGGATCACTTGAGCCCAGGAGTTTGAGGCTGCAGTGAGCTGTGATTGCACCACAGCACTCCAGCCTGGGCAACAGAAACAGACCCTGTCTCAAGCAAAATAAATAAATAAATAAACAAAAGAAGAAACAAAGTAAAACAGAAGTGAAACTGCCTTTGCAAAAGTCATAACAGAAAATTATTACAGTGAAAGAGATCTGACCTCACTGACTCCATCTCGCGTCTAACCTCCAAACTGTCTTTGTTCATTCCTAGGTGTAGGCTGAACTGACTTTGGAGGAGCTTAGTTTATAGTTTAATTCTGAAACAAAGGTGATAGCCTTTTCCTAAAACAAGCCCCCTTCCTGCCTGCGCACTAGACTGCTTTGCAGGACTAACAAATTGGCCACAAGATTACAAATTATGGTTTAGGAGTCACGCAGCTGGAGACTGCAAGATTCTGTCCATGCTGAAATTGCTCCTGAGGATAACATCACTATTGTAAAACCTAAGACCAGTGCTTGAGATATTTTGCATACTCTGCACTCAGTGGGCCGACTGACACCACCCAGATTGATAAACTGGCTCATCTGGTCTTGTGGCCCCCACCTAGGAACTGACTCAGGGCAAAGGGACAGCTTCGACTCCCTGTGATTTCATCTCCGACCCAACCAATCAGTACTCCCGATTTCCCGACCTCCCTACACACCAAATTATCCTTCAAAACTCCAATCCCTGAGTTTTCAGGGAGACTGATTTGAGTAATAGTAAAACTCCCGTCTCCCACACTGCCAGCTGTGTGTGAATTAAACGTTCTCTATTATGGCAGGGCGAGGTGGCTTGCGCCTGTAATCCCAGCACTTCGGGAGGCTGAGGTGGGCGGATCACAGTTTCCCTGTCCTAATAAATGGGCTCTGTCTAGGCAGCGGGCAAGGAGAAACTGTTGGGCAGTTACAGAAGCATGTAAGTTTTGTGTTAGGCCTGATGACTTCAGAAATTATCTTCAATGATTTTCCCCTAAAACCTTGTTGACATTTAGGGAGAAATAACCTTTCCTGAAGCTCATTAGAAACAAGCTGTCACCAATGCGTCACCACCTAACTGGTGAGTCAGTTCGCAAGTTTCATTTTCTTCATCTCAAAAATGAAAGCTCTAGATCTAGGATTAGACGCTTTTACCATTTAAAACATGAAGTCAAGTCAAATGAAAGAAAGGGGCTGACAGGTGAGGAATTCATTATAATTGCAAAGAACTGTACCACAGAATGCAGCCGAATCCCTTCTTTCATTCTTATTATTATTTAGAGAGCTGGGAACTGGTTAAACTTTAAAAAATATAATTTATTTTTATGTATTTATTTTTGCCTAAAGATCATTCATGCAAGTAAATCAATCTCCCCTCCCCTCCCCTTCCCCTTTCCCTCCCCTTCCCCTTCCTTTCCTTTCCTTTCCTTTCCGAGCCAAGGTCTCCCTTTGTTGCCCAGGCTGCTTTCAAACTCCTGGCCTCAAGCAATTCTCCTGCCTCATGCCTCCCAAAGTGCTGGGATTACAGGCCTGAGCCACCATCTTTTGCTTTCAGTGATAAAACACAGAAACACAGTGGAGGTGAAAGCAACTCCATCTTGGTTGCTAATCCACCAAGATAACTTCCGATTAATGCCTCTTCCAGGAAGGTCTCTAAGATTTCTACTTTACTGTTACCATAAATTCTGCCCTTAGATCAGAACAACCTAGATCATAAATCCTTCCCTTATGCGGATTCACATAACATTCTTGCCTTGCTTGAGGGGTCAACTTCAATTGTCCTACATATATTCCTTCCCTATGGTATGGAAGCCCTGGGCCGGGGGTTATGGCGCAGCAAACCTTATATCCTCTGATGACCACCCTGAGACTATGGCTTCTGTTGGTAAGTCCCTAATAAATGTTTTTTCCTGAGAAACTGGGTTTGTCAACCCCTTTCTTTGGCCTCTCAGCTCCCTTGGCCTTTGGGGTAGGTTTGCATAGGCCTGCTCACCCCGGAACACAGTGTATGAATATAAATGTAAATTGCACTTGCATTACAGCCGTGGAGACGTGTTGCTGAGGAAGCAGAGAGCAAAGCCCCGCTGGGATGTGAGTTTGCTTCTGGGTTCCTCCCATGCAAATGAGGTGGTTCGTGGCAGTGCAGAGGAGGAGTGAGATGGCAAACAGGGGGGCCCAGACCTTCCAGCAACTTACACACTTGCCCTCTGATGGCCAAGAATGCGTCAACAGCCCTCGAGGCCAGTGCAGTACAATCATGGTGGCACGAGATGTGGTGTACACTCCCCAAATGATCATCCTGCTCACTTTTGCTGTGGTTTCAGTCATCAAGTCAGGTTTTGCCTTAACACTTTTCTGCTGATTACTCCCATCAGCCTCTTCTAACTCATGTGCATTTGAAACATTAGAGATTTCAGAATGGGAAGATCACACCTGGTGTGAGAATCTGAGCTCCAAGTAGTGCCTGGAATCACAATGCTTATGATAATCACATCCATGGCACTTTAATGATAAAGAACCACGGACCAAAACGAATACAGAAAGCAACAAAACTACAATGGAGATGCCGGGGATCGAACCCGGGGCCTCATACATGCAAAGCATGCGCTCTACCACTGAGCTACATCCCCCTCCCTTTCCTGTACTTGCTTTTGGAAGTCCTTGCTATACTCTATTCTTAAAGGCGTTTTTCCTGTTTCCACGTGTTTCATTTTTATTTTTGGTTTTTATTATTGTTTGGACGCATAACAATTGTGCACATTTATGAGGTGTGGTGTGATGTTGTGATCTATGTACACAATTTGTAATGTTCAAATCAGGGCAATGACCACATCCATCCCTTCAAACATGTATCATTTCTCTGTGCTGGGAGACATTAAAAATCCACGCTTCCAGCTATTTGAAAACGTACAATAAGTTGTTGTATTCACTCTATAGGGACACTGGAACTTATTCCTCCTATTCAGCTGTACTTTTGTATCCAGTAACCCCCCTTTGGCTATCCCACCTCCCCCCACCTTCACTACCTGCAGTAACCACTATTCTCTCTGTGAGACCAACTATTTCAGCTTCCGCACGTGAGTGAGATCATGCAGTATTTATCTTTCTGTGCCCGGTTTATTTCACTTTATGTAATGTCGCCCAAACTTAGCCATGTTTTTATTTTTGTTTCGTAGAGGAAAAATGACAGGATTTCATTTTGTTTTGTATTTTTTTAAGGTCGAATAGTATTCTATTGCGTATGTACACATTTTCTCTATCCATGTATCTGTTGACGGACACATCTAGGCACTTATGAATAAAGCTGCAATACACACGGGAGTGCGAGAGGCTTTTAGTTTTTGGTTGGTTGGTTTGTTTTGAGACAGAGTTTTGCTCTGTCGCCCAGGCTGGAGTGCAGTGGCATGATCTGGGCTCACTGCAACCTCCGCCTCCTGGGTTCAAGCGATTCTCCTGCCTCAGCCTCCCGAGTAGCTGGGACTACAGGCGTGCACCACCACGCCTGCTAATTTCTGTATTTTTAGTAGAGATGGGGGGGGGTTCAGCATGTTGGCCAGGCTGGTCTCGAACTCCTGACCTCAGGTGATCTGCACCCCTTGGCCTCCCAAAGTGCTGGGATTACAGGCGTGAGCCACTGCGCCCAGCCAAGGATATTTTCTAAATTAAACTTTTGTGTGTTTAAGTGAGTGTTAGAGTTTAGCAAAACCACCACAACAACAAAAAATTGTTTTATGTTTCCCAAGTAGGTTAGCTCTTCATAACCTTGCAACTAAAATTCTAGCGGATACCAGAACCAAGGAACAAATGTAAACTGACCCATTCTTAAATGTTCCTCTTCACAGACAGAAGAGAAGAGAAGGAAAATCGAGTTTCTTTCCAACAAATAAGGGCATTGGCTTGATTGTACCTTCACCCAGAAACCTCTGATTTCTCATCCTTTAAAACCATACCAACCTTCAGTGACTTTGAGGTTTGCATATCAGCTGGAAGACATTTTTTCCTCCCAAAAGAACTATTATGGCCGTGCGCCATGGCTCATGCCTGTAATCCCAGCACTTTGAGAGGTAGAGGTCGGCGGATCACTTGAGGCCAAGAGTTTGAGACCAGCCTGGCCAACATGGCGTGAACCCCGTCTCTACCAAAAATACAAAAAATTAGCCGGATGTGGTGGCGAGCGCTTGTAGTCCCAGCTACTCGGGAGGCTAAGGCGAGAGGATTTTTGGAGCCCAGGAGGCAGTGGTTGCAGTAAGCCAAGATCATCCCACAGCACGCCAGCCTGGGAGACAGAGGGAGACCACATCTAAAAAAAAAAAAAAAAAAAAAAAATCCGTCTGAATATAAATATCAGCAAACTGAAAAGAAACATATCCACTTCCCAGAATGAGGGCTTCAGCTTGGAGGAAGGAGTCTCTTTACAATTGCCCACCGAAAAGAGCCATTCTTTTTGTTTGTTTGTTTGTTTGTTTTTTTGAGACCGAGTCTCGCTTTGTCGCCCAGGCTAGAGTGCAGTGGCAGGATCTTGGCTCACTGCAGCCACCGCGTCCCGGGTTCAAACGATTCTCCTGCCTCAGGCTCCTGAGTAGCTGGGATTACAGGCGTGCACCACTACGCCCAGCTAATTTTTGTATTTTTAGTAGAGACGGGGTTTCACCATGTTGGTCAAGCTAGTCTCAAACTCCTGACCTCGTTATCCGCCCCCTGCCCCCCTCCCGCCCGCCCCAGCCTCCCAAAGTGCTGGGATTACAGGCGTGAGTCACCGTGCCCGGCCCTAAGAGCCATTCTTAAACTGTGAATTTGCATCTCTCTTCCAGAGGGTTTCTTAAGCACACCAGGGGAGAGAAGTCACAATGTCTGGTGTCCTTCAGGTCATCAAAAAGCTGTTCCTTGGGGAAAGAATGGGTGAGAAGCTAGGAGAGGGCGGAAAACTGAAGGCTATACCTCTTTCCATCAGCCTTGAGATTTCTTGGCTGGAAATAGACACTTATTGTGATAAGGAAAGCTTGCATCAAAAATGTCCTGCCGCCTCGTTCTCCATAGTTCCCTGACAGCTGCTGGCACTTGAAACTCTTCCTAGCCAAAGACCATGCAAAATTGTCAGAAAAGTTAGTAGCCTGGGGGCAAGAAGTGCTGGACACAGCAGCTGTGATTGCATCACCTAACCTCTGGGCCTCATCTGTGAAAGAGATTTCAATGTACCTACCTCATCTGGTTATTGTGACAATTTAATGAGTTACACATAAAATATGTATAATAGTGTCTGGTAGAAAGCACAGGCTCTGGGCTGGGTGCAGTGGCTCAGGTCCATAATCCCAGTGCTTTAGGAGGCCGAGGTGGGAGGACTGCTTGAGCCCAGGCGTTCAAGACCTGCCTGGGAAACACAGTGAGACACCCCACCCCACCCCCACTCAGGAGGCTGAGGCAGGAGGATCTCGTGAGTCTGGGAGGTCAAGACTGCAGTGAGCTGAGATTGTACCACTGCACTCCAGCCTGGGCGAAAGAGCAAGACCCTCTCTCAAAATTAAATAAATAAATAAGGCCAGGTGCACTGGCTCGCAACTGTAATCCCTGCACTTTGGAAGGCCGAGATGGGTGGATCACCTGAAGTCAGGGGTTCGAGACCAGCCTGGCCAACATGAGGAAACCCCGTCTCTATTAAAAATACAAAAAATTAGCTGGTCATGGTGGCACGGGTCTGTAATCCCAGCTACTCAGGAGACTGAGGCAGGAGAATCGCTTGAACCCAGGAGGCGGAGGTTGCAGTTAGCCGAGATTGCACCACTGCACTCCAGCCTAGGCAACAAGAGCAAAACTCCGTCTCAAATAAATAAATAAATAAATAAATAAATAGAAGGCAGGAACTGTGAAATGTGGGTCTGGCTTTTATAAATGTTATTATCATAGGACTCTGCTGGAGGGCAGTTGCCTCTTCTATTCAGCCCGGCGTGATGCTTTGCTGACCCGTTTTGGAGAGATGGGGGAGAGCAGGAGGGCAGTGGGGAGGTGAGGAATAGGGACCACCGTGTAAACCATCCTCTGACCTCATTTCCCCAGCCTAAGTGGGAGCCACGGGAGAGAGACCCTGGCAGCAGAAGAGCAGGATGGCGCCATAGGTGGCATCATTTTGGATGTGGTTGAGGAGCAAGCCCACGGGTTGTTCTCAGTCCGCAAGTGCCCCTGCTTCCTCTTGTGCCCACCCACCTGGCTGCCAGAGGGCACTGCTCAAACAAACCTGAATGTTTCTCTCTGCATGAAACTCTCAGAATCAAACCCATACCTCCTGCCCTCCATATCCCTTCAAGGTACGATGTAATCCGGCCTCTGAGGACCGCTCTGACTTCACCTCCTTCTGCCCCACTCCTCCGTCCTCCCTATCCTCTTCCATGGGTGCTTCTGCCACACCAGCTTCCTCACTGTTTCTTCCCAGTTCAGGGCCTTTGCACTTGCTGTTCCCTCTGCCTAGAATGCTGTTCCCAGTTCTTTTTTTTTTTTTTTTTTTTTTGAGACGGAGTTTTGCTCTTGTTGCCCAGGCTGGAGTGCAATGGCGTGATCTCGGCTCACTGCAACCTCTGCCTCCTGGGTTCAAGCGATTCTCCTGCCTCAGCCTCCTAAGTAGCTGGGATTACAGGCATGTGCCATCACATCCAGCTAATTTTGTATTTTTTAGTAGAGACGGGGTTTCTCCATGTTGGTCAGGCTGGTCTCAAACTTCCGACCTCAGGTGATCCACCCGCCTCTGCCTCTCAAAGTGCTGGGATTGCAGGCGTGGGCCACCGTGCCCGGCCTCCAGCTCTTCTTATGGTTGGCTCTTTCTCATTTTCCTGGTCCTGGTTCAAATGCCACCACCGCAGAAAGGCCTCCCTGAGCACCTCTCTAAAGGGGCCTATGAATCCCACTCACTCCCTATCCCATGCCTCTGGTTTGCCTGGTTTTTCTTCATGGCATTTACCCATTTTATCCTATTTGTTCAATGCCAGGTCCTTCACTAGGTGGTAATCTCAACAGGGCAGCACCTTCTCTGTCTTGCTGCCTAGAACCGTGCCTGGCACATAATAGGTACTCAGTAAATATTTGTAAAATGAATATGGAAAGTTAACAAAAGATAAGCGCCCGGGAAAGGTGATAGCTGTATTCAGGAAGCTGAGTCTGCAACTGCCTAAAGACAAGAAAACGTCTCAAATCTATCAACATTTTCCAAGGGCCCTCCCTCGGGGCTGGAGCAAATCCTAAGACGGAAGCAGAAGGAGCAGTTCCTGGCCTCGGAAGCTGATAATCTTATTCTGAGAAACCATTACATAAACCAAACAGTTTGCAGGAGGGGTGCAAGAAATGGATGAACACGGCCAGACACGGTGGCTCAGGCCTGTAATCCCAGCACTTTGGGAGGCCGAGGCAGGAGGATCACCCGAGGTCAGGAGTTCGAGACCAGCCTGGCCAAAACGGTGAAACCCCATCTCTACCAAATATACAAAAATTAGCTGGGCCTGGTGGCGCATGCCTGTAATCCCAGCTACTCGGGAGGCTGAGGAAGGAGAATCGCTTGAACCCAGGAGGTGGAGGTTGCAGTGAGCTGAGATCACACAACTGCACTCCAGCCTGGTGACAGAGCAAAACTCCGACTTAAAAAAAAGAAAGAAAGAAGTGGTTTCTAGGCCGGGTGCAATGGCTCACGCCTGTAATCCCAGCACTTTGGGAGGCCGAGGCGGGCAGATCACAAGGTCAGGAGTTGGAGACCAGCCTGGCAACATGGTGAAACCCCGTCTCTACTAAAAATATAAAAATTACTCGGGCGTGGTGGCGGACGCCTGTAGTCCCAGCTGCTTGGGAGGCTGAGGCGGGAGAATCGCTTGAACCCGGAAGGCGGAGGTTACAGTGAGCTGAGATCGGGCCACTGCACTCCAGCCTGGGAGACAGAGCGAGACTCTGTCTGAGGAAAAAAAAAAAAAAAAAGAAATGGTCTCCAAAAAAAAAGAACGAAATGGATGAACACTTCCACATGCGAGCACTGCCTTTTTCTTGCTTTCCTGTAACAGTGTGGCACGCAACGAGGCCAGAGACAACCACAGAACCAGAGTCCCGTTTACCTGCCGGGTTTATTCTTCATAGGAAGAGTAAGGAAAAATACGGAAGAATGGTAAAAACGTACTTGGCCTCCCCGTCGGGGAATCGAACCCCGGTCTCCCGCGTGACAGGCGGGGATACTCACCACTATACTAACGAGGACCGCCCATAAAACAGGTTCTTCAAGAGACTGTTTTAAGGTAAACGTAGCTTTCCCTAAACACTTTCCAAAGAATTAAGTATCTTGTATTTCCCACAAAACAACAGGTCCGACTTGACTTCATGCCATTTTAAGGCGATCGTTTCCAGTTCAGAAAGCAGACGTTAAAAAACAGAAAGCAAAAATGAACAAACAGGCATCAACAAATGTGCATTTGAGACATGGAGGAGGTGGAGACGGGAAAAACTTGACCTTATTTGATTTACCCAAACGGGGAGTGGAGGGGGAGTTTCCTTTCCCTCTGGCTCCTCGCGGACACTGCTCGGGGCTTTGTTAAATATAGAAAGTAAAAGCCTTTGATCAATTGGAAGGAATCGGCTTCGTCTATGCACCTCCTTTTTCCCCCGGGGGGAAGGAAAAAGAGGAAGTGCCGAAACCCGGGATCGAACCAGGGACCTTTAGATCTTCAGTCTAACGCTCTCCCAACTGAGCTATTTCGGCAGCCGTTACGACTGCGATGCTCTTTTATCCTCCTGGTCGTTTTGCCGCCCCGGGTCTTTGACACAGACGCTGGGAATGCAGGTTCAGCAGGGACTGCGTGCGGTGGCCTGTTCGTCTGTCAAGGCCACGACCTCTGAGAAGCCTTCTCTGATCACATCTCCCGCCATGGCCCAGCCTTTACTATTTACTGTTAACTTTATCATTTTCCTTGTCCGTCTCCCCAGCAAGCATGACAAACACAAGAGGAGCAGGAACCTTGTCTACCTCGGGCACCGCTGTGTCCCTCAGTACCTAGAACAGTGCCTAGCACATTGTGGGGCCTTGACAAATATTTGTTGACTGATTGACTGACTGACTACATGAATGAATGCATGCGTGAATGAATGAATCCCACCTGGTTCAGAGCTCGGGTTTCTCAAGCCCCCTTCTCCGCGCAAAGGAAAAAGGTCATCCCCTGGGCGCAGCTCCGCAAGCAGCGCGAGGCGTGGCAGGGATGTTGACCTCGCCAGGGCCTACGGGAGGACGCGTCAGCCGGAACGCAGCGTTCCTCGGGCAGGGAGTGACTCAGATCCGGCCTCCGAGTGTGGCCTCCATGCTTGTGAGCACCTGCTCAGCTTCCAAGCGGGAAGACGTCAACAGGTTGGCATCCAGACTGGGCTCTTCGCTTCGGGAAGTGGGCGGTTGGACGGTGCGGGTGTTGTCCGGGAAAGAATCAGGAAATCCCTCATGACCTGAAGTCATTCAAGAAGCATTCGCCGAGCACCTAATAATCGTCTGACCCATCAACAAATACAATTAACAGGCCAGGTGCGGGGGCTCAACCTAGTAATCCCAGAGCTTTGGGAGGCCCAGGTGAAAGCAGACTCGCTTGTGGGTAGGAGTTCGAGACCAGTCTGGGCAAAATAGTGAGCTCCCTATCTTATTAAAAAAAAAAAAAAAAGCCAAATACAATAACAAAATAAGTCCACATAATAGTAAATGCTAAGAAAAATAAAATACCTGCACTGTGGGGGCAGCAAGAGAAGGGAAGATCTGAGAAGACCAGAAGACTGAAGAGCCACGGGAAGACCTGGAGGAAGAGCATCACAGACGGAGGGAACAGCTAGTACAAAGGTCCTGAGGTTGAAACCAGGTTGGCTTGTCAGAGGGACAGAAAGAAGTCATGATGGAAGAGGTGGAGGGGAAGAGGAGTGAGGGGAGGGGGCAAGGTCTGAATGTGGGGCGGAGACCAGATCTCGCCATCTTTGGAGGCCTAGGAGATGAGCCTGGGTGCCCTGGATCTTGGAAAGCCATGGGGGAGTGAGATGATTTCCATCTGCAAAGTCACCCCGGCTGCTGGGTGGAGAATGGACTGGCCAGCCAGAGTGGCAGCAGGAAGTCCAGCGAGGAGGCAGTTGGAGGTGTTGATGAAGGGACGAATTTGAGACTGGCTTCAGAAGGAGGGTGGGAGGACTTGTTGATGGATTTCATATAGGGAAAGGGGAAAGAAAGGGGGGTGAAGGATGACACCCAGCGGCTGTCTGGGCTACTGGACGGATGGTGATGCTCTTGCCCGAGGGCAGGTGCCTCAGAGTGAGTAAGGAAATCAAGACTTCAGTCACAGGCATGTTACGTTTCGAGATGCCCACTACACTTCCAAATGGATGCACTGGGTCAGCCAATTTCCTGAACTTCCTGGAGCAAACCGGAGTCCCCTTAAGAGTCCTCAAACCTGGTGTCATGGGCTGAATTCTATCCCTCCAAAGTCTGTATGTTGAAGCCCTAACACCCAGTTCCTCAGAATGTCACCGTATTTGGAGATAGGGCCTTTAAAGATGTGATTAAGTTAAAATTAGGTCATTAGGGGAAGCCCTAATCCAATGTGACTGTTGTCCTCGAAAGAGGAGGAGATTAGGATTAGGACACAGACACACATGCAGGGGGACGACCATGTGAGGACCCGGCAGGGAGGCAGCCATTCGCAAGCCCAGAAGAGAGGCTTCAGAAGAAACCAAGCCTGCCAGCACCTAGATCTTAGACTTCCAGCCTCCAGAAAAGTGAGAAAATACGTTTCTGTATCTCAAGCCCCGCCAGCCTATGGTATTTTGTTATGGCAGCCTGAGGAGACTAATACACCTTCCACCCTACTCACTGTGGCTGGATTTTCCAAAAGAGTGGAAAGATTTCACATTGTCTCTCTTCTGAAATTCTTCACTCCCTTCCTGTCAAGAATAGAGCCCCTTCTAAAGATCCTCCCACAAGAGCATGGCAAATGGCCTTTGGGGGGGCCCAGCATTGTGTATTCATTTCTGATATGGGTATCAGGTCTGGCTAGATCCAGCTCCAGACAGCTAGGCCAGCAATGCAGCACATCCAGCTCTGAGCCTGTGAGAGAAGGAGTGGGCTTTGGTGTCCATCCGGCTCTTCAGTCTGCAGCAATCCCAAACCAAGGTGTGTGTTCCGAAAATGTGTGTTGCTAAAGAAATTGAGAAGGGAAAACTGGAGTCTCCTGGCAATTTCTAATATTTTAAAAATGACTTACTCATTTTGTTTTGTTCCCCATAGTTTTTTCTCAAATGATTCAGTTCATACAACCAATGCCCTATTTTTCTCACTTGATAATGTATCAGCTCAGTGCTTTGCATATAGGAGGCTGTCAATGAATATTTGTTGGATAAACAAGTTGCCAGGTCTTAATTACTTAATCACTTAATGGCTTCTAATGCTGCAGTAACAGATCACCACAAACTGAGTGGCTTAAAACAACAGAAATTTATTCTCTCACAGTTCTGAAGACCAGAGTCCAAAATCAAGGGGTCAGCAGTGCTTGTTCCTTCTGGAGGCTCTGGGGAAGAAACTGTCCCATGCCACCTCCCACCCCCAGCTTCTAGTGGTGGCCTTGGTGTCCTTTGTCATGTAGTTTCATCATTGCACTCTCTGCCCACTTTTTCACATAGCCTTCCTCTCCATGCCTCTGTGTACTTTCCCCTTTTCTTTCTTTATGTTTGTTGTTGTTGTTACATTTTTTGTAGAAATGGGGGTCTCAATCTGCTGCCCAGGCTGGTCTCCAACTCCCAGGCTCAAGCCATCCTCCCACCTCAGCCTCCAAAAGTTCTGGGATTACAGGTGTCAGCTACCACAAATGGCCTGCTTTTTCCTTTGCTGTCTCCTATAAGGACACATGTCATGGGATTTAGGATCCACCCTAATCCAGGATCAACTCATTTGAGCTCTCTCCCTTAATTATCTCTTTAAAGACCCTTGGATTCCAAGTAAGGTCACCTTTTGAGGTTCTGGGCAGATATATCTTGTAAGAGGTCACTATTCATCCCACTACAATTACCAATCACATATTTTTTTATTTTATTTTATTTTATTTTATTTTATTTTTTGAGATGGAGTCTTGCTCTGTCTTCTGGGCTGGAGTGCAGTAGCAGGATCTTGGCTCACTGAAACCTCTGCCTTCTGGAATTCAAGTGGTTCTCCTGCCTCATCCTCCCGAGTAGCTGGGACTACAGGCGCACATCACCACATCTGGCTAATTTTTGTATTTTTAGTAGAGACGGGGTTTCACTATGTTGGCCAGGCTGGCCTCAAACTCCTGACCTCAAGTGACCGACCCGCCTCGGCCTCCCAAAGTGCTGGGATTACAGGGGTGAGCCACCATGCCCAGCACACATATTTCATTTTCATGAGTTGATTTTTTTTTTAAGCAAAATATGAGGCTGGGTGTGGTGGCTCACACCTGTAATCCCAGCACTTTGAGAGACCAAGGTGGGTGGATCACTTGAGCCCAGGAGTTCAAGACCAGCCTGGGCAACATAGTGAGACCCCGTCTCTAATACAAAAATTAGCCAGGTGTGGTGGCACATGCCGGTAGTCCTAGCACTTTGGGAGGCTGAGGTGGGTGGATCACGAGGTCAGGAGATCGATACCATCGTGGCCAACATGGTGAAACCCTGTCTCTACTAAAAATACAAAAAAATTAGCTGGGCGTGGTGGCCGCGCCTGTAGTCCCAGCTACTCGGGAGGCTGAGGCAGGAGAATCACTTGAATCCGGGAGGTGGAGGTTGCAGTGAGCCGAGATCACACCACTGCGCTCCAGCCTGGTGACAGAGCAAGACTCCATTAAAAAAAAAAAAAAAAAGCTCAGTATCAAGAATCATAGAAAAGTATGAAGATGTGAACTAATAAGCATCCATATCCTTCTTCTTAGAAATATCCCTCATGGATAGTAATTGAACACCATTCTAAGCCTCTCTGCAGTGGATATATACAGAGAGCATGAGAGATTGACAGATAGATTGTATTAAAATGGAATCAGATTATATATTTTATTTTTAATCTTTTTTTTGGGACGGAGTCTCACACTGTCGGCTGGGCTGGAGTGCAATGGCGTGATCTTGGCTCACTGCAACCTCCACTTCCTGGGTTCAAGTGATTCTCTTGCCTCAGCCTCCTGAGTAGCTGGGATTACAGGTGCTCGCCATCGTGCCCGGCTAATTTTTTGTATTTTTAGTACAGACGGGGTTTCACTATGTTGGCCAGGCTGGTCTCGAACTCCTGGCCTCATGATCTGCCCACCTCAGCCTCCCAAAGTGCTGGGATTATAGGCATGAGCCACCGCACCCAGCTTTATTTTTAACAAAAGGCAGCAACATCAATTTTAGTTTCACAAGAGAATAAGAAATCAGAAATGAAATGGAAGGAATTACTGAACTTAAGATAACTGTTTTGGGGCTGGGCGCGGTGGCTCACGCCTGTAATCCCAGCACTTTGGGAGGCTGAGACGGGGTGGATTAACTGAGGTCCAGAGTTCGAGATCAGCCTGACCAATATGGAGAAACCCCGTCTCTACTAAAAATACAAAATTAGCCAGGCGTGGTGGCGCATGCCTGTAATCCCAGCTATCGGGAGGCTGAGGCAGGAGATCACGCCATTGCACTCCAGGCTGGGCGACAAGAGTGAAACTCCATCTCAAAAAAAAAAAAAAAAAAAAAAAGATAAATGTTTTTTCACCCCATGAGACAAATTAGTTTGTAATCAATTCCATGTGTTAAGAAAAAAATTAAACATTTAGAGGCTTTATTTTTATTTTTGAGATGGAGTTTCCCTCTTGTCGCCCAGGCTAGAGTGCAGTGGCACGATCTCCGCTCACTGCAACCTCCGCCTTCCGGTTTCAAGCAATTCTCCTGCCTCAGCCACCCGAGTAGCTGGGATTACAGGTGCCCGTCAGCACGCCAGGCTAATTTTTGTATTTTTAGTAGAGACGGGGTTTCATCACGTTGACCAGGCTGGTCTTGAACACCTGACCTCAGGTGATTCCCGCCCGCCCGCTGCCTACGGCTCCCAAGGTGCTGGGATTACAGGCTTGAGCCACCATGCCCGACACCATTTAGAGGCATTTTAAAAGAATTCACATTAGTTTGGCCCGGTGCGGCAGCTCAGGCCTGTAATCCCAGCACTTTGGGAGGCCGAGGCGGGCAGATCACGAGGTCAGGAGATCGAGACCATCCTGGCTAACACGGTGAAACCCGTCTCTACTAAAAAACACAAAAAAATTAGCTGGACGTGGTGGCGGGTGCCTGTAGTCCCAGCTACTCGGGAGGCTGAGGCAGGAGAATGGCGTGAACCTGGGAGGCGGAGCTTGCAGTGAGCCAAGATCATGCCACTGCACTCCAGCCTGGGCGACAGAGCGAGACTCTGTCTCAAAAAAAACAAAACAAAAAAAATTCACATCAGTTTAAATTGGCACGTGCTATTCATCACCTGATATAGAGCAATTCATTTAACTATCTTCTGATCTGTGGCTATTTAGGTTGTTTCTGCATAGGTTTTTCCTTTTGTATTTAAGATTTGTTCACTAAAGGCAAAATTCCATATATAGATTATGAAGTCCGAGTGTGGGATCTGGAAGCAGTTTCTGAAAAGGCTGAAGCCATTTATAGCTCCATCCTTCCCATTCCATTCTTGTCTTCTCCAAACATGGCTTAGGCTTAGTCTTTTTTTTTTTTTTGAGACGGAGTCTCGCTCTGTCACCAGGCTGGAGTGCAGTGGCGTGATCTCGGCTCACTGCAACCTCTGCCTCCCAGGTTCAAGAGATTCTCCTGCCTCAGCCTCCTAAGTAGCTGGGACTGCAGGCCACCCATCTAATTTCCACCTAGCTAATTGTTTTATTTGTATTTTTAGTAGAGACAGGGTTTCATGTTGGCCAGGATGGTCTCAAACTCCTGACCTCAGGTGATCTGATTGCCTCCGCCTCCCAAAGTGCTGGGATTACGGGCGTGAGCCACTACGCCCGGCCGGTCATTCTTAAAAGTAAATGTTTTTGTTTGTTTGTTTTGTATTGAGGTGAAACTCACATAACATAAAACTAGCTTTAGAGATCGGGTTCTCACTATATCTCAAACTCCTGGCCTCAAGCAATCCCCTCGCCTTGGCTTCCCAAAGTGCGGCAATTACAGGCATGAATCAATGCGCCTGGCCAAAACCAATTATTTTATTTATTTTCTTTTTTTGAGATGGAGTCTCTCTGTCGCCTAGACTGGAGTGCAGTGGCATAGTCTCAGCTCACTGCAGCCTCGGCCTCCCAGGTTCAAGCGATTCTCCTGCCTCAGACTTCCGAATAGTTGAGATTACAGGCACACGCCACCATGTCTGGCCAATTTTTTAATTTTTAGTACAGATGAGCTTTTTAGTAGAGGCCAGGCTGGTCTCGAACTCTTTACCTCAAGTGATCTCCCTGCTTCAGCCTTACCAAGTGCTGGAATTATAGGCGTGAGCCACTGCACCCGGCCCAAACCAACCATTTTATTTTATTTTTATATATTTTTGTGTGTTTTTTTTTGTTTTTTTTTTGTTTTGTTTTGTTTTTGTTTTTTTGAGACGGAGTTTCGCTCTTGTTGTCCAGGCTGGAGTGCAATGGCGCGACCTCGGCTCACAGCAATCTCTGTCTCCGGGTTCAAGCGATTCTCCTGCCTCAGCCTCACAAGTAGCTGGGATTACAGGGATGCACAACCACGCCCGGCTAATTTTGTATTTTTATTTTTAGTAGAGATGGGGGTTTCTCCATGTTGGTCAGGCTGGTTTCGAGCTACTGACCTCAGGTGATCCGCCCGCCTGGGCCTCCCAAAGTGCTGGGATTACAGGTGTGAGCCACTGCCCCTGGCCAAAGCCAACTCTTTTACAGTGAGCAATTCAGTGGCATTTGGTGCATTCGCACTGTTGTGCAACCCCCATCTCTATCTCACTCCAAACATTTTCTTTCTTTTCTTTTTCCTTTTTTTTTTTTTTGATGGAGTCTCAACTTGTTACCCAAGCTGGAGTGCAATGGCGTGATCTCGGCTCGGTGGAACATCCGCCTCCCAGGTTCAAGCAATTCTCCTGCTTCAGCCTCCCGAGTAGCTGGGATTACAAGCGCACGCCACTACACCCGGCTAATTTTTTGTATCTTTAGTAGAGACAGGGTTTTCACCATGTTGGCCAGACTGATCTCGAACTTCTGACCTCGTGATCCACCTGCTTCGGCCTCCCAAAGTGCTGGGATTACAGGCGTGAGCCACCGCGCCCGGCCGATAAATGAAATTTAATCCTCGTTTTCCTCCTCTTCGTCCTGGTTAATTTGGAAGTAACGTAATTCGTAACTCTGTTTGCTGTTAGCAACTACGCGCAACCAATCATGTAGATTATTCTTCTTCAGATATTTTTTGGTGAGATATTTCAAATACCTGTTGGAAAAGGGCAGCTTGGATGTCACGCTGGTCTTGCTCTTGCTCCCTTCGATGGTCACTACCCCTCCACCAAAGTTCCCAGCTTTTCCGTTCATTTTGATCCTTTCTTGGAAAAACTGCTCAAAGTTGGCAGCATCCATGATTCCATCTTCTACGGGGTGGGTGCGATCAAGAGTGAACTTTGGAACCTGCTTCCTTTTTTTTAGCCCTCCTTTACCACAAGCTTTTTCATGGGCGCCATGGCGGTAGCGGAGGCAGAAAGAAGGCAACATTTGTTTGTTTGTTTGTTTTGAGATGGAGTCTCTCCCTGTCACCCAGGCTGGTAGTGCAGTGGTGCAATCTTGGCTCACTGTAACCTCCGCCTCCTGGGTTCAAGCAATTCTCCTGCCTCAGCCTCCCTAGTAGCTGGGACTACAGGCGCCCGCCACCATGCCCAGCTAATGTTTGTATGTTTAGTTGAGACGGGGCTTCACCATGTTGGCCAGGCTGGTCTCGAACTCCTGACCTCGTGATCCTCCCGCCTCGGCCTCCTATAGTGCTGGGATTACAGGCGTGAGACACCGCGCCCGGCAGGAAGACAAATGTTTTTACAGGAAAAAAAGGAGGAGGATTACATAATTGTTCTGACATAATTATGGTTGGCTGCAAAGATCAATAACAGAGGTGACCGTAGTCTGAGGCTGGACAGGCAGCTGCTTGGCGGATGTCCTTGCAGTAGTCTTTTTTGTGTAAGGTCGCGAAGGCGTTTGTGCAAGGTTGTGGTTTTTCTAGAGTCTTTTATCAGGCCTGCAAGCACGGGAACCCTCTCTTCATGGCCTTCCCTGGTTCTATTTGTCAGGGTTTATTTATTTATTTATTTACTTACTTAACATCCATGACTTCATTTTGATTCTGACAACTTTCACAACATCATGGGTTGAAAGTAGTAACTTGTGTTTTACTTCCATTTATTTAAATACTTCTAAGAGCCAAGCTTTTCTGTAAGTTTTATTAATGAATCATTTTTCCTCTTCTGTAAATTCATTGCCTGTTGATTGTGATCTATTGATATTTTTGAATTTTTCTTAGTGATTTAAAAAATTATTTCTATAATAAAGATATTAGGCTGGGTGAGGTGGCTCACACCTGTAATCGTAACACTTTGGGAGGCTAAGGCGCGGGGATTGCTTGAGCTCAGGAGTTTGAGACCACCCTGGCTCCTCCTAAATGATTGAAAGGACACAACATAATGGATATGCTGTAATTGATAAAGAGACCTTAAAAAAAGTAAAATCAGGAAGATTACCAAATAATTGGTCTGCTCAAGCTTGCAAGTTATTCGCACTTAGGCCCTAAAATATTTACAGAACCAGGTAGGAACTATCTATACTGACTCTAAATATGCTTTCAGAGTATCTCATACATTTGGAAAAATTTAGGCTGAGCGAGAACTATTTAACAGTAAAGGTAAGGAACTTGCTCATGAAACACTAGTTGTTCATGTTCTTAATAATCTTCAATTACCGGAAGAAATAGCCATTGTCCATGTTCCAGGACACCAACCTAATTTTTCTTTTAAAAGTCAAGGAAACGGCCGGGCGCGGTGACTCACGCCTGTAATCCCAGCACTTTGGGAGGCCGAGGCAGGCGCATCACGAGGTCACGAGATCGAGACCATCCTGGCTAACACGGTGAAACCCCGGCTCTACTAAAAATACAAAAAAATTAGCCGGGCGTGGTGGCGGGCGCCTGTAGTCCCAGCTACTAGGGAGGCTGAGCCAGGAGAATGGCGTGAACCTGGGAGGTGGAGCTTGTAGTGAGCTGAGATCGCGCCACTGCACTCCAGACTGGGCGACAGTGCTAGACTCCCTCTCAAAAAGAGGAAAAAAAAAAAGAAAGAAAGAAAGAAAGAAACTTAACAGAATGCAGTGAGGTCAGGCACTTCCAAGAGCTGACCCATCAGTCAGCCCTTATTCATCCCCGAGTGGGTGTATGGTGGTATTTTGGAGAACCTTTACTGGACACTTTGCCAAATAATTGGAGCGGTACTTGTGCTCTAGTTCAGTTAGCTATCCCTTTTACCCTGGCATTTCATCAACCAGAAAAACAAACAAACAAAAAAACATGACATCGTAAAACAAGAGAAGCCTCTCGTAGGTCCTTTGACCCCCATGTTTATTTAGATACAACTGACGTTCCACGAGGTATATCAGATAAATTCAAAGCTAGAAATCAGAGAGCTGTGAGGTTCAAATCCCTTCTCCCACAAATAACAATTAATAAGAATGTAAATTGGATAAACAATATTTATTACTATCAACAACAATTTATTAACTATACTTAAAGATGCTATTAAAGGAATAGCAGAACAGTTAGGATCCACTACTAAAATGGCTTAGGAAAATAAAATGGCTTTAAATGTAGTATTAGCCGAGAAAGGTGGTGTTTGTGTTATAATTAAAACCCAATGTTGTGTACAACCTTCATCCCAAATAACACGACTCCTAACAGAAGTATAACCAGAACCTTACAAGGTCTCACTGCTTTATCTAAAGAGCTTACTAGAAATTCTAGAATTAATAACCCTATTTCAAATTGGCTAGGACGATGGTTTGGTCAACGGAAGGAAACTATAACCTCAATTCTCACTTCTATTACTACCGTAATAGGTACACTTCTCCTTCTCGGATGTTATACCATGCCTCTGGAAGCTAATGACAAAATTAATAACGACAGTTCTTACCAAAACTACTAAAACCTATCTTAACTCTCCTCCACCTTATTCTAAGAGATTTCTCCTCTTAAAAGCTCAAGTAGAACAATTAAGCCAAAACATGCTAAAACAGTTTAAAAAGGAAAAATTATAAAAATTAAAAGGGAAGGAAATGTAGAAAGCAAAAGTTCCTCTTCAAAGCTTCCCCTTTAAATCATAAATGTTATTAATATCTTTTCTCAGAACTAACTTTCTTCAAATTTCTTATTTTATAGTAATAACTCTCTGTTAAGCCTTAGGTAGCAAATGTAACAGAATAAGCACACTCTGACTTCGGTATCTGTGCTAAACATGCTCACAGGCACGTAGTACATTCTATGTCCTTGTACCTTTGTCAAAATATTCGTGCTGGACGTGCCCAGGCATGTCCCAGCTTGCAGCCTACACTCTTCCTTATTTAGGAATATTATTACTTTTCTAAGTCCTTTCGTAAGGAACATCCTTTTTTCCTATGTTCCTCACTGCTTTTACCTATTTAAAAAATTTTTGAACTGTTAGCTAATCGGGTTTTAGTTTAAATTGTGAGGTCTGGCTGCAGCCAATGAAGTCAAAACACAGCAATAGGGACCTCATGCATAAGGAATAAATATTCTTCAGTTGTATCTGACTTTTAAAAATTAGACGTATCATTTTGATAAAAATCGAATAAGAGAGGAAAGGAAAGAAAAGAAGGGAGAAAAAAATAGAATTCCAAAAGTCCAGAAAGGTACAGAAATGGAAAGTCAAAAAGTCACTCCTCCCACCCACCACCCGAGTCCTTCTCCCCAAAGGCCCCCTATGTCTACAGTTGATCGTGACTGATGTGACCGCGGGCGGGCCACGGAGCCTCTGTCTGAGCCTGTATTTCATCAGTTTGATGTGGAGAAAACGGCTCGTTGGTAGGATCCTTGAGGATGTAATGCGTGAACACTAAAGCGCTTACCAATACCGCCCCCGCACGTTAAGAACTGTATATTGTTGGCTGCTGCTCCTGCTGCTGTTGTTACCGTGATGCCAATCAGAAACATTAATATACTCACACATTTGTGTGCATATCTATAATTTTTTGACATAAAAATGAACCTATTATGCTCACTGCCGAGCACCCTGTTTTTTCTTCCCTCGAACTCTCCTTGGAGGGGAAGGAACCCTCGTAAGGGCCCTAATTCAGTGTTGCAGGCACACCTGCGATGTGCACATCCTCTTATACCTACTCTGTATATTTTGGAACACCGAAAAGCATCGCCAACAAAGTCTCCCCTCTGTATTTAAAAATACGAAAGTACCCGGCCTCCCCGTCGGGGAATCGAACCCCGGTCTCCCGCGTGACAGGCGGGGATACTCACCACTATACTAACGAGGACAAGCCGTACTGTGTTCCCTGCAGCTCCCTTCTTATGTCCATACCATTCTCTCGCTATCGTTCCTAACCTTTCCGGGCCATCCAGGCTCCGCGCCGGGCACCCTGGCTGCTGGGCTTATCCAAGGCGGGTAGAGGCCCCTTTGAGTGGCTGGAGGCACTGCACGTTCCGAAGCTAAGGCACCTGAACTAGCAGAGCGAAGGGCACTTCCTGTATCACCATCCCCAGAAAAGACCAACACAAGGGGTAGGGGATGTAGCTCAGTGGTAGAGCGCATGCTTTGCACGTATGAGGCCCCGGGTTCAATCCCCGGCATCTCCAGACTTTTCCGCCTTTTTCGGGCAAATTACAGTCACGTGGTTACAAAAGCTTGGAAGAGGACCCAGGCAACCCTCAACAACCTGCCTGCGAAGAAAGCTCCCTTGGAAGGGGCTGCGCCAGCACATTTCCCTGCCCCTAATCACAAATGCCCTGGGCCCCTCCACCGGAGATTCGCGTTCAGTAGGTCAGTGACGGGGCCGGGAATCTGCCATTTGAAACGAATACTCCCAGTTATTTGTTTCATCAAGCAGATAGAAAAACATGGATTCCTTAGAAAGGTTCTGCAACTGACCATTCATTAACTCCTGAGGGCCTCATGTCAGGTTCCGTGCATGCACTGAGCACCTACTGTGTGCCGGGTAAAGTGTACGTCCCCTGGTATCCCTGGATAAGACAGGCCAGGCAAGCTTTCTCAGCCTTTTTGGACTTTATAGTCCAGTCCTGGAGACTTAACAATAAGCAAGTAGCGATACGTTTTATGAAGACAATAATAGCGATGAGATGGAAACTCAGGGGTGCAGGAGTGGGGGTTGCTTTAGATTAGCTGCCAGGGGAGACCTCTGCAGAAACAGTGCTTCCAGCGAAGGAAACGGCAGGTGCCAAGGCCCTGAGGCTGGAGGAAGGGCGCTCAGTGTTGAAGGGGCAGGAAGAAAGCCATGCCCTGGAGCTTAGTGAATGAGGATGAACTTTATCTTCGAAGACACTGGAAGGCCTGACGCAGGGGAACGCGACCAGATTCAGGTTTGAAAAGGCTCCCTCTGGCTGCCATGCGGAGAACACACCCTGGGCGTGGGTGGACGTGGGGAGATCGGGAAGGAGGTGCAGCCACCGCCCAGGAAGCTGCTGGAGACTTCCTCCAGGGGTGCTGCAGAGGAAGTGCGAGCCTGATGGAGTTCAGGACAAATGCTGGACGTGGTTGCATAGTATTTCCTAACGGAGGGGTAGCACGCTTTATTACCATTCCTCCTAGGGATTCGGGTAATTTTGTTTCCTCTCACTGAAGTCTTGTAGTCAGTGATCTGGTGCATGCGTTTTCCTTGCCTTCTGGCGCCGGTACCTCGATGGGGCAGATGTCCACAGGGAGCAATGCAGGGTCAAAGGGCATGGATACTTTTACAAACGTACTTCTCTGTCGCCCAGGCTGGAATGCAGTGGTGCGATCATAGCTCACTGCAGCCTCGAAATCCTTGGCTCAAGAGACCTCCCAGCCTCCCCAAAAGCTGAGACTACAGGTATACTTCACCACCTCCAGCAAATATTTTTCTTTTTTTTTTTTTTGTAGAGACAGGGGTCTCGCTATGTTGTCCAGGCTGGTCTCGAACATCTGGCCTCAAGTGATCCTCTCACCTCAGCCTTCCAAAGTGCTGGGATTACACGCATAAACACCATGCCTGGTTTATTTTAAATATTGCTAGATTTTGGGCCAGGCATGGTGGCTCACACTTGTAATCCCAGCCCTTTGGAAGGGCGAGGTGGGCAGATCACCTGAGGTCAGGAGTTTGAGACCAGCCTGGCCAACATGGTGAAACTTCATCTCTACTAAAAATATAAAAAATTAGCTGGGTGTGGTGGCACACACTTGTAGTCTCAGCTACTCAGGAGGCTGAGGCAGGAGAATCACTTGAACCCAGGAGGCAGAGGTTGCAGTGAGCAGAGATTGCACCACTACACTCCAGCCTGGGCAACAGAGCAAGACTCTGTCTCAGAAAAAAAAAATAAATAAAAACAATAAATATTGCTGGATTTTTTTCTAAAGGCTGTGGCAACTTACATATTCAATAACAATGTATGAAGGTGCTCTTTTCCTTATATTCTCAGCACTGGGTATGGCCATGATTATTAATTTTTCCAATCTGTTGGGTAGGAAGTAGAACTGAATTATTTCTCTGCTTTTTTCCTGCCTACTTTCTAGGGTGTGCATGTTTTCAGGTATCTACCAGCCATGCAGATGCAGGTTTTTGTGTTTTTTTTTCCAGATGGGAATCTCACTCTGTCATCCAGGCTGGAGTGCAGTGGTTGATCTCAAATCTCCACAACCTCCACTTCCTGGGTTCAAATGATTCTCATTCCTCAGGCCCTCGAGTAGCTGGTATTACCGGTGCGCGCCACCATGCCTGGCTAATTTTTGTATTTTTTCATTCAAGACGGTGTTTGGCCATGTTGGCCAGGTTGGTCTCGAACTCCTGGCCTCAGGTGATTTATTTGCCTCGGCCTCCCAAAGTGCTGGGATTATAGGTGTGAGCCACTGCACTCGACCTTAGATGCAGTTTTTTTTTGTTTGTTTGTTTTTTTGAGAGAGAGTTTAGCTCTTGTTGCCCAGGCTGGAGTGCAGTGGCACAATCTCGGCTCACTGCAACCTCTGCCTTCTGGTTTCAAGTGATTCTCCTGCCTCAGCCTCCCGAGTAGCTGGGATTACAGGCGCTTGCCACCACGCCTGGCTAATTTTTGCATTTTTAGTAGAGACGGGGTTTCACCATGTTGGCCAGGCTGGTCTCGAACTCCTGATCTTGTCTGACCTCGTGATCTGCCAGCCTCGGCCTCCCAAAGTGCTGGGATTACAGGCATGCATGAACCACCACGCCCGGCCTAGATGTAGCAACTAATTTTTTCATGGCCTTTGCCCGTTGTGTTTTTCTCACCAAATTGCAATAGCTCATCCAATAGTATGACGCTGTTTATCATGTTTTGCAGTATTTTTCATCTATTCTTTCATCTTCTAACTTTGTTTATACAATTTACCATGTCAATGTAAGATTTCGATAAGGTAAAATGTCTCCCCTTTCCTTTATAGTTTCTGGGAAGTTTGTTTAACTTTGTTTTTGTTTGTTTTGCTTTGTTTTTTGAGAGAGACAGGGTCTCACTCTGTCGCCCAGGCTGGAGTGCAGTGGCACGATCTTGGCTCGCTGCAACATCTGTCTTCCGGGTTCAAGTGATTCTTCTGCCTCAGCCTCCCAAGTAGCTGGGATTACGGGCGCCTGCCACCACACTGGCTAATTTTTGTATTTTTAGTAGAGACGGGGTTTCACCATGTTGGCCAGGCTGGTCCTGAACTCCTGGCTTCAAGCGATCTGCCTGGCTTGGCCTCCCAAAGTGCTGGGATTATAGGCATGAGCCACCATGCCTGGCCTTGTTTAATTTGGAAGCTTTTTCCAGTGTTCTTACAAATATTCACTGCAATTTACTTTTTAACATTTGCCCTACCATGTTTTGGGGACCCAGGATGGTAAGCAAGACAGAAGATCTGCTGTCACTGGGCTTGCTGTCCAGAGTGGGTGGCAGGCAGGCCACCCTCCCTAGGGAGGCGTCTAGAGGGGCTTGCCTCTGAAGATGAGAAACCAGAGGGAGCAGGAGTTAGGCTCAGAGCACCACAGGAGAGGGAACGGCACCTGCGGAGGCCAACAGGGCTGCTTCGGGGAAGGTGGAAGGAGAGCAGGTTGGCCCTTGGGTGTGGTGTGAGTGGAGTGTCCGTGCAGGTCCAGTCTCAGAGGCCACGTTTGAGTTGGCCTTGATCCCTTGGGTAATGGGGACTCTTCATAGGGCTTTAAAGCAGGGCAGTGGCCGGGCGTGGTAGTTCACGCCTGTAATCCCAGCACTTTAGGAGGCCCAGGCGGGCATATCACCTGAGGTCAGGAGTTCGAGACAAGCCTGGCTAACATGGTGAAACCCTGTTTCTACTAAAAATACAAAAAATTAGCTGGGTGTGGTGGCGCTCACCTATAATCCTAGATACTCGAGAGGCTGAGGCAGGAGAATCACTTAAACCTGGGAGGTGGAGGTTGCAGTGAGCTGAGATCACATCATTGCACTCCTGCTTGGACACCAAGAGCGAAACTCTGTCTCAAAAAAAAAAAGAAAAAGAAAAAGAAAACGAACAAAAAATAAAGCAGGCTGGTGACGTGATCTGATCTGGGACACGATTTTCACAGAGGACAACCTAACCATTTCTCTTTTATCTTTTTTTTGAGATGGAGTTTCACTCTTGTCATCCAGGAAAGCAAGAAAAAGGCAGTGCTTGCCTGCGGAAGGGTTCATCCATTTCTTTCTTTTTTTTTTTTTGAGATGGAATCTCGCTCTGTCGCCAGGCTGGATCTGCCTCAGCCTCCTGAGTAGCTGGGATTACAGGCAGCCACCACCACGCCTGGCTAATTTTTGTATTTTTAGTAGAGATGGGGTTTCACCATGTTGGTCAGGCTGGCCTCAAACTTGTGCCCTAAAATGATCCACCCACCTTGGCCTCCCAAAATGCTGGGATTGCAGGTGTAAGCCACCACGCTCGGCCACCTAACCATTTTTCAAAGGGAAGAATCCCCAAGTCTCTTGACCTGGCAATCCCACTTCTTGGCATTTGTCTTGTGGATATACACCCAGGTATGAAATGACTTGTCTATAAAGATGCTCAACACATCTTTGCTCATTATAGCAAGGTTAGGAAGTACCCATTGCTGGGACTGATTTTAAAAACAATGGTAGCGCTACCTAGTGTGAAATGTTCTGCAGCTGATAAAAAGGACGGGCCAGGCCAGGTGCAGTGGCTCACGCCTGCAATTCCCGCACTTTGGGAGGCCAATGCAGGAGGATTGCTTGAGCCACGGAGTTCAAGACCATCCAGGGACTGGACACAATGGCTCACACCTGTAATCCTAGCACTTTGGAAGGCTGAGGCAGCTGTATTGCCTGAGCTCAGGAGTTCGAGACCACCCTGGGCAACATGGTGAAACCCTGTCTCTACCAAAAATTAGCTGGGCATGGTGGTGGGCGCCAGTAGCCCCAGCTACTGAGGAGGCTGAGGCAGGAAAATCACTTGAACCCGGGAGCTGAGATAGTGCCACTGCACTCCAGCTGGGTGAGAGTTGAGACTTCATCTCCAAAAAAGACCAGCCTGGGCAATATAGTGAAACCCTTTCTACCACAAATTTTGAAATTAGCTTGGTGTGATGGTGTGCGCCTGTAGTCCCAGCTCCTCAGGAGGTTGAGGTGGGAGGATTGCTTGATCCTGGGTGGTCGAGGTTGCAGTGAACTATGATTGTGCCACTGCACTCCAGCCTGGGTGACAGATAATGTCTCTTTTAGAGACAGTAGGGAGGGTCTTTTAGGGTCGCAAGACCATTCGGGGGGAAAGAACTGCCTCTTTGACAAATGGCGATGGGACTGAGAACCACATGCAAAAGAATGTTGACCACCTGACCACACCATATATGCAGAAATTAATTCAAATTGGATGAAAGTTTTTTTTTTTTGAGACTTTGTCTCAAAAAAAAAAAAAAAGAAAAGCTAAATGACATTGGCCAGGCAATGGTGCTCTTGGTTTTTTTTTTTTTTTACTCTTAGGTATATACCCAAGAGAATGGAAAATATACATCCACACAAACAAAAACCTGTACATCAATGTTCACAGCAGCTCTATTCACAATAGCCAAAAGACGGAAACAAATAAAAATGTGGTCTATCCATACAATGGGGTATTATCCAGCCATAGGAAGGAATGAAGTACTTCAGGAGCTCAAGACCAGCCTGGGCAACATAGCAAGAGCTGTCGCTACTAAAAATTTTAGCCCAATATGGTGGAGTGTGCCTGTAGTCCCAGCTATTTGGGAGGTAGGAGGATCACTTGAACCCAGGAGATGGAGGCTGCAGTGAACTAGGATCGCACCACTGCACTCCAGCCTGAATGACAGAATAAGATCCTCTTGAAAAAACAAGCAACAAACCAGGCGCGGTGGCTCACACCTGTAATCCCGGCACTTTGGGAGGCGGAGGCAGGTGGATCACGAGGTCAAGAGCTCGAGACCATCCTGGCCAACATGGTGAAACCCCGTCTCTACTAAAAATACAAAAATTAGCTGGGTGTGGTGGCATGTGCCTATAGTCCCGGCTACTCGGGAGGCTGAAGCAGAAGAATCGCTTGAACCTGGGAGGCAGAGGTTGCAGTGAGCCGAGATTGCGCCACTGCAGTCCAGCCTGGTAACAGAGCGAGACTCCGTCTCAAACAAACAAAAGCAGCAAAAGAGATAAATGTCCAGAACGGGCAAATCCAGAGACAGAAAGTGGATTCGTGGGGCTTGGAGCTGGGGAACTGGGAGAAATAGGGGCAGACTGCTGATGGGTACAGGGTATCTTTTTAGAGCTATAAAAATGCTCTGGAATCAGGTCATGGTAACGGTTGCACAACTGTGATACACTAAAAGCAACTGTATACCTTAAAATGGGGAATTTTATGGTGTGCTAATTACATAACATTTTTTAAGAAGAATTGCCTAATTACAACTGTGGATGCTCTGCTGTGGTTGTGGAGTGCAATGAGGAGGCAGGGACGTCCCTGAGGAGGCTGCCCTGGCGCCTGAGACACTGGTGGGAATGACAGCTTCCGCTTTCATCTCAGAATTGCTAGCCCATGTGCGGTGGGATTTTAGGAAAGCTGGAGGTCAGTACTTTCGAGTGGGAAATAGCCCAATTCTACATGTTAGTGAGGAGTTCAAGTCCTCCTCAATCACCGGGCGGGTCAAGCGAAACGTGTCTGCAGGCTGCCCTGGCTCATGGCCCTGCCTTGGGCTCCTGGGGAGGAACATAGAGTGAGAAGGGCCGGGCTGCCATCTCGGCTCTGGGGCAGGTGGGGAGAGGTTGCTGCTTGGGCTTTGAGAGCAGCCAGGGAGGTAAGTAAACCCAGTGAGGAGAGGCCTCCTTAAAGCAGACAGCAGTGCTGGGAAGGCAGGTCGGCCACCAGGCCACGTCCCGGGACAGCACACTGGCCACCTGGGTGTCCTTCCCCAAGTGCATTCCACAACACAATCTGGGTGCAAGGAACATTTTATTCCATAACTGTCTCCACCGAAGCCGCAGAAGCAAAGCCAGGAGCAGAATCCATTCTGCCAGCGCTGGGCTCTGGGGAGACATCTGTGCCCTCACCATGGAGGACAGAAGGCAGGGGCCTCCCGACTCCTTGGTCCTGCCTGGGGTGCTCCTGTCCCTCTTTCTTGCTGGGGGACCTACCCCACCCTCCCCCTCCCACCTCAGCCACAGAGGAACAAGGGAGACAAACTGAGGGCTCTGCAGTCCCCGTTCAAGGCCAACATAATAGTCGTGTGGCCCCAGCCCAGCTAGGCGCATCCTCTGCGGCATGGCAGCGGTGACCAAGCACAGCCAACGTCAGCTCCGCTCCCTGCCGTCTGAGAGCTGACCACAGGCAGATGAGATGCCCACTCCCTGTTGCCATAACACAGGAAAGGCGTTGGCGGCCACCCTCCCAAGAAGGCATGGAGCCTGGGGGCCCCCAGCCAGGCCCCTCAAGGTCAACACAGAGCTCAGTGGCTCACCTAACATCTGGGACGGCTGTGAGGCCAGGGCTGGGCAGCCCTCCCTGACTCTGGAGAGGGAAGAATTGCAGGAAGGAGGCCCTCCACGTGCCTCCTCGGCCTTCTGGCAGGGCGGGCGGGGAAGGGACTGCAGAGATCTCCAGCCCTGCTGCTCCACAGGGGACTAATGTAGTCCAAAGAGCACACTGAACAGAACAGCGTCCAGCACGTGAGATGAAATCATCATCCACCATATAATAAACAGTTCAAAAAGTCACCCCCGGGCCAGATGGCACGGGCGGCAGCACCCTTCATACGGGATCGAGCTCTCATGGATGAGGGTTCCCAGGGCTTGACCCACTTCCTGAGAGCAGGCCACGAAGCCCATGCCAGGTGGTCACGGTCGCACGGTGACAGGCTGCTGCCAGCCCTCCAGTCCCCAAACCAGTCCTCGGCCCTGCAGCCAGGTTTCTGGTCAGTGGACAGTGGTGGGGGGCCAGGCTTTCTCGATATCGGGGTGCATGGCCTGTGGAAGCCACTCACAGTACTCAGCCAGCAGGTCTGCAGGGGAGGGAAGGAGGACAGTGTCAGGGTGACCCTGGGCCCAGGGACTCTCCTCAGGTGGCAAAAAGCTGGCCAGCAGCCGTGGGGCCAGATCCTTCTGCCAAGCCAGGGCTGACCGTGCACAAAGCACAAAGCCCCTGCCTCAGTGACCCCATCCTGTCTACTCCCACCCCCTGGCCCTGGTCAAACTCACATTTGGGGTTTTTCTTCCAAGCAGCCAGCAAGGCTTCATGGCAGTCAGCCTTCTCTGCAACCAGGGCTCGCAGAAGGCTCTCCGTACGGGGCTGCAGCCTGTGGGGCAGGAATGCACGTTGGTGGCAGGCAGCCAGGGCACAGACCGGCTGCTGCTGGGGGCCCGAAAGCAGGGCAGGCATCACCACCCCACCAGCCCCACCCAGGAGGGTGAAGAGCTGGCTGGGCATGGTGACATGCACCTGTAGCCCCAGTTACTCAGGGGGCTGAAGTAGGAGGATCCCTTGAGCCTGGGAGTTGGAGGCTGCAGTGAACCATGACTGCACCACTGCACTCCAGCCTGGGCAACAGGGCAAGAACTTGTCTCAAAAACAAACAAACTGGCTGAGCGTGGTGGCTCACGCCTGTAATCCCAGCACTTTGGGAAGCTGAGGCAGGTGGATCACCTGAGGCCAGGAGTTCGAGACCAGCCTGGCTAACATGGTGAAACCCTAGCTCTACTAAAAATCCAAAAATATTTGCCGGGCATGGTGGCGGTCACCTGTAATCCCAGCTACTCAGGAGGCTGAGGCAGGAGAATCACTTGAACCCAGGAGGCAGAGGCTGCAGTGAGCCAAGATCACGCCATTGCACTCCAGCCTGGGCAACAAGAACAAAACTCTGTCTCAAACAAACAAGCAAACAAACAAAACTCAAAAGCAAAAAAACATAATTCTCTAGACAGGCCTTCTAAAAAATAAATAATAATAATAAAATAAAAGAGAAGGCAAAGGGTCCCCTTCCCCTAATCATCCCGGGACAGAAGGCTCTAGATCCCACCTCCTCCCATCCACCCTGGCTGCCTCTGGTCCACATTCCTTGCCCACCAAGGCTGCTCTGTGCATGCAACTTGTCTCATCTAGAACCTTCCTCCAGATTTGTGCCCAGCTGCAGCCCTGGCTCCTTTGAATCTGCCCAGTGAGGCTCTCCCCGACCAGCCCAGTCGCACTCCACCCCCTGCCCACCGAGGCCTCACTCATGTCCTGCTCTGTCCCTCTGGGGCCGAGCAACGCTGCTGTGGGACAGAGATCGTGTCTGTATCCCAGCCCCGAGAACATGCCTGGGACAGGGCCACACTGGAAAACGTGAGCTGAGTGACTGACACGGCTCCTGACAGCCCAGCAGCGGGTGCTGTGCCCCACGCCCCATCTCGAGTCCCTGGCACCTGCCTGCACCTTCAGGCCTGCCTCCAGTGCCCCAAGCCCCTGCACCATAGGCCCCACCAGCCCCAGGAAGGGGGAGGTGTCTGTGGGTCTGGACCACAGGCAGGAGGAGAGCAGAAGCAGGAGGCAGAGGGCAAGGGTGAGCCCTGAAGCAGAGGTGGTGGGCGGGATGGGGCAGGGGTCTGCTTAGCTGGGAGGAAGTCCCCAGGGCCAGGAGGGCAGGATGCCTCCCACTGACACCTGGCGGCTCTGTGGGAGCTGCCCAGTGTCTCCCCTATCCCATATTCATGTCCACCCAGAACATCAGCGTGTGACCTTATATGGAAAGAGGGTCACTGCAAATGTCATGAGTTAAGGAGAGGTCATCCTGGAGTAGGGTGGGCCCTGAATACAATGACTGGTGTCCTTATAAGGAGAACACAGGGAGGGAGACTAAAGACACACAGAGAGATGGCCACGTGAAGATGGAGGCAGAGACTGGAGTGATGTGGCCACAAGCCCAGGAGGCCGACAGAGGCAAGACGGACCCTCCCCGAGAGCCGCTGCACAGACCGTGGCTCTGCAGAGCCTTCAGACCTGAGCACAGACTTCTGATGTTTTAAGCCTCCCTGTGTGTGGTGCTTTGTCCTGGCAGCCCCGGGGAGGTCATTCAGGCCTCGGACCCCTCCTGCCCACTGCGAGGCTCCCACCGAAGGCAGTACCTGGCCCACGTCTTCAGCATGGTGCCGGGGCTGGACAGCAGACAGCTCCGGTATGAGGCCAGCTTGCGGAAGACCTGATGAGAGACCACAGGAAGGGGTGAGGCCCGGGCTGCTGCTGCCCACGGTACCCGAGATGAGGGTCTGGAGCCGCTGTGCCACCTACCTGCCCTTCCAGCAGGAACCGGGCAAAGTGCTTGTAGCGGTCAATCCCCTCTGGAAAATCCACCTCGATGGCGGGGAGCGGCCAGCCCACGCGATCTAGAAGGTGGGAGCCAGTGAGACAGGGACCCTCCTGCAGCTGCCCTCCCGAGTCCCATCCCTGCCCCACCCGAGACACACACGTCCGGGGGCAGGGGACAGGACCGTGTGTCCGAGAAGCCCACGGCTGCAGGAGGCTCAGGTTGCCCAGGACACTGCCCCAACTCACAGAACACGCTGGCCCGGTGACACAGCACCCGCCCCCGCTCGGGGCAGTATGTAGGGGCTGGTTCCTCCAGGGGCTTGTCAAACTGGCAGTAAGAGGGCAGCAGGGCCGGGATCCACTGGACCTCCACGCTAGAGACGCCTGGGGGCCGGGGGAGGAAGCTGGGGTTACAGCGGCACCCTCCGTGGGAGGGGCTGCCATGCCTCTGCCCCAGGGTCCCAGCCACACCCCCATTAGCGTCACCATCGGGGGACAAGGGGCTGTCCGCAGGCCTCGGCACCTTTCATGTACATCTTAGTGGTCTCCACGATTTCCTGGTAGACCACAAACTCGGGGAGCTCTTTGAAAAGGACGGAGCTGGGGTGGATGAAGACAGGGTCGTCGAGGAGAGGGGTCTGCAGAGAATGGAGAGTGATGTGGTCAGGGAAGAACCCATGCCCAGGGGCTCCGCATACTTTCAACCCAGGAGAAGAATCTGATTATCCACTCCAGCCGCAAAAGTGGGAGAGTGCTCCATCTGCCGGGAAATGCGGCCCATCCACACGCTGGAGTCTGATCCAGCCGTGAAAAGGAAGGAAGTGCCGGGTGCAATGGCTCACGCCTGTAATCCCAACACTCTGGGAGGCCGAGGAGGGTGGATCATCTGAGGTCAAGAGTTCGAGACCAGCCTGGCTGGTTTCACCATGTTGGTGAAACCCCATTTCTACTAAAAATACAAAAAATTAACTGGGCATGGTGGCACACACCTGTAATCCCAGCTACTTGGGAGGCTGAGGCAGGAGAATTGCTTGAACCCGGGAGGTGGAGGTTGCAGTGAGCTGAGATCACGCCATTGCACTCCGGCTTGGGCAATAAGAGCAAAACTCCTTCTCAAAAAAAAAAAAAAAAGGAAGCACCGACACCTGCCATGGCGTGGATGGGGCTTGAAAGCATCACACTAAGTGCAAGAGGCCAGACATGAAAAGCCATGTATGTTAAGATTCCACTCATGCCAAATGTCCAGAACAGGCAGATCCACAGATGGAAAGCAGGATCATGAAAACGGGGGTGACGGGGAACTGGGGACTCACAGCTTACATATGTGGGGTTTCTTTGTTGGGTAATAAAAATGTTCTAAAGTTAACTATGATAATGGTTGCAAAACTCTGTGAAAATACTAAAACCCACTGAATTGAACACTTTAAATGGGTTTAAATGCAGGCCAGATGCAGTGGGTCACACTTGTCATCCTAACACTTTGGGAGGCCAAGGTGGAAGGATTCCTAGAGGCCAGGAGTTCAAGACTAGCCTGGGTAACACTGCTTGTAAGCCCAGCGTTTTGGGAGGCCGAGGTGGGCAGATCACTTGAGGCCAGGAGTTCAAGACCAGCCTGGCCAAAATGGTGAAACCCCTTCTCTACTAAAAATACAAAAATTAGCTGGGCATGGTGGCACACACCTGTAATCCTAGCTATTTGGGAGGCTGAGGCAGGAAAATTGCTGGAACCCAGGAGGTGGAGGTTGCAGTGAGCTGAGTTCGCACCACTATACTCTAATCTGGGCAACAGAGTGAGGCTCTGTCTCAAAAAAGAAAACAACAACAACAAAATTAGTCGGAGGTGGTGGTGTGCCCCCTGCAGTCCCAACTACTCAGGAGGCTGTGGCGAGAAGGTTATTTGTGCCTGGGAATTCGAGGCTGCAGTGAGCTATGATTGTGCCACTGCACTCTATCCTGGGCAACAGAGCGAGACCTTGTTTCTAGAAAACACAAAAAACCCCAAAAGAGTTTAAATGCTGTGTGAATTTTATCTCCACTAAACTGTTATTAAAAAAAAAAAGTTGGGAGAAACTAACCAAGGAAGATGTGATTCTACTGCAAGCCCCACTTGTTCCTCAGTGGGGACCCACAGCTGAGAGGGAACAAGCCTCCCCAGACCCTGAGGGCCCAGCCCGCCTGCCCCTCACCAGGTGCCCCAAGCTACCCGGGCAGGGAGGCGGTGGGGGCCGCACCTTGTAGGCGTTCCTCCACTTGTCCTCCAGCATCTCCTCGCTCTGGACCCTGCGGGCCAAGTGGTCCCCCAGGCCTGCCGTCACGATCTGTCGCAGGTAGGTCACCTGGCTCTCGGTGGGCGGCTGCATCTTGGGATCCACGAAGAGCTCAGCCTCGGGGCACACGGCATTGACTGAGGGGAGAACCAAGAGTGAGGTCGGTGGTGGCAAGGCCCGGAGCCAGCTCTGCCCTGACCTCCTAGAAAGTCCCAACCATGCTCAGTGCTCTAGCCTCAGCCACCTGCTTGTCTCAACCCCTCCCCAGAGGCCACCAGCAGGACCCAAAGCCCCCAGCAGGCAGGATTGCAGCCGCCCCCCCATTCCCTCCTTCTCCCTTGGGACAAAGCCCCACATCCTGCCTGGGCAGCAGAGCATTCTTCGAGGAGACAGCCCTCCCCTAACACCCAGGTGGCCTCAGACTCAGTTCTGGTCCATGATGTGAAGAAGGAAGTTGCGGCTGGAATTCCTGGGAACGTTCAATACGGGAACAGGACAGCCGGCGGGTGCCCTGGCCTCATCCTTCCCTTCTCTTGCCTGGAAGGCAGAGGTGACTAAGCCTCCAACTACCTCCTCAGCCCAAGAGGTGACCTTAGGATGGAAGGCACAGCGAATGGCAGGAGGATGGCAGCAGAGAAACGCCCTGGGCTGCTGACTCAAGTGACTTCTCTTCCTTGCAACAATAAAGGTCTAATGTCACCAAGCCACTGTAACCAGCACTGTCTGGAGGCTGACTGCAATTCTAAGCTGCTGCACCTGGAATGGGGCTGCTCTGGAAAGCCACAGCCAGAAGGACACAGAGCATGGTGACAGGGCCACCACCATGCACCTGGCGCTGGGAGAAGGATCGGCCGGAAGAGAGCCATCAATTCTGGCATCAAACCTTGGGATCTGCTTAAATGGAAGGCAAATTCTCCACTAGCCTTGGGTGCAAGAACGTGGCCTGCCCAGAAGAGACCCAGTGTCCACGCTGCCCTCTCTACGCATCGTCCTCTTGCCATATGTTGGAGGACATTTCCTTCCTCTCAAGCTTCCCTGGGTGTTGGTGGCAGGAAGTATTTGTGCTGCTGAGCTGAGGTAGAGTCCAGGGCAAGGCCTCATCCTTCTGCATGAGAAGGGTCTGGGGGACATGTGGGAGGGAAGAGGGGTCCAGGCCACAGCGGTGATGGAAAATGGCAGGGGGTATCGCCAGGGAAAAGGTGAAACCGAGCGACGACCTGGTGGGGGAGGGTGCAGGCTGGCAGCTCGAATCTGTTAGTGCCCTGCTCATGTGCACATTCCCTTGTTCCTGGAAAAGCTCCCCAAGTATTGATTTAGGGTTATAAATACATTTTGGTGCGTAGCAAGTTTGCAAACGTGGACTCTATGGATCACTTTTTTAAACATTTCAAGTGCCCAGGTCAGGTTGCCCGCCGGGTGCAGCGGCGTGCCGGCACGGGGCCGTACCTGCGGTGGTCAGCTGGCCCCGCAGGCGCCGGATCTCCATCATGGCTTTGTACCGCAGCCCGTTGGCTTCGCAAAACTGGGGTGTGCAGCTGGCATACTCACAGGCTCCCACGGCGCCTGGGGAACGAAGAGGGGGCATGCTCTCTCTCTGACCCATCCCAGACCTGGGTGACCCTCCCGCCACCCTCCAACGGGCAGGGCACAAACCCAGCAGCACCATGAGGTCGCCGAGCTTCAGAGAAGCCCCCTGCCCTGCCCAGGTCCTCTTCATCTGGGCCACCCGGGCCCGCTTGCTCTTCAGCCTGGTGAGCTCCTCGTCACTGGCCGCTGGTCTGCAAACACACATACATACTGTCTGGGCTGGGGCCTCGGCTGCGCTCAGGGCCTCAGCGGGGGGAACTCCTTTATTCATCGGGACAGGCTCAGAGGCCTTGTGGGGTCACTGATGAATGTAATTAAGGTATTAAGGTCCAGCTCAAAATTCACCATTGGCAGCCACCGCTGCACTGTTGTTCTTTTTTTTTTCTTTTTTTTGAGACAGAGTCTCGCTCTGTCGCCCAGTGCAGTGGTGTGGTGTGATCTCGGTTCACTGCAAGTTCCGCCTTCCGGGTTCACACCATTCTCCTGACTCAGCCTCCCGAGTAGCTGGGACTACAGGTGCCCACCACCAGGCCCGGCTAAGTTTTTGCATTTTTTGTTTAGTAGAGACAGAGTTTCACCGTGTTAGCCAGAATGGTCTCGATCTCCTGACTTCGTGATCCGCCCGTCTCGGCCTCCCAAAGTGCTGGGATTACAGGCATGAGCCACCGTGCCCGGCCACTGCACCATTTTTAGGTAATAAAAAACTCTGCAAACTGCTTAAATAGCTGCCAAGGGTGGACTGAATAAATGAATGATGCCAGTGGCTTCCAAACCTGAAAATAATACTAACACTTAACATATGTGTCAGGCACGGCTCAAAGCACTTTGCTTGTGTTAACTCATTTAATTCTACCAACAATCCAATTATTATCATTATCATCATCCCCATTTTCCAGATGGAGAAAATGAAGCTCAGAGTGGTACAGTCACTTGCCTAAGGTCACACAGCTCAGAATGGCAGAGAGAGATTCGAACCATACCTGAGCTCTCAGTCACCACGCTACAGAGCCTTGACACTAGCATCACGTGGGAGTCTTAGAGATGCTGGGACCAGGAGATCTGGGCAGAGGCCAAGACACCTGGTTTTCAAGACCTTACATGTAATGGTTAATTATGTGTCCACTTGACTGGGCAAAGGGATGCCCAGATAGCTAATTAAGCCTTATTTCTGGGTGTTTCTTTGAATTGGTGACTGGCATAAAGCTACTGCCCTCCCCCAATGTGGGTGTGGGCCACATCTGATCCACTGAGGGCCCAAGTAGGCAGAGGAGGTGTGACTTCGGGCTCTGCTGACTGCGTGAGCTGGGTCTTCCCTGCCCTCGATGCTCCTGGTTCTTGGGCCTTCAGACCCCAACTGAAACTGACACCACTTTCTGTTTCTCCAGAGAACCCTATTATTCTCCCCCAAGGGATTCTGACGAATAGCTGGGATTACAGGTGTCCATCACCATGCCCGCTTTTTGATTTTTAGTAGAGACAGGGTTTCACCATGTTGGCCAGGCTGGTCTCAAATTCCTGACCTCTCAAGTGATCTGCCTGCCTCGGCCTCCCAAGTGCTGGGATTACAGGCGTGAGCCACCATGCCCGGCTAAAGCTGCTTTTGAAGTTCAGATGCACTGACCCTGAAAAGATACAGGACCATCTGATCTCATTTCCTCAAATTAAAACTCTGTCCGTGCAGAGCACAGGGAAACGTCTGGAACTGCACTGGCCAATACAGTGGCCACTAGCCACATGTGGCTGTTTAAATTTAAACTATTAAAAATAAGTAAGGTTTTAAGTCAGTTTGTTGCCGTAACTGCCACATTTCACAGGCTGAGGCCACGTGTGGTTAGTGGCTGCGGTATGGAATGGCCCATGCAGTGATGTGGCCTAAAGCAAAGTTCCTGGTTAGGGTGGGTGGGACCGGGGAGGGGAGGTGGTGGAGGATAAACAAAGAAAAACCATCCAGATCTCAACAGATTCCCCAGTGTCCACCTAACTGCCTTCCCAACTAGTGTCTGCTCTGTCATCTGACAAGATGGTCCAAACACAGGCAGATTGACCCTAAGGGAAGCAGCAGGCTTTGCACAAGATGCAGAGGCTCACAGAGTCGATGAAGTGACATTGTGGGCCTGCCTGTACCATTCACAGTGGACGAGAGATGGTGGCAGCAGAAGCCTGGCTCACAGCTGAGGGAGAGATGGTCAAAACTGATGGCGTGAAAGGCGGTTTCAGGAGGAATGATGTGAACGCTGAAGACTTACCAAGCCCTTGAGAAACTCAAGTTGCTTCCAGAAATCTCTGCAGAAATGACCCCTTTTATCATTAAGCTGCCAAAGGCAGATCTACGCAATAGGATGCCAGGAAATTATTAAATAATTGTTCATTCTAAGAATTAGCATGTAGTCATAATCTATAAGTAAATTTTGTTAAATACACAATGCACTAAACATACTTTCAACATACTTTCACAGTCTTAGTGTCACTTTTCTTTTTCTTTTTTTAGAGAAGGGTCTCACTCTGTTGCCCAGGCTAGAGTGCAGTTGCACAATCTCAGCTCACTGCAACCTCTACCTCCTGGGTTCAAATGATTCTTCTACCTCAGCCTCCTGAGTAGCTGGGACTCTCAGCCCAGAGCCCCCGTCGGAACTGAGCTTGGCCCTGAGTGCCCAGCCGCCAACCTCGCACCTGTCCAGCTCCTCAAACAGCTCCCGCACCGTCATGCTGGCCACGATGGTGATGGCATAGGGCAGGCAGCCGTGTTGTCGGCTCAGTGCCAGCATCTTAGCGTAGCGGGGTGCCACGGGGAATGTGGCCATTGTCCGGCCCAGCGCAGTGATGGGGCAGCTCAGCCGGTTCTCCTGCAGTTGCTTCACCCTGGAGATGGAGGTGGTGGTGGCAGTGCTCTGAGAGGAGCTCTGGAGCCACAGCTGGGAGGCCCCACGCTTGAGGCAGCTCAGGCCCAGCAAAAGGGAGAGAGGGCCCTGAACGGGGCAGGAACTGGGCTCTGCATCTCTTGGCCTTACCTTTCTGCTTTCTGGGGCGGTTGCAGGGCACCCAGTGCGATCAACAGCTCCTCGGCGGCAAGAAGGGCTTCCACGGAGGGGGGCGTCGGGAAGGGGAAGTTGATGACCTGGGACACAAGGAGACGTGGCAGGGACAGGGTGAATGCCAAGAACAAGTCCGGTGCTCCTGCTCCGTCTGTGGCAGGCACTCCCTCCAACCCCTCTCTCCGGGCTCAGCTCATGCCAGTGGGGACACAGGGGCCTGGGGCACTCTCAAAGGCCAGGTCCCAATGGAACCCCAAGGCCTCCTTTACTCACTCACCTCATCCATTCACTCAAAAACACGTCCCAAGCACTGGCTAGGCACTGAGGGCTGTGCTTTGCCCCCGCTGGGTGCTTTTTTCGGTTTTTAACAGACTATTATACTCATGAGGACTGAGCGTCATTTGACCAGGAGGGGCCACAGGTAGTCAGTGAGGCATAATACGAATAAATTGGCCTGGTGCGGTGGCTCACGCCTGTAATCCCAGCACTTTGGGAGGCTGAGGCGGGTAGATCACCTGAGGTCAGGAGTTCGAGACCAGCCTGACCAATATGGTGAAACCCCCATCTCTACTAAAAATACAAAAATTAGCCGGGTGTGGTGGCGCTCGCCTGTAGTCCCAGCTACTTGGGAGGCTGAGACAGGAGAATCATTTGAACCTGGGAGGTGGGGGTTTCAGTGAGCCGAGATCACACCACTGTACTCCAGCCTGGGTGACAGAGTGAGACCCCATCTCAAAATAGTAATAATAACGTGAATAAATTTATCACAATAGCCAAAAGATGGAAGCAACCTGTGCGTCTCTGAATGGAGGAGTGCATGAACAAAACGTGGGCCACCCATAAAATGGACAATGATTCAGCCGCGAATAGGAGTGAAGCAGCGACACGCGCTACACCACGGATGGAGCTTGAGAACATCATACTCAGGGAAAGACGCCGGGCACAAAGGCCACGCATTGTAGGATTCCATCTGCATGAAATGTCCCAAACTGGCAAATCCATGGAGAGGAGTGGGCACAGGGGCCAGGGAGCTGGGAGGTGGTGACAGATAAAGGGTACATGCTTCCTTTCTGGGGTGATGAAAATGGCCACGGTGGTGATGTCCGCACAACTTTGTGAACACACTGGAAACTACTGACCCACACACTTTCAATGGGTGACTGTGTGGTGCCTGAACTCTATCTCAATAAAGCTAGAGGCGGGGTGGTGAGCCTGCAGCAGGCACGCAGGTAAGGAGGCAATGCTAGGAACCCAGGTCTGGGGGAAGGCAGGAGGGGGCCTGCTCTGGAGCTGACTCAAGAGCCAGGGGAAGCCACTGCGGAGTTTCTACAGAGTGGACTTGATGTCACTTGTGGGAGGCACTCCCGACAGTGCTCCCAGCCACACTGAGCTCCCAGCCCAGCCCTGACACTTTTTATCCACGTGACCCACAGTCAGGCCTGTCTCAGTGTCTCAGGCTCCTCATCTGGAAAATGGGGTGATAACACTAGTAACTCCCTCCTAGAGTGGCTGGGAGGATAACCTGAGGTCACACGTGCTGAACGCCCAGCACATACTTGGCATCCATGATTCTTTTTTTTCTTTTTTTTTGTGAGATGGAGTCTTGCTATATCGCCCAGGCTAGAGTGCAACGGCGTGATCTCGGCTCACTGCAACCTCTGCCTCTTGGGTTCAAGAATTCTCCTGCCTCAGCCTCCCGAGTAGCTGGAACTACAGGTGCCCACCATCACGCCTGGCTAATTTTTATATTTTTAGTAGAGACGGAGTTTCACCATATTGGCCAGGCTGGTCTCGAGCTCCTGATGTTGTGATCCACCCGCCTCGGCCTCCCAAAGTGCTGTGAGCCAATGCACCCAGCTTTTTTTTTTTTTTTTTGGGACGGAGTCTTGCTCTGTCTCCCAGTCTGGAGTGCAACGGCATGATCTTGGCTCACTGCAACCTCTGCCTCCCAGGTTCCAGTGATTCTCCTGCCTCAGCCTCCCAAGTAGCTGGGATTATAGGCACCTGTCACCACACCTGGCTTTTTTTTTTTTTTTTTGGAGACGGAGTCTCGCCCTGTCACCCAGGCTGGAGTGCAATGGCACAATCTCGGCCCATTGCAACCTCCGCCTCCCGGGTTCAAGTGATTATCCTGCCTCAGCCTCCTGAGTAGCTGGGATTACAGGCGTGTGCCACCACACTCAGCTAATTTTTTGTATCTTTACTAGAGACGGGGTTTCACCTTGTTGGCCAAGCTGGTCTTGAACTCCTGACTTTGTGATCCACCTGCCTCGGCCTTCCAAAGTGCTGAGATTACAGGCGTGAGCCACCACGCCCAGCCTCCCTGGCTAATTTTTTTTTTTGTATTTTTAGTAGAGACGGGGTTTTGCCATGTTAGCCAGGCTGGTCTCAAATTCCTGACCTCAACTAATCCACATGTCTCAGCCTCCCAAAGTGCTAGGATTACAGGTGTGAGCCACCAGGCCCGGCCAGCACCCATGATTTTTATTAGGTGAAAAAATCAAGCCCCCAAAGCAGCGTGTAACATATCAGACAATATTCACAAAACCACAGGAATAAAGTACAGGATGTTATGTGTTTGGAAACGTAACTGGGACACAGGTCACAAATGGCGGACAGTGGGACGGGCTTCACCTTCTCCCTGATGATCTCAAGTATCTGAAGTTTTTATGATTTTGAACATATTAACATCCAGAAAAATCAGTGAGCACAGATGTTTAAAAGGCACTAGGAGACCATGTGGGTTCTGTCACTTACTAGATGTGTGTCCCTGGACAAAAACCTTCACTTCCCTGCCTCCGTTTCCTCATCAGTTAAATGGGGATCTGAACGCCCACAGGACAGCACGCAGCGTGGCACGGGGCACTGCCTGGCTTAGCCTGCCCTGGAGCAGGGGGAGGGAGGGTGACCCTAGAGGGATCCCCCCCTCCACTGGAGGACTGGGTCGGAGAAGGCTGCAGCCAGGAAGAGCCGGCAGCACGTTCTGCACGCCCCACGGACGGATAGTACATGAACAGCGTGCAGGACCCTGCTGCCTCTATTCCAGACAGCCATCCCCTGGGTGTCCACGGGCGATGCAGCACTGGGGAGGCAGCGGTCACAGGAGCCCAGAAGCCCTGGGAGCACCTGCTGATGCACTGTTGTGTAAGCAGCTGCCGCAGGCCAGGCACCAGCAGACCCAGCTCTGGGCTCCCTGCCTCAGGGAAAGGGAGGTGGTCCACTGGGGTGGCTGAGAGCGGGGCTGGGGGCAGCAACTGACCTTTTCAACGTTGAGCGCCTTCATTTGAAGGATTAAGTCTTCAACAGGCCTCCGGGTGATTTCTGGAGGAGGAAACTGCTCGAAGTCACCAAAAACCGCAGATGAATACAGCCTGGATGGAGAGAAACCGGGACAACAAACACAAAACTCACACCAAAAACCACAGATGAATACAGCCTGGGCAGACAGAAACCGGGACAACAAACAAAACTCAGTCATGCCACTGGGACTGGATCTTCACCTGACAGCAGGCACGGTGCTTTACCGCTTCCTGCCTCATTCTCCTCACCTGTGAAATGCAGCTCAAATTGCAGCTGCCTCGTAAGGAATTGGTGAAAATTAATTAGCTATTATTCCACTGGCTGGGTGTGGCGGCACACACCTGTAATCTCAGCACTTTGGAAGGCTGGGGTGGGTGGATCACTTGAGGTCAGGAGTTCAAGACCAGCCTGGCCAACATGGGGAAACCCCCATCTCTACTAAAAATACAAAAATTAGCCAGGCACGGTGACGTGCATCTGTAGTCCCAGCTACTCGGGAGGCTGAGGCAGGAGAATCACTTGAACCCAGGAGGCAAAGGTTGGGGTGAGCCAGATGGTGCCACTGTACTCCAGCCTGGGCGACAGAGCGAGACTCCGTCTCAAAACCAAAAGAAAAGGTATTATTCCATGTAGAGTACTTAAAACAGGGGATGGTGCATAGCACTCTACACTTTAACTACAGTTACTTCTTACTGGTTTTCTTTGTAAATTTTCTAAATTTTCTACTTTTTAACTAACATGTAGCCCTGACAAAAGGAACAGCAATAAAGCTATTTATTACATACACGCGTGCACGCACGCACACACACTTACATACACGCGCGCATGCGCGCACGCACACACACACATACACGTGTGCACGCACGCACACGCACGCACACACACATACACGCGTGCACGCACGCACACACATACACGCGTGCACGCACACACACTTACACGCGTGCACGCACGCACACACACTTACATACACACGTGCACGCACACACACACACAATTACAGCACACGGATTAGGAGAAAATATTTGTCAATGACACATTTGATTAGGATCTAATATCCAGATTATATTATATAAAGAACTTTTTTTGTTTTTGAGATGAAGTCTCGCTCTGTCGCCCAAGCTGGAGTGCAGGGGCATGATCTTGGCTCACTGCAACCTCTGCCTCCCAGGTTCAAGTGATTCTCCTGCCTCAGCCTCCCAAGTAGCTGGGATTACAAGTGCATGCCACCATGCCCAGCTAATTTTTGTATTTTTAGTAGAGACAGGGTTTCACTATGTTGGCCAGGCTGGTCTTGAACTCCTGACCTTGTGATCTGCCCGCCTCATCCTCCCAAAGTGCTGGGATTACAGGCGTGAGCCATGGCGCCTGGCCTAAAGAACTCTTACAGATCAATAATAAAAGGACAAATAACCTAATTAAAAAATGAGCAAAAGATCTGAATAGGCAGTTCCCTAGAAAGATGCATAAAGGGCCAATAAGTACATGAAAAGAGGCCTTCATTAGTCATTAGGGAAACATAAACCGAATCCACAATATGATACCACTTCACATCCACTAGGAGAGCTAGGCTCAAAAATACTGAAGCTTTCATATTAAAAAAAAAGTGGGGGTGGGTGAGGTAAGGGCACCTGTTCTCAGGACCAGGGCAGGGCTGTGTGTGACAGGAAATAGTCACACATTAAAACAAAACAAAAAAAACACCTGAAGCCAGGCACAGTGCCACGTGCCTCTACTCCCAGCTACTTGGGAGGCTGAGGCACGAAGACTGCTTGAGCCCAGGAGGCGGAGGCTGCAGTGAGCTATACTTGGGCCACTGAACTCCAGCCTGAGCAACAGAGTGAGACTTTGTCTCTCAAAAAAAACCCCAGCAAAACAAAAATATTAAAAATAAGTGTTGGTGCTGGCCAGGCGTGGTGGTTCATGCCTATAATCCCAGCACTTTGGGAGGCTGAGGCAGGTGTTCAAGACCAGCCTGGCCAACATGGTGAAACCCCGTCTCTACTAAAAATCTAAGAATTGGCCGGGCGCCGTGGCTAATGCCTGCAATCCCAGCACTTTGGGAGGCTGAGGCAGGTGGATCACCTGAGGTCAGGAGTTCAAGACCAGCCCGGTCAACATGGTGAACCCCCATCTCTACTAAAAATACAAAAATTAGCTGGGCGTGGTGGTGGGCACCTGTAATCTCAGCTACTTGGGAGGCTGAGGCAGGAGAATTGCTGGAATCCTGGAAGCGGAGGTTGCAGTGAGCTGAGATTGAACCATTGCATTCTAGCCCAGGCCGACAACAGTGAGACTCAGTCTCAAAAACAAAACAAACAAACAAACAAACAAATTATATGCACATGGTGGTGCATGCCTATCATTCCAGCTACTCGGGAGGCTGAGGCAGGAGAACTGCTTGAACCCAGGAGGCAGAGGTTGCAGTGAGCTGAGATTGCACCACTGCACTCCAGCCTGGGTGACATAGCGAGACTCCATCTCAAAAAAAAAAAAATTAAAAAGTGCTGGTGAGGACGTGAAGAAACTGAAACCCTCATTCACTGTTGGTAGGCATGTCAAATGGGGCAGCTGCTGTGGAAAACAGTTTGGTGGCTCCTCGGTAAGTTAAACCCAGAGTTACCATACGGCCCAGCGGTTCTCTTAGGTTCCACTGCAAGAGCAATGAAACCGGAGCCAGACAAATCCTTGCACCTGAGTGTTCAGAGCAGCACTATCCACAATAGCCAAGAGGTGAAAACAACCAAACGTCCACCAGCTGATGAACAGACAAACAAAACTCGGCACATCCATATGGTGTGATATCATTCAGCCACGGCCAGGAACGGGGTGCTGACACCTGCCACCCGGGGTGAGCCTTGAAAACTCACCGTGCTGAGCGGCAGAGGCCAGACACGAGGGGCCACACCTTGTATGACTTTATTGCATTTATCTGAATTGCCCACAACAGGCACATCCCTATAGACAAAAACTAGTGGACTGATGCTTGCCACAGGCTGGGGCGGGGAAGAAGGGGGGTGACTGCAGTGGTCACGGGGTTTCTTTTTGGGTTGATGGGAAGTTCTGACATTGATTGTGGTGATGGTTGCACAACTCTGTGACTGTCCTAAAAACTCCTGGATTGTATGCTTTAAAATTATGTACTTTATGGTATGTGAATTATATCCTGATCAAGCTGTTAACAAACAGCACTCAAGAGCTGCCCCTGACCTCAGTAGCAGAATAAAGAAACAGTGGCCGGGCACGGTGGCTCACGCCTGTGATCCCAACACTTTGGGAGGCCGAGGCGGGTGGATCACGAGGTCAGGAGATCGAGACCATCCTGGCTAACACGGTGAAAACCCATCTCTACTAAAAATACAAAAAAAAAAAAAAAAATTAGCCGGGCGTGGTGGCAGGTGCCTGTAGTCCCAGCTACTCGGGAGGCTGAGGCAAGAGAATGGCGTGAACCCGGGAGGTGGAGCTTCCAGTGAGCCAAGATCACGCCACGGCACTCCAGCCTGGGCGACAGAGTGAGACTCGTCTCAAAAAAAAAAAAAAAAAAAAAAAAAAGAAACAGTGCGAGTAGGCCAGGCATGGTGGCTCACCTGAACTCAGGAGTTCGAGACCAGTCTGGCCAACATGCTGAAACCCCGTCTCTACTAAAAATACAAAAATTAAAATAAATAAATACATATAATAAAAATACACAAATTAGCTGGGCGTGGTGGCGCACACCAGTAATCCCAGCTATTTGGGAGGCTAAGGCAGGAGAATTGCTTCAACGTAGGAGGTGGAGGTTGCAGTGAGTCGAGATCACGCCATTGCATTCCAGCCTGGGTGACAAGAGTGAAACTCCATCTCAAAAAAAAAAAAAAAAAAAAAATAGTGTGAGTATCTGAAAGCCAGCAAAAGGGCTGGGGAGCACCCCAAAGTCACAGGGGCCCGGCAGGACACGGAACATACTACAGATGGAGGTGGGGGTCAGCATCCTTCCCTTGTTCCTCAGTGGCTATTGCAAGGCGGCACCAACGTCCCTGAGGAGGAGCCTGGGTGACCCACCTGTAGCAGTGGCCGGGCTCCGTCCGTCCTGCTCTGCCCGCTCGCTGGTCAGCTGATGCCTGGGAGACCCAGGTGACACGGAAGGAGGATACGCCAGTGACGCGGTCGTAGTAGCGTTTCTTGACCTTCCCACAGTCCACCACGTACTTGATGCCAGGGATGGTAAGCGACGTCTCGGCCACATTGGTGGCCACAACACACAACCGAGTCCCCTCCGGTGGAGGCTTAAAGACCTAGGATTCGGGGAAGGGATGGCAGGAAAACACCAGAATCAGAAAAGAAATCGTGGAATGGAGGCTCAAGGACAAAGCCAGCCAGGCTGGTGTGCTGGAGACGTAGCAAGGACAAGCCATCCCATCTGGGGCCCAGTGCCTTGGGGGAGGGTTCCCTATTCTCCAAAACTACCCCAATATTCCTCAAAACTCTGGGGATGCTGATCAAACAGCAGATGGAGAGGACCACCAAGGGCTTGACCAACCCCACTGTAATGCCCTTAAAAGTGCCCCAAAAGCTGGGCACCGGCCCAGCACGGTTACCTGTGCTTGCTTCTCTGGGGCCAGCAGAGAGTACAGCGGGAGCACGTGGAGCGGGAGGGAGGCATCCGGCTGCTCACCTGGAGGGAAAGCAGAGGTCACTGGCACCCAGGCCGGGACAGATGCCCACAGGCAGGAGCTGGCCACAGCGGCCCTGCACCCCCAGGCTGCTCCACCAGAGCTCCTTTCTTTGCCCTGCTGCAGAGGCTCCCCTTGGGACCAGCCAGGCCAAGCCTGGGGGAACTGCTGAGAGGTTCCCAGGGGCTCTCTTGTCTCTGCTGCCCTGAACCGGATCTGAACCCCTGTGCTGCACAATCTCCTCCTCCAAACCCCTGGCATGGATCCCGGGAGCCTGACTCCACTCCTCGTGTCCTGGCAGCATTGTGGTGGGGTCAGGCTGAGCCCGTACTGGGGTACTCTCTGCTGCCCCACTCAGCCCCTGGCTGGGCACAGCAGGGCACTGGGTCTGCCTGCATTCAGGGGGCCCCTGCGAGCACACGGAGCTGGGCAACACCCCCAGGCTCTGAAGGCCTGCGTCCCTCAGCAAGGGGTTGGCAGCCCCCATTACATTCAACATGGCAAATGTTTGAGGCCTCCTCGTGCCAGGCAGTTTCAAGAACTCAGGAAGCATCGGGGACAAAGCTGCTAGAACCCCGGCCCCCGGGGGGCCCACAAGGGCTCTGGGCACATCCTCAGGGCAGAGATAATGAACATGAGCAGGAATCGGTGCTCGGGCCACACCTCCATCTTGCCCGCCATCCCCCAGGTCCAGATCGAGGTCGGAGTCCAGGGCCCCCTCTTCCTCATCCACTTCTGCCTCCCTGTCCTCATCGCCTTCGCCTGCCGGTAACACCGAGTAATGATCCAAGTTGATCTGGGGCAGCACCTACGGCGAACAAGACATAGACACCTGGGCTGCAGGGATCCTGGGTGTGAGGACGTGGCACGTGCAGGAAGACAGGTGCCCTCGCATGGAAGCCCCGGTCCACACCCATGGGCCATGCAACCCGGGGCAGGCCACATAATTCTCTCTTCCTGCCAGAATTTCCCCACCTAAACATTGGGGACTATCATAGACCTTGTCTCCCAGGCTGGTGGGAGGGTTGTGTGAACACACGTGAGGAACCTGGATCGCTGCCTGACACATCGGTAGTGCAACAGGCAAGTCAGAGACGGCTGAGTGCTTACGCTACCGTCACGGAGCACAAGACCCACGGTGCCTTCACGCAGAGGCTAGAGGAAAGCCCCTGCCAGCCCAGCCATCCCAGAGTAGCTGGGAGTACAGGTGCACACCACCATGCCTGGCTAATTTTGTATTTTTAGTAGAGACAGGGTTTCGCCATGTTGGTCAGGTTGGACTTGAACTCCTGACCTCAGGTGATCCACCTGCCTCAGTCTCCCAAAGTGCTGGGATTACAGGCGTAGCCACCACGCCTGGCCTTCTTTTCCATTTCTGAGACAGAGTCTCACTCTGTTGCCCAGGCTAGAGTGCAGTGGGACCATCACAGCTCATTGCAGCCTTGACCTCCTGGGCTCAGATGGTTCTCCCACCTCAGCCTCTGAGCAGCTGGGACCACAGGCATGCGCCACTGCACTGGATTAATCTAAAAAATTTTTTGTAGAGACATGGTCTCACCATGTTGCCCAAGCTGGTCTCAAACTCTAGGCCTCAAGCGATCCTCCCACCTTGGCCTCCCAAAGTGCTGGAATTACAGGCATGAGCCACTGTGCCTGACCAGGAACTGGATTTTTAACTTCATTTTATTCCAATTACACTTAAACCTAAGCAGCCACATGGGGCTGGTAGCTGCCATCCTGGACAACGCAGCCTTACTCTCCAGGAGTCCCTGCCAGCCCCCCACGTACCTCAGCCCGCGCCTTCTTGGCCCTGGCCCTTGACTTCTTAAACTTCCGCATTTCCTCCACCGAGTCTTTCTGATCGTCGTCCTTTTCTGGGAGAGGGGCAGGTTGGGGAGAAAGGCGTCTGTGGCCGGCGTGGTCGCCAGCACACTGCCCTTTGTTGTTCAAGGCATGGCCACTCAGTGGTGGCCATTTATTCGGGGGTGAGGTGGGGGATGGCAAAGGTGCTGATGCTTCCAGAGAGAAGCTCAGAGGCAGGAGCTGCACCCCAGCCAGGGAGCGCGAGGCCAAGCCCAGCTGCTCAGGGCAGAGTGCTGGTCGGGGCGTCCTCTTTACCTTGTGGCCGGGCTCTGGAGGGTGGGAAAGCCTTCCTGAGCCTGCGGCACAGCGCATGCACCTCAGCCTGCCCCGTCAGGAACACCAGGATGCCACCTGTGGAAAGAATGGGCCCCTCTGTTATCCATCAGTCACTCACAAACATTTGCTTAGCAAAAGCACCTGCCAAGCCATGCTCTGAGAGGCAAGGTTCCAGGGATAATGGGGGAGGACAGGAGTACACAGACATAGATGAGCAGGGGGCAGCACGCCCAGACTGAAGCAGCTGCCGCCAGGGAGTTCAACAAACACGGCGACTGCACAGCCCAGCAGCATCACTCCCAGGAACAGACCCAAAAGCCCTGAGAAGCGTGCTCACACGGAACCCTGCACACCACACTCACGACAGTGACAGCGCCGCGGCTGCCCTGAGACCTGAGGCTGCAGGAAGGCTCACTGCCCAAGCTCCAGCCTCACCTCCTGCCAGCCCCAGTCTCCCAGAGAATGGATGGGAGCCCCGAAAGGCCATAAGCAGAGCAAGGACAGAGCATCACGAAGCAGCAACCTCGGCTTCCTTGAAGGACGAGGTCAAGCTTGTTGGGAAGCACCCCCATGGCTCCTTGCCTCCCTAACATGAAGAAAGCCAGCCTTGGGCCCAAATTCGGCACACAAGAGTCTCTGGCTAGGCTGGGTGCAGTGGCTCACACTTGTAATTCCAGCACTTTGGGAGGCTGAGGCAGGCAGCTCACCTGAGGTCAGGAGTTCGAGACCAGCCCGGCCAACATGATGAAACCCCATCTCTACTAAAATACAAAAAATTAGCCAGGCGTGGCAGTGTGCGACCAGTGTGGGACCTGTAATCCCAGCTACTTGGGAGGCTGAGGCAGGAGAATCACTTGAACCCGGGAGGTGGAGGTTGCAGTGAGCCAAGATCTGCCACTGCACTCCAGCCTGGGCAACAAGAGTAAAACTCCGTCTCAAAAAAAAAAAGTCTGGCTGGAAGCGATCACAATCTATTCACACAGAAAGGTCACATCCATTTCAGTAACATGAGGTGGGTAACGGAGCAGGTATGATGGGGACAAGGCAGAACTGTGAAGGGTATCCGTGACTCTTGGGGGGATGTGCCCGTTCCCCTACAGTGTCTATGGTCACCTGCCAGCACTGGCCTGGGCCCTGTGGGTTTTTCTGCTTATCAGATGGGGACAGATGGCAAGCTCCACCATCTGGTAGCTGCTGAAGCCTCATAGTATTTGGAGTGGAATAAGGCCAGACAGGTGTCATGAACACTCTGGAATAAGTGAGGAAGCCGAGGCCTGGCAGGGTCAAGGGACTTTTCTGAGCCACTCGGAGATGGGCCCTCCCACACTCGTGCTTTCAGCGAGGGTTTAGGAAGGGAGGCTTCTTTCCCCTGACCTGGCCAGGGCCTCACCTGCGGGCAGCATCCGGTGGATCTTGCAGACCTTCCGGAAGCACTCGCCACTGTAGTCTTCCAGCGGTGTCCGCTTGTTGAAATGCACAGTCACTGGGAACTGCCTGGATTCCACCTGTGGGACGCCCAGGAAGGCATGGGGAGTGGGGGGGACACGAGCTTCGGCCCAGGGCTGCCTTCCCTTTCCCCATTATTCCGAATCAAGGTTTCTAACACCCCCTCCAAGCTGCTGTCAATCCCCCCTGTGACCAAGTGAGGTCTCTCAGGGGGCTCCCGACACCAGGGCGTCCTTGTGCCATCCAAGCTCACAGAGGACATGGGACCCTGTGTTACCTTGATGACCGGCGGCGGCTTGGCGAAGAGCCGTGGGTTCTGGGTGAAGTCCTCCACCCGCAGCGTGGCCGACATGATGAGCAGCTTGAGTGGCAGGTTCCTCTGCAAAAGGACAGGCTCAGTGACCGTGGCCCCAGGACCGCAGGTGGGTCTGAAGCCTGGGAAATCGGCATGGGGGTGCCCTGCTGCCCACCCCGTTTCCAGCCCCCACCCTCTGCCCCTTTCTGGATGCCAAAGGCTCCTTGGAGAAAGTGAGTCAATAGTGGGACCTGCCGCTCCCAGGGCGGTGGCTTGTTCCAGGGGGTCTTTCAGAGTCAGGCTTTGATGGTAGAATATGAGGCAGGTGGGCTGAGACTGGGGCCCACCCAACCCAGCTCCCACCTGACACCAAGATTGACTGAGTGTCTGTGCCGGGGGCTCAGGGAAGAGCTGCCTGATTCTCTGGGGTCTGTGGGGGGTGGGAGAGAGCTCCCGGGAGCTCCCTGGTCCCCAGGCCGCTCAGCAATGCCTAATGGCCTCATGGTGAGCTCTGCTTCAAGCTCTTGCTGCCTTTGCTGCTACGAAACCCCAAACCCAGAAGCTAAGGAGTGGCCAAAGCACCTCTGTGGGAGGCAGGACACCCAGCACAGGCCCCTCTCTTGCCCCACAGTGACCGTCCCTGTCTGCCTCACCCCCGTGCCTTCCGGACCCCACCTCACCCTCTCTGCTTGGCCACTCTAGACTTCCTGATGGCCCCCAAAGACATAAACCAAGGCCACAGTGAGGTGTCACTGTCCACCCACAGGGATGTCTAGAATAACAGAAATGGAAAACGACAAGTGCTGGCAGGATGTGGAGAAACTGGAAGCTCTGACACTGCTGGTGCGGAAGTACCATGGAATTCTGCAGCCGCTGGGGGAAATCATTTGCAAATGGTTACACACAGAGTGACCATGGTCCAGCTTCTTGGGAGGCTGAGGCAAAAGGATTCCTTAAGCCCAGAAGGTCGGGGTTGCAGTGAGCTGTGATTGCACCGCTGCACTCCAGCCTCAGTGACAATGAGACCCTGCCTCGAAAAAAAAAAACAAAAACCACCACCACAAAAAACCATAAAAGGCACAGCGTTTCTTTTTGTTTTTGTTTTTCAGATGAAGTCTCGCTTTCTCACCCAGGCTGGAGTGCAGTGGCGCGATCGCGGCTCACTGCAAGCTCCACCCGCTGGGTTCAAGTGATTCTCCTGCCTCAGCCTCCCGAGTAGTTGAGATTACAGGTGTGCGCCACCAGGCCTGGCTAATTTTTCGTTTTTTTAGTAGAGACAGGGTTTCACCATGTTGGCCAGGCTGGTCTTGAACTCCTGACCTCAAGTGATCCACCCGCCTCAGCATCCCACAGTGCTGGGATTACAGGCGTGAGCCACCGTGCCCGGCCTAGGGTTTCTTGTTGGATTGATGAGTGACAAAATATAAAACTGTGGTGATGGCTGCACACTCTGTGAACGGACTAAAAACCACTGAATTGTACATTTGAACAGATGAATGATATGAAATGTGAATCACAGCCCAATAAAGCTTGTTACCAAAAGAAAAAAGGCACCAGGCAGACGCCCGCCTCAGGACCTTTGCATTGCTCTCCTCCAGTCAGACTTCTCCTCGCTCTGCAATGCACGCCGCTCACTCCCTCCCTCATTCAGCCTTCCACTTGAGCTCAGAGGTCACTTTTCGGGTGAAGCCCTCACTAGCCCTGTGTCCTCCCTCCACTGCCCCCGGCTTTGTCTGTCACTGGCTCACATACTCTGAGTCTGCGTCCTGCCTGCCACCCTTGCTGAAGTGGAGGCCCCAGGAGGGCAGGAACTGTTAGAACAAGACAGCGTCTTGTTCACTGTTGATTTTCAGGGCCTTGAATGTGGCCAGGCTCATGGCACATGTGGAGCGCAGGCCCCTCTCCCCGCCGGGAGGGTGAGACAGGCCTACTGCATGAAGCCGCGCCCCAGGGTGGCACCCACCAACTCAGCAGGCCCCTGTGTCAGGCTGGGGCAGGGAGATGGAGAAAGAGGCCCTGGGGAGCCCCTCTCAGAGCTCCGGGAGCCTGGCCCTTGGCTGGGCAGGCCCACCTGCTCTGCTGATCCCAGAGGCCCAGAGGCCTCATCAACCAGCCCCATTGCGCCTGGCAAGGCATCAACACTTCTCCTGAGCCTCTTGCTTTGGATGGGGAGAAGGACACCAGTTTATGAGGCTGGCACCGGGGCGGTGGGGAGGGGATCACACAGGGGCTGTTCCAAGATTCACAGCCCTGGCACTAGGCCTAGACCTAGGCCCAGGGAGACCTTGTGCTCGGGGTACCTGCTCATGGCAGCAGCCCAGGGTACAACGGGGAACAGGTGAAGGAAGCCCAAGCCTCTGACAGAGCTGGGGGGGGCCTAGGGCTCGGGGCTCCCCAGCACCCGCCTCCTGCGCTACCTTAGCCCGGAGAGTCACAATGCGGGACAGGAGGCCGATGAGGATGTCCGTGTACACGCTCCTCTCGTGGGCCTCGTCGATGATCACCACCTTGTACCGCAGCAGCAGGAAGTCCTGGGGGGAGGTCCGGGGTGAGGCCCACCCTTCCAGCCTAAGCCCCAAGGGCCGCTTCACGTCCCAGAACTCCCACTTGAGGAGACAGTGTTAGAGGAAGGGCAGCTGCTCTTCATCAGAGGTGAGCTGCTCAACTCAGATGCCCGCAGAGTGGGAGGGCAGGTGGGAAATGGACATGAGATGTGGGGTGGGGCCGTGGGCAGTTGGACAGCAGGTGCCACACAGACAGGGGCCACCCAGACCCAAACTGCATCCACTGCCACCCCCAGGAGTCCCAGTGGCTTCAAAGCCAGGAGGGCTGGAATCACCTTTGCCATCCCCCTGGGAGATTGGCCCTGCCCAAGGGGACGTCACAGCCAGCACGGAGCACAGCTTCTTCACCAGACAGCAGTCCCCCACCCGGGCCCTGCATGCTCTCTGGACACGCGTGCCACCCACTTGACCGAATGGCCGGCTCCCTAGGAAGCATGGGGTGCTTCCCCAAGGCCCAAGTGGGCTGACTAGGGAGGCAGCAGCTGGGGTTCCGATTTACAAATGGAAAGTCCTTGGGACGCAGCTTCTGAGGCCAGGGACCGTGAAGACGCTCAAGGGCAAGCCCCAGCGGCCCCTCCCCTTTCCCTCAGCCTGAGGCTGGTACCCCACTCCGAGTCTGGTGCTGCCCCTCACCAAACGCAACTGGACTCGAAGCTCCCAAGAGGGGGCTGTGTCTGGACCCGCCGCAGGGCAGAGCCTGCACACCACAGGCTTTCAGTACACCCCCGGCAAGGCGTGAACTCTGTGAGTCAGTCACAATAAAAATACAAGTTCACATTTCACGAGCACCTTCTAGGTACGGGCCACTGTGCTAAGCTGTCAGCATGCACTCTACAACTTCCGCTTCAAAATGATTCTCTAAGGAATGCACCAACATACTCATCAAGAAACTGAGCTTGGAGAGGTTAAGTAACTCACCCAAAGTCACACAGCAGCACCGTGGGAGTGCTGGATCAACAGGTGGCTTGCCGGCTGCTCATATCCCAGGTGACATCCTAGCATCCCGCCCCCATGCCCACTGGCCTTGCTCTGTGAGCCAGGATCCACAACCAACCTTCTGGATTTCTTTAAGCAGCACACCATCCGTCATGAACTTGATTCTGGTCTCCTCTGTCACGTTTCCTTCATACCGGATCTGGTAGGAGACGACCCTGTATGGGCAGAGTTCGGGTTAGGGCAGAGCCGTGCCTGGCTGGGGCTGTCGCCACGGGGCCACTACAAGGCAGGCCGTGGAGCAGGCAGGCGGCTTGAGGGCAGGGCCCGCTGGCAACCTGAAACAAGTCCCAGACATCTCCCCAGTCCACTCTCCCCCTCCAAAATCCTGGTTTCTGAAGGGAAGGGAAGGAGCTGTTAAGGGCAACTGAGGAGCCAGGCCCTGAACACCTCGGCCAGAGCCCTCCTCGGATGGTGACTATGCCAGGAGACACCGGGGAGACCTGCACATGGGCTGGAGTGTGTTCCAGAGACTTCACAGACTTGGCAACTATCATCGGGGTACTGCAGCTGTATGTGTTTCACAAAAAGTCCTTATCTTAATTCAAAAATTAATCTGGTGTGGTGGTGTGCACCTGTAGTCCCAGCTACTCAGGAGGCTGAGGTGGGAGAATTACTTGTGCCCAAGAGGTTGAGGCTGCACTGAGCAAAGATGGCACCACTGCACTCCAGCCTGGGCAATAGAGCCATCTCAAAAAACAAAAAATGGCTCACGCCTGTAATCCCAACACTTTGGGAGGCCGAGGTGGGTGGATCACCTGAGGTGAGGAGTTCAAGACCAGCCTGGCCAACATGGTGAAACCCCATCTCTACTAAATACAAAAATTAGCCGGGCACCTGCAATTCCAGCTATTCGGGAGGCTGAGGCAGGAGAATCGTTTGAACCCAGGAGGCAAAGGTTGCAGTGAGCCAAGATCGCACCACTGAACTCCAGCCTGGGTGACAAAGTGAAACTCCGTCTCAAAAAAGAAAAAAAAAAAATTAGTTCTTATCTCTCAGATCTGTACAGCAAAATATTGAGGATAAAATAAGATACCTAAGATTTGCTTCTAAACAGTGGGGGGGAGGGGGGCCAGGAGGAGAGTACAGATCCAACAGGCTAGGGCAAGAGTTGACAATTATTACAACTGGGTCTTGGGTACCTGGGGGCTCATTATACTATCCTTTCTACTTATGTATATGCGCCCCCCCCAACGCTTTTTTTTTTTTTTTTTTTTGAGATGGAGTCTCACTCTTGTTGCCCAGGCTGAAGTGCAATGGCGTGATCTCGGCTCATGGCAACCTCCGCCTCTCGGGTTCAAGGGATTCTTCTGCCTCAGCCTCCTGAATAGCTGGATTACAGGCATGTGCCACCACACCCAGCTAATTTTTTTGTATTTTTAGTAGAGATGGGTTTTCTTCATGTTTGTCAGGCTAGTCACAAACTCCCAACCTCTGGTGATCCACCTGCCTCGGCCTCCCAAAGTCCTGGGATTACAGGCGTGAGCCGCCGTGCCCAGTCCCCAAATTTTTTTTTTTTTTTCTGAGACGGAGTCTCGCTCTTTCGCCCAGGCCAGACTGCAGTGGTGCTATCTCAATCTCGGCTCACTGCAAGCTCTGCCTCCTGGGTTCACGCCATTCTCCTGCCTCAGCCTCCCGAGTAGCTGGCATTACAGGCACCCGCCACTGCGCACGGCTAATTTTTTGTATTTTTTTCAAGAGATGGGGTTTCACCGTGTTAGCCAGGATGGTCTCGATCTCCTGACCTCATGATCCACCTGCCTCGGCCTCCCAAAGTGCTGGGATTACAGGCGTGAGCCACCGCACCCGGCCACCCAGTCCCCAAATTTTTATAATATTTAACAAGTTAAAAAGAGAATGAGGCAGCTTTTCCTAGACGCATGCCAACTATGCACAGAATTGTCCAGGAGGACGTGCAGGAGATGGTCAGTGGTGGCTGCTCCTGGAGAGGAGGCAGGGCATTGGGTGAGAAGGGGCCCCCAGTACTCCATCCCTGCCTTAGCGTCCTCCGAGCCTAACGTACAAAGACAACAAGTCCCCCAACTGGCATGCTGACCCGGGGGCCGGTGGCTCTGTCTGGTCCACCACCACGTCCTGAGAGCCCAGGATGGGCCTGGCACACTAGATGCTGCCTAGTAACATCTGCTGAGTGGGCAGATGAGGCAGGCTCTCACTCTGTGCTCTTTTGTGCCTTCTGGATTTTAGACCATGCTGGACATGTTAGACACAGGCCTCTGCATTATAAACATATGCTCCCAGCCATTGTAAAGCAAGTGCTATATCTGCCTGTTCAAGGCTGCTTTCCAAAGCAAGTCCTACAGACTTACCGCCTGAAGATTTTTTTTTTTTTTTGAGACAGAGTTTCACTCTTGTTGCCCATGCTGGAGTGCAATGGTGCGATCTTGGCTTACGGCAACCTCTGCCTCCCGGGTTCAAGTGATTCTCCTGCCTTAACCTCCCGAGTAGCTGGGATTACAGGCATGTGCCACCACACCTGGCTCATCTTGTATTTTTAGTAGAGACAGGGTTTCTCCATGTTGGTCAGGTTGGTCTCGAATTCCAGACCTCAGGTGATCTGCCCGCCTTGGCCTCCCAAAGCGCTGGAATTACAGGCGTGAGCCACCACACCCGGCCAAGATTTTGTACTTTAGAACCTTGAGTTTTAGATTAACCCGGCAATGCTAGGTACTAGCTCCGTGACTGCCTGCATCTGGCCCCCTGCTCTGTTCTCGAGCCCCTGGATGGGCCACTCTGTCCCCTCGGCACACTGTGCAGGACGTAAGCTTGCTTGGAGGCCCCCTGCTTGGGCAGGTCCTGGAAAGTTCTCTCACACAATGATTCCCAGTGCTACATGCAGAGGTGACACTCCACCCAGCACCCTCGGCACAGATGCTGCTCACCTCCTCCTGGGCTTCCCACATCTGGGCAAGGCCACAGGACCACCCCATAGTCCGCCCCAGGGAAGTAGAGCCCTCACCGCTGGGACAGATTCATCTCCTTGGCCACTCGCTGGGACATGGCCACGGCGGCCACTCGGCGGGGCTCCGTGACACCGATGATGCTGTCTTCACTGGGGGAGGAAGAACATGGCCATCAACAGTGCGCGGCCCCACCTGTTCATGCCAAAGCCTCATGCAGTTCCACAGCAAGATTTGCCATACTGACCTGGCGCTCACCCAGGGGCGGTGGGAAACAGTGCCAGGTTGCACTACTTTTAACAGCAAACGGAACAGCCCAAAGGCCAACACATAGAAAACGGTTCGACATTCACCATGCAGCGGACACCAGGCAGCCGCTAGAAGGAACGGGGCCTGGGGGAACCAGGCTGGGAGCTCTGTTTGCCCCAGTCAAGCACAAGCTCCTCCAGACACAGGAACCCGCCAAGCCGATGGGTGGCTGGTCCCAGCTCTGTGGGAACATTAACACCACAGACCTGCAGCTGCTCTCCCTCGAAAGGCTGCTGACGGGGCTGGCCCTCGCTGGGTGCCTGAACCTGTACAACAGGAGAGCTCCTTCCATTCCCTGTAAGTGCGGGGCCCACTGTGCCCAGCCTGTTTGTGCAAACAGGGTGGTTTATGCCGGACACCTGCTTTCCTTTTAGGCGTCTAGGATTTCGTTCCTGCCAGGCAGGGTGGGCTTAGGCGACCCCAGTAACAGCCGTGGACCCTGAATCTCTAACTAGCTTCCCTGGTGGAGGATAGTTCCTGTGTGGCCACAGGTGGCTACTGGAGAATCCAGTGCGTCCTGTGTGAGTCCACCGGGAGGGGACTCTGGAAGCTGGAGCTGGGTTTCCCCAGAACACCCCAGGTACCACTGCCCTCTGCTGATCGCGTCCTTCGCTGTAATATACCATAGCCATGTGCAGGATAACATGCTGAGTCCTGGGAGTCCCCGGTCAATCACCGAACCTGAGCATGGTCTTGGGGACCCCAACACACATGGGTCAAAAGTGCCAATAGCAGGCTACACAGTGAAAATGGTAAGCGCAGGCTGGGCGGGGTGGCTCACGCCTGTAATCCCAGCACTTTGGGAGGTCGAGGTGGGTGGATCACATGAGGTCAGGAGTTCAAGACCAGCCTGACCAACACGGTGAAACTCTGTCTCTTGGCCGGGTGCAGTGGCTCATGCCTGTAATCCCAGCACTTTGGGAGGCCGAGGCAGGCGGATCACGAGGTCAGGAGATCGAGACCATCCCGGCTAACATGGTGAAACCCCGTCTCTACTAAAAATACAAAAAAATTAGCTGGGCGTGGTGGTGGGCGCCTGTAGTCCCAGCTACTTGGGAGGCTGAGGCAGGAGAATGGCGTGAACCCGGGAGGCGCAGCTTGCAGTGAGCCGAGATCGCGCCACTACACTCCAGCCTGGGCAACAGAGTGAGGCTCCGTCTCAAAAATAATAATAATAAAAAGAAAAAAGAAAAAAAAAAGAAACCCTGTCTCTACTAAAAATACAAAAATTAGCTGGGTGTGGTGGCGGGCGCCTGTAATCCCAGCTGTTGAGGAGGCTGAGGCAGGAGAATCACTTGAACCCGGGAGGCGGAGTTGCAGTGAGCCAATATCACACCACTGTACTCCAGCCGGGGTGACACAGCGAGACGCTGTCTCAAAAAAAAAAAAAAAAGGAAAAAAGAAAATAGTAAGCACATAGCTCTACGTGCCAGGAATTAAGTGTGCTACGCAAGTTCACTCACTTAATCCACACGACAACCTTGTGAAGTAGGCGCTATTATTCCCATCTCACAGCTGGGGCCCAGAGAGGTTAAGTAGCTTGTCTGAAGTCACACAGCATGCACAGGGCAGATCCAGGATTGGATCCTGGGGAGCCCAGGCTCTTATCGACCTTTCAGGGCATCTCCAGTGTCACTGAGGGACCCAGAGAGAACCCTGTGTCCAGCCCCTACCTGCTGAAGCCTGCTTCATAGAGAAACTGAGGCACCTGTGTGGTCTTCCCGCTGCCGGTCTCACCACACACGATGACGATGGGGTGCTCGGCCACAGCCTCCATGATTACTTGTTCTTCGGAGAGAATTGGGAGCTTCAGCCGTTCCTCCTGGAAGGAGAGGAAGTCAGCACTTAGGGAGCAGCAAGACTATAGACAGTGATGGGACCTCCAGGAAGGTGGCAGCTGACACATGGGTGCTGAACAGATGTGCCTGCTGGGGAACAGAGGCCCTGACAGCTGGGGAGGGGACCAGGAGCCATGGTCCAGGAGAGACAGAGACAGGGATCACATCCTTCAGGACACCAGGACTGACATCCCCAGGCACAGCTTGGTTGGGGCAGAGCAGTCTCTCAGAGATACGGGAACCCTCGGCTGTTGCTGGCAGGAGTCTCAATTAACGGCCCAGCCACTTCGATAAATAATCTGGTGCAAATTTTCTCAAAGTTAAGATGTGTGGCCCTGCAGTTCCTCTCCTAGGTACATATTCCAGAGCAGGGGCTTTCTACATTTTTTCCTGTGACTCATGGAAAGAAACACATTTTATATCATGACTCAGTACACACACAGGCACATATATGTATCGTATATGGAAGGAACAGTTCTGTGAAACATGGCTCACCCTAAGGTGTATGCAATGGCGCGATCTCGGCTCACTGCAACCTCTGCCTCCCGGGTTCAAGCGATTCTCCCGCCTCAGCCTCCTGAGTAGCTGGGATTACAGGCACATGCCACCACGCCCAGCTAATTTTTGTATTTTTAGTGGAAATGTGGTTTCACCAGGTTGGCCAGGCTGGTCTTGAACTCCTGACCTCAGGTGATCTGCCCACCTCGGCCTCCCAAAGTGCTGGGATTACAGGCATGAGCCACCATGCCTGGCCAACAAGCTCATATTCTTAATTTTTGTTCTATTTCTATTCTATTCTATTCCACTTGTTGTATTTATTTACTTTTTGAGACAGAGTTTCACTCTTGTTGTCCAGGCTGGAGTGCAATAGTGTGATCTTGGCTCACTGCAACCTCCACCTCCTGGGTTCAAGTGATTCTCCTGCCTCAGCCTCCTGAGTAGCTGGGATTACAGGCACCCACCACCATGCCTGGCTAATTTTTGTATTTTCAGTAGAGACGGGGTTTCACCACGTTGGCCAGGCTGGTGTCAAACTCCTGACCTCAGGTGATCCACCCGCCTCGGCCTCCCAAAGTGTTGGGATTACAGGCGTGAGCCATCGTGCCTGGCCTCCATTTGTTTTTTTTAAAAATATGAGGCCAGGCATGATGGCTCACGCCTGTAATCCCAGCGACTTGAGAGGCCAAGGCAGAGGACTGCTTGAGGTCAGGAATTCAAGACCAGCCTGGGCAACATAGCCAGACTCTGTCTCTACAAAAAAATAAAAATAAAAAAGTTAGCCAGGCATGGTGGCACATATCTGTAGTGCCAGCTACTCAGGAGGCTGAGGTGGGAGGACCGCTTGAGCCCAGGAGGTAGAGGCTGCAGTGAACTGTGATCACACCACTGCACTCCAGCCTGGGTAACAGAACAAGACACTGTCTCAAAAAAAAAAAAAAGATTAAAAGCTACTCAATTCATGACCCAAAGATGGCTATCACGTCATTTGCAAACACTGCCCAAGAGAAACTTCTGCACATGCGCTCATAGGAGAGGGACAAGAACGTTTAAAAAAGCAGTGAAGGCTAGTCATGTGCTCATGCCTGTAATCCCAGCACTTTAGGAGGCCAAAGTGGGCAGATTGCCTGAGTTTGGGAGTTGCCTGAGCTTGGGAGTTCAAGACCAGCCTGGGCAACATGGCAAAACCCCGTCTCTACAAAAAAAATACAAAGTTAGCCAAGCGTAGTAGCGTGTGCCCACAGTCCCAGGCTCTTTGGGAGGGTGAGGCAGGAGGGTCACTTGAGCCTCGGAGGCGGAGGTTGCAGTCAGCTGAGATCAAACCTCTGCACTTTAGCCTGGGTGACAGAGTGAGACCCTGTTTCAAACGAACAAACAACAAAAACAGCAGTGAAGATAACAGCAAAAAGCTAAAACAACCAACTATCCAGCAACAGAATACTCATCCTGCGCTATATTCACACCGTGAATACTCGATAGCAGTGGGGAAAAAGTAAATGAGCCTCAGCTGCCTGCATCAACATGGATGTATCCCAAGATATAATGCTGAGTAACAAAAAAGCAAACTGGAATAACGTAAAGGACATGATGCCACTTTTAAATACAGGCAAACCTACGGTATGTATTGCTTAGGAATATGGACAGGATACGAATAGGGAAAAATTCACAAAGAAAAGCAGGAACTGAAGTCCCAAGGGATGGCAGGGACACGGGATGGAGGAGGCCAAGCCCCTGAGTGACCGCGCGGAGCAGAACCCCACACCCTCCTTGCCACCAGATGGCACTGGGTGATGACATCACCTAGAAGCAAACGTTTGTGGTGTGAAGCCACTGGCACTTTGGGGTCATTTGCTAGAGCGGTCAGCTTACCCTGATGAAGACTTATAAAAGCAGAAAAATGTACTTAGAAGCAGGATCCCAATTCCATTCAACGGCCAACATTACTCCTCTAGGGATCCAGAGTTCCTACGTGGGCTGTGGGCTTTCCATGCCCCAAATCCTTTCATTGTCATCACAACCCAGTGAGACACTCATTGTACCAGGAAGGAAACAGGCACAGAGAGGGGGAGCCCCTTCAGTAGCCGGAATATTCCCATTTTACAGATGCGCGGGAAGTGAGCTGGAGAGCAGGGGAATCAGCACTTGATTTCGGGTCAACTGATTCACAGCCCAAACTCTTGTCTGGATCGGGGCAGCCCAGGCCAGGCCCGCTGGTCAGAGGGCAGTGGCGATGAAGCTACTGCCGCCGACCTCCAGGGCCCCGAGCCTGCCAGGCGTGCCGCCAGACACCCGCCCTGCACTGTGATCCTCCTCGCGCACCAATCCCTGCCACAGCCTCAAGGGAGGCGCAGTCACTCTCCCCTTTCCCAGATGGGGACATGGAGGCACAGAGAAGGGATGCCCTTGCCCCACTTCACCAGGACGCCCTCTGTGCGCCCCTTGCCCGCTAACCTAGATTCTTAATCACAAACACGGGGTGGCGAACCTGCATTTCCGGGGAGCGGTTCACGGGGATGAAGACGGCGGGCTTAGCCAGGGCCCTGGGCAGTGGTGGGGCTGCAGCTGGAGGAGGAGGAACAGTCATCCCAGCCGGCACGGGCTGACTGCTGGGTGCTGGAGCTGGCGGCAGAGGTGCCACGGTGGTCCCCACACCAGCCTCAGCCGGCTCAGCAGCTGGGTCCTCGTCCAGCTCCGACTCCTCCTCCAGCTCCGATTCCGACTCCTCCTCCTCCTCCTCCTCCTCCTCAGCTGAGGGCCAGCGGCGACGCTTCCGGTGGGCACCGCTGAGGCTACTGATCTTCTCCTGGCCCGGGGCTACCACCTCGTCAGCCTTCCTGTTGAGATAGCAGAGACTTCAGGCACAGAGGCCCCACCTCAATCCCAGAGGTCAGGACTCCAAGGCCATACCCCTTTCTGCCTCAGGGACTTTGCACCTGCTGTTCCACTCCCTGAAATGCCCTTCCTGCAGATACCTCCTCTCACTCCACTTAAGCCTCTGCTTAAGCACTAGCTGTCAGGGAGACTCCCTGACCACACACAGACCCCACATCTCACCCTTCTCCCTCCACCTCGCTCTTCCCTGCTTCATTTTCTGCTCAGTGCTTCCCAGCGTGGGACACAGATGCACTCGCCTGATGACTTCCCACGATTACATCTCCCGCCATGACACTGGGAAGCTCCTTAAGAGAAAGGACTTTATTTCTGTGCACTGCTCTATCCCCAGGGCCTAGCAGAGAGCCTGGGACAGTCTCTGCACTCGATAAACAGTCACTAACTGACAGTGCTCACAGGCACCAGTCAGGCCTCATGTAAATGAGCAGCACAGGCTGAGGAGACCACAGAGTGGGGTGGGACTGGGTGGGAGGGGCACACAGGCCATTTAAGGGTCAGCAGCTTGGTGGGGACACTGCTGGTGTGGCCGGATCGTCCAACTAGTCGAGACTAGGTGGGAACATGAATTCACCTTGTCGCCCAGGACGGAGTGCAGTGGTGCAATCACGGCTCACTGTAGCTTCAACCTCCCAGGCTCAGGTGATCCTCCCACCTCAGCCGCCAGAGTAGCTGAGACCACAGGCATGAGCCACCATGCCCAGCTAATTTTTGTATTTTTAGTGGAGACAGGGTTTCACCATGTTGGCCATGCTAGTCTCAAACTCCTGACCTCAGGTGATCCACCCGCCTCGGCCTCCCAAAGTGCTAGGATTACAGGTATGAGCCACGGCACCCTTCTGGCTTGGTTGTTCTAAGCCACCGCTGTTTGCAGTAATTTGTTATGGCAGCGCCAGGAAGCTAACATATTGGCAAACAGCACTCATGCCTTAAAAAACGACACAAACCAGTCGGGCGCGGTGGCTCACGCCTGTAATCCCAGCACTTTGGGAGGCCGAGGCGGGCAGATCACCCAAGGTTGGGAGTTCGAGACCAGCCTGACCAACATGGAGAAACCCCGTCTCTACTAAAAATACAAAATTAGCCGGGCTTGGTGGTGCATGCCTGTAATCCCAGCTACTTGGGAGGCTGAGGCAGGAGAATCGCTTGAACCTGGGAGGTGGAGGTTGCGGTAAGCTGAGATCACGCCATTGCACTCCAGCCTGGGTGACAAAGCAAGACTCTGTCTCAAAAAAAAAAAACAAAAAAAAACACGACACAAACCAAACCAAACCCGCTGATGGGCCAAATCCAGCCCTTGACCACCTAATGGCAATTTCTGGCCTAATCAGCTGCACAAAAGCTGGAAGAGCTGTAACAAGGGACTCTACACCACAGGAAAACACCGACATCACTGGAGCGAGAAACTTTGCTGTCCTGTGTGTCGCAGAAGGTTCAGCAGCATCTGTGGCCTTTACCCACTAGAGGCATTTAGGATGACAATGAATTTTCAGCCACTCAGGCCACCATAAAGGTATTTTCTCAAATGTTCCACCCCCAGAGGACCCCATAACCTGTGCGCCCTCCCTAGGGGGCCCTGGAGGGAGGGCAGGGTTAGCAAAGGACTGGCCAACTCACTCTTTGGTGTGATACATGCGGTTCCCAGTGCCTAGCTTGGAAGTGGTATAAAAGAGTCTCATCTCAGCTTCGGAAGCCTGGACTTCACTCAGCTTCTGTAGCATCTCTGCTCGCTGGGAAAGGAAACGAGTGTATTATGCATTTGCCATCACGACCCTCTCTTAAGAAGGGAAGTGAGACTGTAATAAAATTTCAGCATCATTAACACCTGGAGTCTTTAAAATCGGCGGTCAAATTGCAATTCTACTGGTGCATGGTGTTCTTCCATCAACAGACACAGCAAGCTGGCTTTTTTAACCCCTTTTACAGAATCTGGGGTTGTATAAATGAGGTTCTCTGCAGCAGGGTATCACAGTAGAAGATTATGGCCCACCAGATGTCCATCAACAGGAGATGAATAAAGCACAGTTCAGTCATGTACAGCAGTGCTCCCTAGCTGCTCTGAGGAAGGAGGCGGCTTTGTGTGTCTGATGTGAATTGGTCCCCGAGCTACCCTGAGCAATGCTGTGTGCAGGGGGTGTACCCAGTTGGCTTCTTTTAGTTGGGTGAGGGTTTCGTGAGTTTTTACTTTATTGTTCTTGTAACTGTACATATAGGTTTTATACACACTTCTTTTGAGACAGAGTGTCGCTCTGTCACCCAGGCTGGAGTGCAGTGGTGCGATCTTGGCTCACTGCAAGCTCTGCCTCCTGGGTTCACGCCATTCTCCTGCCTCAGCCTCTCCAAGTAGCTGGGACTACAGGCGCCCGCCACCATGCCTGGCTAATTTTTTGTATTTTTAGTAGAGACGGGGTTTCACCGTGGTCTCGATCTCCTGACCTCATGATCTGCCCGCCTCGGCCTCCCAAAGTTCTGGGATTACAAGCGTGAGCCACCGCGCCCAGCCTACACACTTCTATGTGTGTATTACACACACACACACACACACACACACAGAACAAGGTATAGCACAGCGGGAAAGCACCCTAAATAGGATTTAAAAAGGACACACTGACCAGGCACAGTGGCTCACGCCTGCAATCTCAGCACTTTAGGAGGCCGAGGCGGGTGGATCACCTGAGGTCAGGAGTTCAAGACCAACCTAACCAACATGGTGAAACCATGTCTCTACTAAAAATACAAAAATTAGCCGGGCATGGTGGCGCATGCTTGTGGTACCAGCTACCCGGGAGGCTGAGGCAGGACAATGGCTTGAACCTGGGAGGCAGAGGTTGCAGTGAGCTGAGATCATACCACTGCACTCCAGCCTGGGCAACAGAGCAAGACCTTGTCTCCAAAAAAAAAAAAAAAAAGAACACGCTCACAGGTGAGTAAGTCTTCCCCCTACCAAGGCTCTGGGGACTGCCCATCCACGGCTGCTGGAGAGAGACCCTCAAGCCTCCTGATGTGAAGACACAGCTCCCACGTGCAGTGGCCTCACCAAAAGTCAAACTTGATTCTCATGAAGGCTCCAGGTCAGGGTTCCTCAATCTCAGCACTATTGACATTTAGGGCCAAATAAGTTTTTGTTTTTCTGTGCATTATAGGCTGTTAACAGCATCCCATGGCTCCACCCGCCAGATGCCAGCAGCACTCCCAAGTTGTCACAGCCCAAAATGTCTCAAGACACTGCCAAATGTCCCTGGGGCAGCGGGGGGCGGCGCGCAAAACTGTTCCGGATGACAGTCACTGCTACAGATCCAAATACTAATGTACAAAAAGCTCAGATGGCAGAGGAGCATGTTTAAAATAAAATTTTAAGGCTGGGCGCAGTGGCTCACGCCTATAATCCCTGCACTCGGGGAGGCCGAGGCAGGTGGGTCACTTCAGGTTGGGAGTTCAAGACCAGCCTGACCAACATGGAGAAACCCTGTCTCTATTAAAAATAACAAAGTTAGCCGGA